>NC_000011.10:63919013-64222043 GCF_000001405.40 Homo sapiens
CCAGGCACTCTGGGCCAAAGGAAGACTCTGCTCTGGAGGTGGGGACAGGGAGGGGAGGTTTATTCCTTGGGGCGGGGGTTGGGAGAGTCCCTAGGCCCTGATGCAATGAGGCTTCTGCCTAGGAGGTGGGCCACGACACAGGAAGTGTGTCCTAGGAGTTTGGGGGCGACTGTGGGGGCCACGGGGTCCAGAGGGAAGGCGCATTCCTAGTGAAGAACCCCCTCATGGAGGGGCAAGGGTGCAGGGTTAGAAGGGGGAGGGGCAAGGCCCCACCCCTCCCACCTGCTACAGCCGCCCCCTCCCCAGCTGGCCCCCTCTTTTGTGCGAAGCCACACAAAGGACAAGGGGCCCCGGCCGGCCTGGCCATCTGCTCCCAGCAGCATGAAGGCTCTTAAAGAGACAGCACCCCCTCCCTGCCGCCCCGGGGCTGCGGGGCGGGGCTGCGCCACCGGATCCGGGCTCCGCGGTTATCCCAGATCCCACCCACCTTTCCCTGGCTCCACTTGTCCCCAGGTCAGAAATCGTCCTCCCCCAGGCCTGGGGCACAGAGGTGCCACGTGGCCAGGAACATGGGGGTGTGGGAGGGGAGGGAAGGAGAGGCAGCCCGGGGACCAGCCCCTCCTCTCCTGCAGCCTGAGGCAGCGGAAGGGGCCAAGGAAGCTGGGCAGCGCGGCCGAGAACCCGGGGCCCTCACCTACCCGAGCTACCTCCGAGCTTGGCGCGAGCCGGAGGGCTCCCGGGAATGCCCTCCCCGCCATTTTCGCCGATGAGCTCGGGCTCACCCTTCCACTGGAAGCGACAGCGCCTTCTTTTCGAGGGCTGCAGGCCAGGACGCAGGCCGCCTGGAAGCAAGTGTGATCAGGGCACATTTATTTCCTACGGTGTGCCAGATGAGGAAACTGAGGTCTTGCACAGCCCCTACACAGGCCTCCGCCAGAAGCTGCATCCCTTGCCTGGGCCAGAAAAGGCTCCTCACCCCTCCAGTCCCCAGGGAAGCCGGCCCTAGCCAGGCCGAGTCCCACTCAGCGCCCTTGCCACACACACAGCTCAGAGACACAAGTCTATATGATGCCTGTGGTGGTTTCCTTGCCTGTCTCTGGCTGGGCTGTGTCCCCATGAGGGCAGGGGCTCTGTTTGCTGCTGTGCTTTCGGGGCCTGGCATACAGTAGGCACTCAGTGTTTGCTGAATGAATAAGTGTCGGAAGCCCTTTGCCTTCACCGGGCTTCTCTGCGCTCTGCCTGCTGGGTTTCTTGCTTCCTCCTTCCTCAAGGTGAGGCCGAGGGGACAAAGGTTGAACAGGGATGCTGGGAGGGAAAAGGAGGGTGACCTTGGGCAAGCCATCCGGCCTCCCCTTGCCGCTCCCTCCTCCCGCAGGCGGGGGCAGCTCCAGCCAATCCCAAGCCCGCCAGCCCTGCCAGACAGACTGGGACTGTCCCGAGCTCCGGCCCAGCGAGCCTGGCCGCTGTGGTGTGTTGCCTGGGACCCTGGCCAGGCCATCAGTGGCCACAGCCAAGGGGCTAAACTTGGGGAGGGAGAGAGGCAGCGGGAGGGCCCCGGGGTTGGGGAGGGAGTGTGGTGGGATCCGAGCCAAAACCTGGCTGAGCAATTAGGGGGCTGGGGGGAGGTGCTTCCATCGACTGGGGGCCTGGCGGGAGGTGACCCTGGGGAAATGGAGGAGGTGGGCTAGAGTGGAAGGACCATGGCAGCTCCCTCTGGGGCCCCCACCCTCTCAGTCCTGCCCAGACAGGAATTCGGTTCCTCCCTCCCCTGCCGCCCACTGGGGCCCTGGGCAGGCTGTGTGGCCCAGGGTGCTGCCCTCCCCTTTTCTGGGCCCTGTCAGTGAACCCCCTGGCCTAGCCGGCACTCCTTCCCCCACCCCACCTCACCCCCCACCCAGGGTTGTGAAGAAGCTGAAAGAGGTGACAGAGGTGGCAATCTGGCGCTTGGCACCACCCCGGCACGGTGGCCGTGCAAGGAGGCGGCAGAGGGAGGCAAGACAGGCACATCTGGGAGTGGCCCTTGGGGGAGGATGCAGCAGACCAGGCGCGGGGTCAGCAAGGAGACTCCAGGCTTCAGACACCCACGTGGGGGAAATCTGATTCCCTGAGCAAATCTGACATCCCTGGGGAAGGGTCAGCAAGACCTCGGGTTGAGATGAGAGGTGACAGGAGCTCCCAGACTCCATGAGGGGGAGCCTGCTTGGTTTCTCCGGAAACTGGGATTGGGGGTGGGGGGCCTCCCCTTGCCCTCACCTGGACAACAGCTGCGCCCTCTGGCGGTGACCGCATGGACCAAGGGGGTCCCACCTCAGTCTGGGAACAAATGTCCTCCCAGAGAGGCTGAGCCTGGCGCCATGTTCCTGGGGAAGTGCCTGGATCATGGTCCCCCTGGGCCATTGGAGTCATTGAGCCTTAAATCCACCCCCAGCAAGGCCTGCCCCAGAACCACCCATCACCCTCCAGTGCAGTCAGGTGGACCAGAGGTCCCTAGAGAAGTGGCAGGAGCTCAGACTTAGGTTGAGTCCTGGCTCCGCTTCTTGCTAGCTACGTGGCCTTAGGTGAATTACTTGGCTTCTCTGAGCCTCAGTCCTTCATCTCTAAAAGGGCAAGATGATCCTGACCTCATTGACTGTTAGGAAGATCCAAGGACATCTCACATGGAATGGAGTAACAACATCAATGCTGGCTTTCATCTGAAGCCGTGCTCCCCTCTTGAGCACCCCCAGCAGGGCCCCCTCTGCCCATGGCTCACTGCTCCATGAGGCAGCCCATGCCCAGTGGACCAGTTCGGGCCAGCCCCACCTTGAGCTCCTGGGTCTGACCTCTGGAGCAAGAAGCTGCTCCATGACATTGGACACTTCACATCTTCTCAACTATGGGTTGAACATTTCCCACAAAGTCCATGTGTTGGAAACTTAATCCCTACTACAACAGTGTTGAGAGGTGGGACCTTTGGGCATGAGGCAGTGCCCTCAGGAATGGATTAATGCCATTATCTCAAGAGTGGGTTAGTTATTGAGGGAGTGGGTTCTAGATAAAAGATGAGTTTGGCCCCCTAATCCCACCCTGCATGTGAGTTCCTGCTGCCATGTGAGGATGCAGCAAGAAGGTCCTCACCAGATTCCAGCACCATGCTCTTGGACTTCCCAGCCTCCCAAACTGTGAGCCAAATAAACTTTTTTGTTTGTAAACTACCCAGTCTCAGGTATTCTGTTACAGCAACACAAAATGGACTAAGATACTCCCTTTAGACATGTCAGCAGTTCCAGATAGGTATCTGGAACTTCAGCCTTCAGTCTGACCTCTCTAATCACTCTAATTATACACTATACACACATAATACAAATATTTTTTTTCTAGACCAACTCTTGCTCTGTTGCCCAGGCTGAAATGTAGTGGTATGAGCTCGGCTCACTGTAACCTCTGCCTCCCAGGTTTAAGCGATTCTTTTGCCTCAGCCTCCCGAGTAGTGGGGATTACAGACATGCGCCACCACGCCTGGCTCATTTTTGTGTTTTTGGTAGAGACGGGGTTTTGCCATTTTGGCCAGGCGGGTCTGGAACTCCTGATCTCAAGCAATTCACCTGCCTTGGCTCCCAAAGTGTTGGGATTACAAGTGTGAGCCACTGCGCCAGGCCACTGAATACAAATTTTTAAATATAGCTTCGATTATATCCCATTCCTTCTCAGCCTTCCACGGTTCCCTATTGCCTTCCAGGAAAAGGTCTCACAGCCCAGTACTCAAGGGGTTTCTAGCCCATGTATGATCCAGCCAAACAGGTGGCTCACCATTCTCTGAGCCTCACCTGGTGGCCCAGGATGCTCCACCCACCCTGCAAACCCTGGCCTGGCTCACCCATCTGCATGCCCCATGCCCAGCCCTTCCCTCAGGGCTGCTGGGTGCTCTGCTCTGCCAGGGCACATCCAGGACTTCTGGCTGAGCAGTGAGTACCCTTCCTGCTCTCCCCACAGTCCCCCTCCACCACTCCAGCCACCATATGGCTCTTAGCATAGGACCTTGCCTCCCACTTCCAGAGGGAAGTGAGGCCATCTGGGAGGAACCCCTTCATGGCCTTTGTCTGCTCCTTCCCCTCCCTGTAGCATAGATGGACCTTCCCCCTTCAAGGCCAACCTCACTCCCAGGCTTTGCATCACCCTCAGTGCCAGCCCCACCACACACACACACCCCAATCCTGAGCACCTTGATTTTCATTTTCCTCTCCTTACTCATGTTTGTCTTCCCCCCTCATCACATGAACCTGCTTAAGTCCATTCATCCTAAACACACACACACCCCTGCACCTCCCGTACCCCACTCCCAACCCTCCCTTCATCCCATGTTCACCTTAGTTGCCCCTTTCAGCTAGCAGTATTGCTGCCTTAAAAAAAAAAAGTGCTTCTTAAAGAGATGTTCACACCCCTCCATCCCTGTCCTCACCTCCCACTCACTCCCCAACTCCACTACTCCACAGAAACCGTTCCTCCAAGGTCACCAGTGACTTTGTTATCTCTAAACCCAAAGGACATTTAGCGGGTATGTTCTCACTTCATCTCTGGGCAGGACTGGACAGACAGGGCCACCTCTAGCTCCAGGATGTGAGCTCCTCCCTGGCTCCCTTCCTGGCTGGACTTCAAACCCTTTATGTGGGTCCTTTGGGCTCCATCCACTCCCTCAATTCCCCTGGCTGAGATATATCAAACCGTGGGCTGTGGATAGCCCCCTCCTTCCCCAGCCCAGACCCCTGACCCCAGGCTGTGAACCCTATATCCTACCAATTGCCTTCTGGACTCAGCATCACTTGCTGTCCCCCAGGCCTGTCCAAAACCATCTCTGAATCTTCACCAATCTTCACCACCATGTGCCCAGCCTGCCCCTTCCCTATCCCTCTTCCTTTTATTTTATTTATTCATTGAGGCGGAGTTTCACTCTTGTTGCCCAGGCTGGAGTGCAATGGCACGATCTTGGCTCACCACAACCTCCGCCTCCTGGGTTCAAGCGATTCTCCTGCCTCAGCCTCCCGAGTAGCTGGAATTACAGGCATGTGCTACCACGCCCGGCTAATTTTGTATTTTTAGTAGAGACAGGGTTTCTCCATGTTAGTCAGGCTGGTCTCAAACTCCCAACCTCTGGTGATGTGCCCACCTCAGCCTCCCAAAGTCCTGGGATAACAGGCGTGAGCCACCATGCCCGGTCTATTTTATTTTATTTTTTGAGAAGGAGTCTCACTCTGTTGCCCAGGCTGGAGTCTGGTGGCATGATCTTGGCTCACTGCAATCTCCACCTCCCAGGTTAAAGCAATTCTCCTGCCTCAGTCTCCTGAGTAGCTGGGATTACAGGCATGCACCACCATACCTGACAATTTTTTTGTATTTTTAGTAGAGACGGGGTTTCACCATGCTGGCCAGGCTGGTCTCGTAATCCTGACCTGAAGTGATCTGCCTACCTAGGCTTCCCAAATTTCTGGGATTACAGACCCTTTATGTCTCTCCCCATTGGGATCCAAAGTAGAAACCTGGGAGTGGCCCTCCACTCTTCCCTCTCCTTTACTTCCTGATCTATCAGTCTCCAACTCTTGTGAAGTCCCTTCTCCCACTGCCCCTCCTGGCCTTCATCCTATTCCTGAAAGAGTCCCCCCACTGGACTCTCTGCCTCCTCTCTTGACTTCCTCTAATCTGTTCTTTATTCGACAGCCAGGGTGATCTTTCTTTTTTATTTTTTGAGATACAGTCTCCCTATAAGGCCCATGCTGGTCTTGGACTCCTGGACTGAAGCTGCCCTCCTGTCTCAGCCTCCTGAGTCACCGTGATTACAGGCACATGCTACCATGCCCAGCCAAGGTGATTTTTTTTTTTTGAGATGGAGTTTCGCTCTTGTTGCCCAGGCTGGAGTGCAATGGCGCGATCTTGGCTCACTGCAACCTCCACCTCCTGGGTTCAAGCGATTCTCCTGCCTCAGCCTCCCGAGTAGCTGGGATTACAGGTGCCTGCCACCACGCCCAGCTAATTTTTTTGTATTTTTAGTACAGCCGGGGTTTCACCGTGTTGGCCAGGCTGGTCCCAAACTCCTGACCTCAGGCGATCCACCTGCCTCAGCCTCCCAAACTGCTGGGATTACAGGTGTGAGCCACTGCGCCCAGCCTCCAGGGTGATCTTTCTAAAACCCAATCTGATCAAGTCAATCCTCTGCTTCTCATTATCCTTGGATTAAGATCAAGCTCCTTAGCATGACTTATCTCCTTCAAAATCTGGTCCCCTGACATCCATCCCCATTCCCCTTTTTTGTTTGGGGATCCATGTGGTGCTATGGCGTTGATCCCATGCCAATGCCAGCCTTTCCCAAGGCCCTGGATACCATGAATGCTTCAGAAATGAACTAGAAACCAAAGCTGGTCCAATCAGCATGTTGTAAATGTAAGACAAAAGACCAGGAAGCTGAGCACAGGAGTGTTGGCTGCCATCTTTGATCTTCGGGGAAAGCCAACACTATGGAGAATACCACGAGGAGATGGAAAAAGCCACCCAAGGCCAGGTGCAGTGGCTCACACTGTAATCCAAGAACTTTGGGAGGCAGAGGTGGGTGAATCGCTTGAAACTAGGAGTTCGTGACCACCTTGGGCAACATGACAAGACCCCTGCCTCTACAAAAAAAAAAAAATTAGCCAGGTGTGGTGGCACGTGCCTGTGGTCCCAGCTACTAGGGAGGCTGAGGTGGGAGGATCGCTTGAACCCAGAAGCCATGAGTGTGCCACTGCACTCCAGCCTGGGCGACAGGGTGAGACCCTGTCTCAAAAAAAAAAAAAAGATGGGAGTCTGAGGCATGAGAATCACCTGAACCCGGAGGTGGAGGAGAAAAAGTCACCCAACCAACCTCACTTGAAGTCACTGAACCTCTGGACCTTTTATTTTTATTTTTGAGATGCACTTTTGCTCTTGTCGCCCAGGCTGGAGTGCAATGGCCCAATCTTGGCTCACTGCAACCTCCACCTCCCAGGTTCAAGCAATTCTCCTGCCTCGACCTCCCGAATAACTGGGATTACAGGCACCCACCACCATGCCCGGCTAATTTTTTGTATTTTTAGTAGAGACGGGGTTTCACCATGTTAGTCAGGCTGATCTCGAACTCCTGACCTCAGGTGATCTGCCCTCCTCAGCCTCCCAAAGTGCTGGGATTACAGGCGTGAGCCACCACACCTGGCCTGAACCTCTGGACCTTTTAGTTATGTAAGGAGTAGGCCAATACATTTTTTCCTTATTGTTTAAGCCTGGTTGATTTCTGTTTTCTGTCACTTGCAATCAAAGCCTCAGAAATAATACACCTCTCAACACTATCCCACTTAACGATATGCCTTAGCTACACTCAGCAACTGGAAATGCCCAGGATGCCCTGAGTCCCCTCTCTTTCCTCCAAGTCTTTATATATACAATACCTGGAATGAAGCTCCTCCTTTCCTTGCTGTCTAATTCTCTCTCTCTCTCTTTTTTTTTTTTTGTTTGTTTGTTTGTTTGAGACAGAGTCTCGCTGTTCAGCAGTGACGTGATCTCGGCTCACCACAACCTCCACCTCCCAGGTTCAAGCAATTCTCCGCCTCAGCCTCCTGAGTAGCTGGGATTACAGGCGCTCGCCACCACACTGGCTAATTTTTTGTATTTTTAGTGGAGATGGGATTTCATCATCTTGGCCAGGCTGGTCTTGAACTCCTGACCTCACGATCCACCCACCTCGGCCTCCCAAAGTGCTGCAGGCATGAGCCACTGTGCCTGGCCTGTTTTTTTTTTTTGTTTTGTTTTTTTTGTTGTTGTTGTTTGTTTTCATTTATTTATTTATTTTGAGACAGTCTCACTCTGTTGCCCAGGCTGGAGTGCAGTGGCGCGATCTCGGCTCACTGCAACCTCTGCCTCCAAGGTTCAAATGGTTCTCCTATCTCAGTCTCTCGAGTAGCTGGGATTGCTAGGCGCATGCCACCATGCCTGGGTAATTTTTTTGTATTTTTAGTAGAGACGGGGTTTCACCATGGGTCTTGTACTGCTGACCTCATGTGATCCACCCAAACTCCTGGCCTCACGTGATCCACCCACCTTGGCCTCCCAAAGTGCTGGGATTACAGGCATGAACCACTGTGCCTGGCCCCCTTGCTGTCTAATTCTTACTTACCTTTCGAAATGAAGCTCAGATATCACCTTCTGCAGGACATCTGCCCCCTCCCTATCTCATCACTTATCACGATCTAATGGAACCACCTACTGGCTTTTGTTTTTTGTTTTTTTGTGTTTTTTTGAGGCAGGGTCTCATTGAGTCACCCAGGCTGGAGTGCAGTGGCAAGATCACAGCTTACTCAGCCTCAATCTCCCCGGCTCAAGCATTCCTCTCACCTCAGCCTCCTGGGTAGCTGGGACTACAGGTGTGTGCCACCACACCCAATTAACTTTTTATTTTTTATAGAGACGGGGTCTTGCTATGCTGCCCAGCCTAGTATTGAACTCCTGGGCTCAAGTGATCTGCCCGCCTCAGCCTCCCAAAGTTCTGGGATTACAGGTATGAGCCACTGCACCTGACCCCACATACCTTTTTATCACCTACTGGAGGCTGTGAGCCCAGAGGGTGGGGCACCTGTCTTACCCCAGCAACTTACACAGTTTCACAGTGGCTGATACACAGTGGGTGCTTAACTAATGGTTGCTGGGAGAATCAGCCTCAGGTGTCCCAAGCACCACTTCCCCAGGAAAGCCCTTCCTAACTGCTCCCAGCTCCCTAACAGCCCCCAGCTCCCTAACTGCCCCCAGCCCCCTTCCTAACTGCTCCTCCCCTCCCTAACTGCCCCCAGCCCCTCTCACTACAGATACCCACACTGGTAGGTCCAAGAAGATCACTTCTGCCAAACCTATCTTGATTTTACCAACATATCAGGACCTGCTCCTTGAAGGCAAAGTCTTGTAATAATAGTAGAAGTAAGAGCCAATTTCAAGTGCTTATTAGTTAGTTTTTCACAACTACATTCCCAAACCCTATTAGTGCAAGTATATAGTAGGTGTTTAAATACCATTGTTAAATAAATTAGTGGAGGAATAAACAAATGAAATGAATGCATATATATACCAACCACCATGTGCAAAATGCCTTACCTGGGTTATCCCATTTTTCCCCCATAGCAGCCCTATTTTCCAGACGAAAGGCTGAGGCTTCAGGTCACCTGCCTAAGATCACACAGCTTGATGGTGGCAGAGCTGAGAGCCAGTCCCAAGCTGGGTGATACCAGAGACATATTTTCAAAATCTTGTGTCCCCTCCCTTTCAGTTAAGATGCATGTGGCTGCAAGTAGAGGAACAGCCACTCAGTGATGACTTGGGCAAAGCAGGCATTTTACCTTTCCTAAGGAGTCAGGAGGTCAGTGTCACCACTGACAGAGGCTCAGTGGTCATCGAGGTCTCAGGTGCTTCTCCTTTCTCAGCATTGTCCCTTCCACGTATCAGATTTCTCCTCATGATCACTAGATGGCTGCAGCTGCTCCAAGCATCCCATCCTCTGAGGACAATTTCCAGAGTGGGAGAGGAGGGGCAGGGAGCACGGACTCTCTCCTTGGCATTTGTCTTGTTATCTATCAGGAAGAACAACCCTTCCCAGGAATCCCAGAACAGCCCCAAGTCCCTTAAACCAATCCCTCAAAGGAGAACAGGATTCCTAGGCTTGGATTAGACCCATGGTGCTTGTACTCCAGCACACCTGCCATGACCCCTACCCATCACCCGAGCAAAGGCGGGGTTCTGCCGTTGTCTTAGTCCATTGTGCTGCTGTAACAGAACATCTGAGACTGGGTTATAAAGAACAGAGGCGCCGGGCGCGGTGGCTCACACCTGTAATCCCAGCACTTTGGGAGGCCAAGGTGGGCGGATCATGAGGTCAGGAGTTCGAAGCCAGCCTGGCCAACATGGTGAAACTCCGCCTCTACTAAAAATACAAAAAATAGCCGGGCATGGTGGCGGGCGCCTGTAGTCCCAGCTACTTGGGAGACTGAGGCAGAAGAATTGTCTGAACCCAGGAGGTGGAGGTTGCATTGAGCCGAGATGGCACCACTGCACTCCAGCCTGGCGACAGAGCAAGACTCTGTCTCAAAAAAAAAAAAAAAAAAAAAACAGAGGCCGGGTGCGGTGGCTCATGCTTGTAATCCCAGTACTTTGGGAGGCTGAGGTGGGTGGATCACCTCAGATCAGGCATTCGAAATCAGCCTAGCCAACATGGTGAAACCCCGTCTCTACTACAAATACAAAAAAAATTAGCTGGGCATGGTGGCACATGCCTGTAATCCCAGCTACTTGAGAGGCTGAGGCAGGAGAATCACTTGAATCCAGGAGGCGGAAGTTGCAATGAGCCGAGATCGCCCCATTGCACTCCAGCCTGGGCAACAGGGCGAGATTCTGTCTTAAAAAAATAACAACTACTACAACAAAAGATTACTGGGGCCATGTTGGTGGCTGGCTACACAGGCCGGATAAGAGGTCTGGTACTAGAGAGGGTTCTGGGGGTGGAGGTCCTGAAAGAAGAAACAGAGATTTTGGGAAACATGGAGCCTTGGGAGTGTGTTAGTTTTCCCGGGCTGCCCTAATGAAGTATCACAAACCAGATGGCTTAAAACAACAGCAATTCGTTTTGTCCCAGTTCTCCCAGAAGCTCAAAATCAAGGTGTTGGCAGAGCTGGTTCCTTTTCTAGGCTCTGAGGGAAAACCCACTGCGTGCCTCTCTCCTTGGCAGTCCTTGACTCCTAGTTGCCTCGTTCCAGTCTCCGGCTCCGGCTTCACATGGCTGTCTTCCTGCTGTATCTCAAATCTCCCTCTGCTTTCTCTTCTAAGGACACCAGTCATTGGATTTAGGGCCCACCCTAAATCCAGGATGATCTCATCCCAAGAGCTTTAACTTAATTACATCTGCAAGACTCTATTTCCAATTAAGGTCACATTCACAGATACAGGGTAGGGGGATGGTTAGGACTTGAACATATAATCTGGGGGGATTCTATTCAACCCACTGTGGGAGATATCTCCATGGAGGGGCTGTTGGTGTATGACCTAATAGTTCCATCTGCAGGGCTCAGGTGTTACCTCCTCTAGGGACCTTGCTTCTTTTGTGCCCTACAGCACCTGTGCCTGCCGCCATCACTGCCCATATTCCTTCAGCTAACATTTACTGAGTGTGTGCTTTACACCAGGCACCAAGCTGGTGCCAAATTTAGCACATAAAAATACAAGACGGCTGGGCATGGTGGCTCATGCCTGTAATCCCAGCACTTTGGGAGGCCAAGGCGAGGGCATCACTTAAGATCAGGAGTTTGAGACCAGCCTGACCAACATGGTGAAACCTTGTCTCTACTAAAAATACAAAAATTAGCCAGGTGTGGTGGTGCACGCCTGTAATCCCAGCTACTCGGGAGGCTGAGGCAGGAGAATAGCTTGAACTTGGCAGGGGGAGGTTGCAGTGGGCCAGGATGGTGCCACTGCACTCCAGCCTGGAGACAGAACAAGACTCTCTCTCAAATTATTTTATTTTATTATTTTATTTTTTTTTTCCTCCCAGGTTCAAGCGATTCTCCTGCCTCATCCTCCTGAGTAGCTGGGATTATAGATGCCCACCACCACGCCCGGCTAATTTTTGTATTTTTAGTAGAGACAGGGTTTCACCATGTTGGCCAGGCTGGTCTTAAACTCTTGACCTCATGTGATCCACGTGCCTCAGCCTCCCAAAGTGCTGGGATTACAGGCGTGAGCCACTGTGCCTGGCCAGTTAAATTTAAATTTCAGATAAATGGTAGTCGGGCGTGGTGGTGCGCAGCTGTAATCCTACCTACTTGGGAGGCTGAGGCAGGAGAATCACTTAAACCCAGGAGGCAGAGGTTGCAGTGAGTCGAGATCGTGCCACTGCACTGCACTCCAGCAGAGTGCTACAGAGCGAGACCCTGTCTAAAAAATAAATAAATAAAACAGAAAATAAATTTCAGATAAACAGTGAGTTTCAGTTTGTCCCACTTATGGAATCTGGCAACCCTAACAGCAGAAAGGCACAGTCACCCACTGCAGGGAGCACAGGATGCCACATGGAGCAGCGGCCCTGGCCAAGCGGGCAGGGGTGGAACAACCATACAGAGTTTAGAGCCGCAGAAGGCCTTTAACTGACCAACCAGATGTGGGTTTTAGAAAAACAGGGGCGTGTGGTGTCACAGGAGCCAAGGGAAGAACAGTGTTTCAAGGAAGAGGGAGGGAATAACAGAGCTACATGTTGCAGGAAGGGCCGGAAAGATGAGGCTGAGACAGGGAAGCACAGTTGGAGTTAGCAAAACTGCTGGAGGCACCAGGAGGGAGGCGTAGGTTGCAGGGGACAGCAGCCAAGCTGCAGGGGTTGAGGAGTGAGAGGAATGAGAAGCTAAGGAAGGAGACACAGGGTAGGCTGTTGCCTCTACAAGCTTTTTGTGTGTGTGTGTGTGTTTGTTTGTTGTTGTTGTTTTTGTCACCCAGGCTGCAGTGCAGTGGCGAGATCTCGGCTCACTGCAACCTCCGCCTCCTGGGTTCAAGTGATTCTCCTGCCTCAGCCTCCTGAGTAGCTGGGATTACAAGTGTGCGTCACCACTCCTGGCTAATTTTTTTTGTATTTTTGGTAGAGGTGGGGTTTTGCCGTGTTGGCCAGGTGGTCTCAAACTCCTGACCTCAAGTGATCACCTGCCTCAGCCTCCTAAAGTGCTGGGATTATAGGCGTAAGCCACCACCCCTGGCCTCCACAAGCTTTTGAGTAGGGAAGAGAGGCCCCCTAGGGCGGGCAGGAGCCAGGAAGGAGCACAAGCGAAGGAGGCCTGGGGAAAGAGGTTCACAGCCGGGAGGGACCCTGAGGGGCCTTAGCGTTTGACACTCTAGGTGGACCTGGCCTTGGGTGGCAGGAGGAGAAGTGTAAATTCAGATTCTTCTGGGGAAGTCCGGGGACTCTCAGCTGCCCACTCATCACACAGTGCGATGACTGCCCTCCCCAAACGTGCTCTCCTTCTCTGGCAGGAGCTGTCTCCCAAGCTGTTCCTCCGCACAGAAGGCAAAGCGGAGCACATGGCGGCCCCCGTGCCTTGGCTGAATGAAGGAGTGAATGAATACTTGGGAGCGGCTGCGGGCCATAGAGGGAGAAGAGGGCAAAGCCTGGAGATTGGGAGTGGCTGTGTCTGAGGCATAGGGAGGAAGAGGCAGCGGAGGAGGGAGGAGCCAGGGAGTCCAGGGGCCTCGGAGAGATGAGGGAGACAGAGTCCCTTGCCGGAGAGGTCGGAGCCGAGTGTGGAGAAGGGGTGCTTCAGCCCCCTGCGTGGGGGTTGGAGAGAAGGGTAAATGAGGCAGCGTAGAAAGCCTGGTCAATGTGGGTGCGGCGGGAGGGATGCGATGCCAGGGAGGGGAGAAGGGGACACATACTTTTTTTTTTTTTTTGAGATAGAGTCTTGCTCTATTGCCCAGGCTGGAGTGCGGTGGTGCAATATCGGCTCACTGCAACCTCCGCCTGTAGGGTTCAAGCGATTCTCCTGCCTCAGCCTCCCAGGTAGCTGGGACTACAGGTGTGCGTCACTACGTCTGGCTAATTTTTTTTTTTTTTTAGATGGAGTCTCGCTTTGTTGCCCAGGCTGGAGTGCGGTGGTGCGATCTCTGCTCACTGCAACCTCTGTCTCCCAGGTTCAAGCAATTCTCTGCCTCAGCCTCCTGAGTAGCCGGGATTACAGGCGCCCGCCACCAGGCCGGGCTAATTTTTGTATTTTTAGTAGAGACGGGGTTTCACCCTTTTTTTTTTTTTTTTTTGAGATGGAGTCTCCCTCTATTGCCCAGGCTGGAGTGCAGTGGCTCAATCTTGGCCCACTGCAACCTCTGCCTTTTGGGTTCAAGCGATTCTCCTGCTTCAGCCTCCTGAGTAGCTGGGACTATAGGCACCTGCCACCAGGCCCAGCTACTTTTTGTATTTTTAGTAGAGATGGGATTTCACCATATTGGCCAGGCTAGTCTCGAATCCACCCTTGTGATCCACCAGCCTCGGCGTCCCAAAGTGCTGAGATTACGGGCATGAGCCACTGCGCCTGGCCTAACTTTTATACTTTTGGTAGAGACGGGGTTTCACCATGTTGCCCAGGCTGGTCTCAAACTCCTGGCCTCAGGCAATCCACCTTCCTCAGCCTCCCAAAGTGCTGGGATTACAGGTGTGAGCCACCGCGTCTGGCCACTTTGATATACTTTTGTATGGGTGTATGGGGTTCCATTCCTGCCCCAGGCCTTGCCATCCATCCCATCTTATTTAATTCTCACAACCACCCCTAGAAGAAGATTTTACTGAAGATGAAGATGATTGCTACTGGTGGTCTCACTTTACAAATAAGGAAACTGAGTCTCAGAGATAGTAGGCAGCTTGCCTAAAGTCACAAGGCCAACAAGTAGCAGAAAGGAGATTTAAACACAGGTTGGTCCAACTCCAGAGCAGGCTCTGTCCACCACCCCACAAGAACAAGGAAGCCCTGAGCAGGAGAGATGGCCCATAATCAGGGCAGGCCTCAGACAGAAGGATGCTGCCTTGGGGCAGAAATAGGGCACTGGGCCTTTTCGGGCCTCTTGGGTGGCCTGGATGATGTCACCTCCCCCAAGGACTACTGGGCTCACCTCCCAGGCCTTGCCTGGTTTCCAGCAAATTCCAGCAGGCTGGGGGAGCAGGGAGCAAACCCAAGAGTGGGGCATGGCAGAAGGGACAGGGCACAGGGGATGGTGGTGGCAGTCATCTGTGCACTGAAACAGCTGACCATGAAGTTCCCTGTAGGTAAGGAGACCAGAAAAACCAAAACACAGTGGGGACTGTGCCGAGGTGGGGGTGGAGTCTCATCCCTCACCTTATCCACTCCCTCACACCGCCCTGGCTCTGCAAATCCTTTTCTGTCAGTTGAAATTTCCTTGCCTAGGCTGGGTGCGGTGGCTCACGCCTGTAATCCCAACACTTTGGGAGGCTGTGGTGGGTGGATCATGAGGTCAGGAGTTCGAGACCAGCCTGACCAATATGGTGAAACCCTGTCTCTACTAAAGATACAAAAATTAGCCAGACACAGTGGCACATGCCTATAGTCCCAGCTACTCAGGAGGCTGAGGCAGGATAATCGCTGAACCCGGGAGGGGAGGTTGCAGTGAGCCGATATTGCACCACTGCACTCCAGCCTGGGCATCAGAGCGAGACTCCGTCTCAAAAAAGACAAGACAAGAAAAGAAATTTCTAGGCCGGGCGTGGTGGCTCATGCCTGTAATCCCAGCACTTTGGGAGGCTGAGGCGGGTGGATCACGAGATCAGGAGTTCAATACCAGCCTGGCCAAGATGGTGAAACCCTGTCTCTACTAAAAATACAAAAACATTAGCCAGGCATGGTGGCGGGTGCCTGTAATCCCAGCTACTGGGAAGGCTGAGGCAGAGAATTGCTTGAACCCAGGAGACGGAGGTTGCAGTGAGCCAAGATTGTGCCACTGCACTGCACTCCAGCCTGGCGACAGAGCGAGACTCTGTCTCAAAAAAAAAAAAAAAAAAAGAAATTTCCTTGCCTCCTCTTCCTTCTTCAAAGATAAGCTTGGATATCCCTTCTTCCCAGCTGGCTACCCTCCTCCCACTCTCAGCTCCCTCTCCTGGTCCCTAGAGGGCTGGCAACCACAACAAATTTCCTGACCACACAATAGGGCTGTCAGGCCAAAGATTCACTCATTCCAGTCTAACTGCATTCCCTCCACGGCCTCATCCAGTCTCACAGCTTTTTTTTTTCTTTTTGTGGTAGAGACAGGGTCTCGCTATGTTGCACAAGCTGGTCTTGAGCTCCTGAGCTCAAGGGACCCGTCTACCTCAGCCTCCCAAAGTGCTGGGATTACAGGCGTGAGCCACCACACTCGGCCTCAGTCTCACAGTTTTATTAATTTATTTATTTTAAAAAATCAAATTTGATTTTGTCTTTTCTATTTATTTTATTATTATTATTATTATTGAGAGGGAGTCTCGTTCTGTTACCCAGGCTGAAGTGCAGTGGCGCAGTCTCAGCTCACTGCAACCTCCGCCTCCTGGGTTCAAGCGATTCTTCTGCCTCAGTCTCCCGAGTAGCTGAGATTACAGGTGCCTGCCACCATGGCCAGCTAAGGTTTTTTTGTACTTTAGTAGAGACGGGGTTTTACCATGTTGGTCAGACTGGTTTCAAACTCCTGACCTCAAACGATCTGTCTGCCTCAGCCTCCCTAAGTGTTGGGATTACAGGCGTGAGCCACCATGCCCGGCCAGTCTCACAGCTTTAAATATTATCTATTCACCGACTGTGCTGAAATTGTTATCTCCAGCGTGGACCCCTCTCCTGAGTTCAACTCTGACTACCCCACGTCTCCACCAGAACGTCTAAAAAGCACTCAGACCTGATGTGGCCAAAACAGAATCCTGATCTTCCCTATACTCAAGCCAGCTCCTTTCAAAGTCATCCACATCTCAATTGAAGCCACTCCATTTTTCTAGCAGCTCAGGCTAAGTAGCTTGGCTCTGATCCTTCCCTCACACCCCACACCAAATCTGCAAGTCCTGTAGGCTCTACCTTCAATGCCCTTCTCCCACCTCTGCCGCTGCTCAACCGTGGAGGCTTCATCTGTTGCCTTGATTATAGCAGTGGCCTCTGGACACTGTCCTTCTTTTTTTTTTTTTTTTTTTTTTTGAGACAGAGTCTTGCTCTGTCGCCCAGACTGGAGTGCAGTGGCCTGATCTCGGCTCACTGCAAACTTCGCCTCCCATGTTCAAGCAATTCTCCTGCCTCAGCCTCTCGAGTAGCTGGGATTATAGGCACCTGCCATCACGCCTGGCTAGTTTTTGTATTTTTAGTGGAGATGGGGTTTCACTATGTTGGCCAGGCTGGTCTCAAACTCCTGACCTCAAGTGATCTGCCTGTCTCAGCCTCCCAAAGTGCAGGGATTACAGGCATGAGCCACCACCTTGCCCAGCCTGGACTGTCCTTCCTTTGACCTTGTCCCTACATTCTCATCTCAACCCAGAAGCCAGGGTGGTTCTAGGACCTCCTCTGCCTGCAATGCCCTTTCCCCAGACGTCCTCATTACTTGCTCCCTCACCTTCAGATCTTGACTCAAGTATCACCTCATGTTTGCCTTTCCTGAGCATCCTAGTTAAAACTATAAATCTCTCTCTTTTTTTTTTTTTTGAGATGGAGTTTCATTCTTGTTGCCCAGGCTGGAGTACGACGGTACAATCTTGGCTCACTGCAACCTTTGACTCCCCACTTCAAGTGATTCTCCTGCTTCAGCCTCCCGAGTAGCTGGGATTACAGGCATGTGCCACCACACCCAGCTAATTTTGTATTTTTAGTAGAGACAGGGTTTCTCCATGTTGGTCAGGCTAGTCTTGAACTCCTGACCTCAGGTAATCCTCCCGCCTTGGCCTCCCAAAGTGCTGGGATTACAGTCGTGAGCCACCGTGCCCGGCCTTTTTTATTTATTTTATTTTATTTTATTTTATTTTATTTTATTTTATTTTTCGAGACAGAGTCTCGCTCTGTTGCCCAGGCTGGAGTGCAGTGGCACGATCCTGGCTCACTGCAAGCTCCGCCTTCCGGTTCATGCCATTCTCCTGCCTCAGTCTCCCGAGTAGCTGGGACTACAGGCGCCTGCCACCATGCCCGGCTAATTTTTTTGTATTTTTAGTAGAGATGGGGTTTCATGGTGTTAGCCAGGATGGTCTCGATCTCCTGACCTCGTGATCTGCCTGCCTCGGCCTCCCAAAGTGCTGGGATTACAGGTGTGAGCCACTGCGCCAAGCTTTTATTTATTTTATTTTTTTTTGAGACCGAGTCTGGCTCTGTTACCCAGGCTGGAGTTCAGTGGCGCTATCGGCTCACTGCAACCTTCACCTCCCGGGCTCAAGCAATCCTCTAACCTCAGCCTCCAGAGTAGCTGGGACCACAAGTACACGCCACCACGCCTGGCTAATTTTTTTTTATTTTTAAATTTTTTTGCAGAGACAGGATCTTACTCTGTTGCCCAGGCTGGTCTCAAAGTCGTGAGCTCAAGCAGTCCGCCCATCTCAGCCTCCTAAAGTGTTGGGATTACAGGTGTGAGGCACTGCGCCAGGCCACAACTATAAATCTTGACCTTCCCTGTGCTCTCTCCCTGCTTTTTCTTCCTTCTAGAGCCTGTATCATTTTTTTTTTTTTTTGAGACTCTCTCTGTCGCCCAGGCTGGAGTGCAGTGGCACAATCTCGGCTCACTGCAAGCTCCGCCTCCCGGGTTCACGCCATTCTCCTGCCTCAGCCTCCCGAGTAGCTGGGACTACAGGTGCCCGCCACCCTGCCCGGCTAATTTTTTGTATTTTTTTAGTAGAGACGGGGTTTCGCTGTGTTAGCCAGGATGGTCTCGATCTCCTGACCTCGTGATCCGCCCGCCTCTACCTCCCAAAGTGCTGGGATTACAGGCGTGAGCCACCGCGCCCGGCCGAGCCTGTATCATTTAACTAACTATGTATATTACCTATTTATTTCATCTATTATCGGTCTCCTCCTTCTAGGATACAAGGGTGGTGCCTATTCTGTTTCTTATTGTTGTTTTCCTTGCTGCTTGGAACAGTGCCTAGCATACAGTAGGCACTGGATAAATGTTGTTGAGGCCACCACTGTACTGAGCACTAAAGTTGGAATAATGAGGCTAAGCACAGTGGCTGACGCCTGTAATCCTAGCACTTTGGGAGGCCAAAGTGGGAGGATCGCTTGGGCCCAGGAGTTTGGGACCAGTCTGTGTAACACAGTGAGACCCCATCTCAACAAAAAATAAATAAAAATTGAGCTGCGTATGGTAGTGCACACCTGTAGTCCCAGCTACTCAGGAGGCTGAGGCGGGAGGATCGCTTGAGCCCAGGAGGTCGAGGCTGCAGTGAGCTGTGATTGCACCACTGCACTCCAGCCTGGGCGACCGCGAGACCCTGTCTCTTAAAAAAACAAAAAGATGGAATAATGAGCAAAACCTGAAAAAGTCCATGAAGCTTAAGTGTTGGGCAGCATTTCACTAATTTTCGTCTTGAAGCATTTCACTAATTTTCGCTCCCTACCTGGGGAGCACTAGGAAGTGAAGACTCTGGCTCCACCCCTGGAGATTCTGGGGGAGGTTGGCAGAGGTGTGCACACTGCGGAAGCGCCCCCGGCGGTTTGGATTCGGGTCACGTGCGGGTCACTCCGGTGTGCTGGGGATGGGTTGAAATTAAAACTTTCCGGGATGCCTGGTGTTCACGCTAACAGCACTGTCCACTCTCTCCTAAACAGTGCTTACGTGCCCGTCTCCCCTCTAAACCCTGAGGTGTGGCGCTGAGATGGCACCTCGCTCCTCTCTGTGCCCCCTGGGCTCAGCACCGCGTAGATGCGAGTTAATTTTTATTGAGAACGTGAATGAATGAGGGGGAATGAATGGTTAGAAGACGAATGAATGAGTAACAGGACTCTGGTTAGAAAAGGAATTTCAAGAGTCAAGATCTGGAAGGTGGGAAAGTTTCCAAAGACTTCCGCTACGCGCGCTAGGGCTCTGGAGGGGCAGGTACTTTAGAGGTCGAGACGCGATTGGCCGCCTGGGAAGGTGGCTGTGCCGCCGGCTGCTACGCGCGGGGCCAAGGAGTCGCTGGCCGCAGGGGAGGTGCTGCCAACCACCCGGCCCCCAGCGGCGCGCGACTCACGGCCTGGGTGAGCAGCCAGGCCTGGCGCCGCCGTTGCCATAGTTACAGACGCAGCCCTGCGAGGGGGCGGGCTCTGGCCGCACGTCATTCCCGGCGCGACGCTCCTCCGCGCTCCCGCCTCCTCCTGGTCGGAGACCCTCGGCCAGCCTAGCGGGCGCTCCACCTGCGCGCCGGCTCACCGCTGCCCTGCGCCGGTTCTGCGCCGGCGCGGTACGAGGGCGCGCGGTTGGGCGGGGGGGGGGGGGGAAGCTGCGAGGCGCATGCGCGTTGCAGGGCCGTCCGCTCTGCTGCCGCCGCTGTTGCAGCCACCGCCGTTGCCGCCTCCCTGCCGGCAAGTGTGTGAAGAAGAAGCTGAGCGTTGTCGCCGCCGCTATGGGGGTGAGTGAGGCAGAGAGAGGAGATGGGAGGTCCAGGGGCGCTCCTCGCTACCCTCGCCCCCTTTGTTCTTAAACCCCCCTCTCACGTGACCCCGACCCCCTCCAGCCTCACGTGACCCCTGACCCCCACATGACCCGACTCCCCCATTCTAAGGGTCCCTACGCTAGGCCTAGCCCGGGAATCCTCTGGAGAGCCCCTGGTCCGGGGCCCCACCCCCTCGGCGCCCCCAGCGTCACGCCCGCCCCTTCCTGCTTCGCGGACCCGTTACTGGCCTCCCCACCACCGTCCCCCGCGGGGACCCTGGGGTTAGCTTCCCGCTCCCCCAGGGTCACTCATCACCTGGCTGTCACCAGCTTCGTCGCTTTTCACATCCGAGGTCAACCCTGGCTTGGAGGGAATTGAGGCCCAGAGGAAAGAAGGCGCCTAGCCAAGGTCATATTGTCGGGGGCGTCAGACCCCACCTTGGGCCTCCCGAATCCCAGTCCACTGCCCTTCCCGTTACTCGAGTCTCAGCGAAGCCGGTTCCCCTACACTCTTTCGAAACCTCTCCACCAGGTTCCTGCTGCTCCTGATAAACACAGCCTTCCTTTCCCATAGACTCCTGCCTTCGACGCCTCCTGGTTGCAATGAAATGGTTCTTACGACCGCTTGGGTTGTTAGGGGTTTTGGTAGTGCAGGTGTTTTTTGCAAGGGGAGGGCTGTGCAGGTGTGCGGGGAAGATGCGGGGAGGCGGGGGCGGCGGCCCAGCCGCGGATGGATATTGACCACTTGTTCCGTGCCGGCAGCCTGGAGGTGCATTTTAGTTTACTTTCCCGGGATATAGGGTAGGGCAGAAGTTATTTGCAAGTTTCTGTGCGTTCACCTTACTAAGTCTCAATTACAGCAGTATCAGTCACCCTCCTAAAAAGATAACGCTTTTCCTAGTATTGGCTGTATTCTTTTTTTTTTTTTTTTTTTTTTTTTTTGATATGGAGTTTTGCTCTTGTCGCCGAAGCTGGAGTGCAATGGCGCGATCTCGGCTCACTGCATCCTCCTTCTTCTGGGTTCAAGCGGTTCTCCTGCCTCAGCCTCCCCAGCAGCTGGGATTACAGGCGCCCGCTACTATGCCCGGCTCATTTTTGTATTTTTAGTAGAGACAGGGTTTCACCACGTTGGCCAGGCTGGTCTCGAACTCCTGACCTCGTGATTCACCCGCCTAGGCCTCCCAAAGTGCTGGGATTACAGGCGTGAGCCACCACACAGGCCTATATTAGTATTTACATGGAATTTCCATCACCTTAAGGGAACCCTGACTTTGGAGCCCGAGGTACCTCACTTCCAGCCCCGTCTTCGCTGCTGGTGGTATAATAGTGTGCCAGTGAGTTGGCCTTTATGTGTTTGAATTTCCTCACCTCTGTAATTGGGATGCTAATACCTCCCCCTTAGGGTAGTAGTGAAGATTAAGTGAGATAATGGATGTAGATTGCTAAGGAGGTGTCTCCTAAGTAGTGGCTGTTATTTTTGTCTGTATCCTCAGCCTTAACTTTACTGATCTAAAATGGATTTGTGCTATTTTTAACCCATTGGGTTTGTCCCTACTGTTGTTAACCTAGTTTTTTTTTTTCCCGTCACTCCACTATTTATCGACTGAACAAATCAACTTATTAGACAAAAATAGTTGTCTAATCCGTGTCAAAACAGTCATCGTGTTTTAACAAATAGTTTTGGGTATTACGTACTTCATATGTAGAAAACCAAGTCTAGAGACCTTAGGCATATTTAACCTAAATTTTGGTGAAAGGTCCTAGACACAGCCATTGTTGAAACTAAATGAAACCTGTGTCCCTTAGTAACTGTCTAACCAGAAGCAGCCACTGCGGATTAAGCAGAAAACAAGAAGTGTAACATGCCGTTCTAGTTCAACACTTCCTCGTTGGTTGGACTGAAATAGCAGGCCCTCAACACCATAAGACAGGGTGAAGGAAAAAAGAAATATGCCCCAGAGATTCTGCGATCCTTGCTTCCTTTAGGGCCTCAATCTTATACTTTACAGATGTGTTTCTCACATGAGACCCTACAAAGTCTCTTCTGGCCTAAAATTGACAGTAAGAGAGACTTGAATTCTCCTCCCTGAAACAGCTGGAACCGTCTCATCACCCTCATTCCACAACTGTGGGTGCTGGGGAAGTCATCATTCCTTGTAGTTACCCTGTGGCAGAGCCTGGCCTCAGGCTGAGTGAGGCTTCAGATGGAGCGCTTTCTCTTCAGTTGCCACACACGTGTCCTAGTTGCCACATTTGTGTCATCTTTCAGGAGTTAGAATTTATATTTCTCTTGCTTCACCAAAAACAGATTCTTTTTGGATATTGGATAGTATATGGGGTAGAGACATTGATACTGAAAATCTAAGAGATGCCAAATTCTTTTTCTGAAAAGTGGCTCCTCCTCCCATCTGGATGTTTCTTTTCTTTTCTTTTCCTTTTTTTTTTAGACAGAGTTGTGCTCTTTTTGCCCAGGCTGGAGTGCAGTGGCACAATCTCAGCTCACTGCAATCTCTGCCTCCCAGGCTCAAGTGATTCTCCTGCCTCAGCCTCCCGAGTAGCTGGAATTACAGGTATTAACCATCATGCCTGGCTACTTTTTTCTGTTTTTAGTAGAGACGGGGTTTCACCATGTTGGCTAGGCTGGTCTTGAACTCCTGACCTCAGGTAATCCACCCACCTCCGCCTCCCAAAGTGCTGGGGTTATAGGCATGAGCCACCGCGCCCAGCCTGGGTGTGTTTTTTTTAATTTGTCTTTATGACCCCTTCCAGTCGTAGAACTGTGTGTGGAGTTACTTTTTCAATGGGAATAGTAAGGGGAAGAGTTTTACACTGCACATGGAAACATTTATGTAACACTTTATAACAAAAAATGCCATATACATGTGATTGTGACATGGTGGAAGGAGCATGACTTTAGGGTTCAAACGTGGATTTGGATCTTGGATGATTCATTCAGCAGATGTGAACTGAGTATCTGCTGTTTGGTGAGCACTGGGTGAACATAGCCAGATAAAGCGGATCTACCCTCACCTCATGGGGAGAGTTGGAGGGAGTGGGAGGAAGAGACCGCTTTGAGAACTCTCCTCACCGCCTCTGTGACCCTGCAAGTTCCTTAACTCTCTGTGCCTCAGGTTTCTCATCAAAGAAGTAGTCACACCTACCATGCTGGGTTGTGAAAAGTAAAATAGATCACCTTTATTAAAGCACCGGCAGAAGATCTGAGGGAGGTCTTTGTAAACAGAAGTCCCCTCCTGCGACTGTTGGTGTAGACATTGCGAGCCCCATTTTATGGAGAAGAAAACTGAGAGAGAAATTTTGAGCAACTTGCTGAAAAGAGCTTAAGTAACTTGCCTGAAGTCACGCAGCTAGTAAGTGAAAGAGCTGAGAATCAAATCCAGGTCTTTTGATTCAAAATCCCGCACTCTCTTTTTTTGTACAAAGCTCCCTTGGAAAAGACACTTAACCACAGTGAGCTTTACTGTTCACTGTGCTTATTATCCATTTTAATTAGGAGCATTTTCCTGTGTCCCTGTAGGACAGCCTTACTTCCACAAGGCAGGGGCAAAGCTAATTGGAACAGTAGGAGACCACTTTTCCTAGTGCGGCCCCTCCCTGCCTGTCTGGCCCAGCTGGCTGCACCCTGCCTTCTGCCCCATGGGCAGGCAGCGGAGCTCGTAAGGGGTTCTTGAGTTATTGCGGTCTCAGGCCATGGCAGCTCCAGGCCTTGCTCTGAGGATTGCCAGGTCTACATGAATGAGCCCACAAATCTACTAGAGGCCCGGCTGGCCCTCCTGCTGCTTGTTCTTGGGAATTACTGCTCATGCTTAGAAGTGAGATGGAGGGAACCCAGGCTTCAGTGCTTTCTGGGTTCTGGGCGTTACCCTTGCCCTCCAGCACCTTTGATCCCTGAGCCCTGTATAAGAGAACAAGCATGTAGGGTGGAGTAAGGGAGCTTGTACCTGCACTGAAGGTGTGCTGGCTTCTAACCTGCCCTTACAGCTCCAAGAGGCCAACATTTGTACCCCCATCTTCATGGAGATGGAGTTGCTTTCATAAGTCATTCTGGGGGTGTCAGGAAGAGCATAGGCCCAATCTGATTGACGCCAAAGCTCATGCTCTTCTGCCCCATGGTGCAGCCCTGGACACCTTCCATCCGACGCTTCTCTGTCCCTCACCTCTGCCTCAGTGCAGAGGGTAGGGTGTATAGCGGCACTGTGTTGGCACGCTGTTACCAAACCAGCCAGGCAATGAGAAAGGAGTTGCCGAGTGGTTGCTGAGGGCTTCTGAAGCCCAGGCCTTATCGTGGCAGGGTGCAAGAATCTTTGTTGATGACCAAGTGGAAGTCCACTATGCAGGACATAGGCGCCTCAGTAGGGGACAGTGTGGCCAGTGGAACAAACATGATCTGCAGCCCATCCCTGGGATTGAGTCTCCCCTCTGCCCTTTATTCACTGCAGAACTGAGTGGTCACATTGTCTCTTCAAGGCTCAGTTTCCTATTGTGTAAAGGGAAGTGATAGTTTCTGCCCTGATAATTGAAACCATAACCTAGGCCGGGTGTGGTGGCTCACACCTGTAATCCCAGCACTTTGGGAGGCCAAGACAGGAGGATCGCTTGAGCTCAGGAGTTTGAGACTAGCCTGGGCAACATAGTGAGACTCCCCCATCTCTAAAAAAAATAAAGAAAAAAAAAGAAACATAATGTTTGTAAAGGTACTTTGCAAGCTTTATCTCTGTGTTGTCTTGAAATCTAAATTTCCAGAGAAAAAGATGAATGCTCTAAACCTGTCCATGGTAGAGGGAGGCTAGTTCTGTTCCAGGAGTCCAGCCTTATGAAGACAGTCTATTCTCTATTTTGTTCCTTCCTCTAGGGAGGTAAGATATGAGATCTTGCCTGTGTTCCACAGCGCTCAGCCATGAGATAATTAATAGCTGGTGTTGGTAGAGTTTGTGGCTATAAGAACAATCCCTGTGAGTTCCTGGTATCTGAACTCCTTTCTTCTTGGTTGATTAAAGTAGGAGGTAAGCAGTGTCATTCCTTGGAAAATAGTGGGTAGAACTGATTCTGAGAACTTCCCCAGCATCTGGTTTTTCAACTCATGCAGAAGGTTAATCGCTCTGAGTGTCCTTTCCTGGGGCCAGTCCGTGTCAGGGCTAGATGTAATTGGGAGTTGTCAAACCTCTCCAGAGAGCTCAGGGAAAGGAGGGGTGTTGGGGGGGAGGTGTCAAAAGAGGCTGCTCTATTGGTAAAAAGCAGAGCCAACTTACCAGTGCCTTTGGGATGCCTTCTGGGGACCAGCTGGGTGGTGCATGCAGTCTGCATGCCTGTGCTCTCTTGTTGTCCTGGGGAGAGAGAATGAGAATAGCCTTTTATTGAACACATACCATATTAACCCTCATAAGGACCCTCAGTCATCAAGCCAGGGGAGGCTCAGAGAAGTGCTGTGCCTCGTCCTAGCACTGCAGAGGGTGGAGAGCAGGAAGAGGCTTTGGACAGCCCTGGCGCAGTGGCTCACGCCTGTAATCCCAGCACTTTGTGAGGCTGAGGCAGGCGGATTACTTGAGGTCAGGAGTTAGTGACCAGCCTGGCCAACTTGGTGAAACCCCGTCACTACTAAAAATACAAAAATCAGCTGGACATGGTGGTGCGCTCCTGTAATCCCAGCTACTTGGGAGGCTGAGGCAGGAGAATCGCTTGAACCCAGGAGGCAGAGGCTGCCGTGAACCGAGATCTCACCACTGCATTCCAGCTTGGGTGAAAGAGTGAGACTCCATCTCAAAAAAAAAAAAAAAAGAAGAGAAAAAAGGAGGTTTTGGATGAGGCCTGCCAGGTGTCAGAGCCTGGCTCTTGCCGTGTGTTACCTGGCTTTTCACAATAGGGTGAGTGGGTCTTAGGCCTGAGAGAATCTCACGTCGGCCTCAAAACAGGACCTGATCTAGAAGCAGCTGTGGGCAATTTGCCATTCGCTGCTCTATGCCAGGAGAATCCCCACTTGCTGCTCCTCTGCTGCCCTGCTGCTGACTGTGTGCCTGCAGCTTCGTCTTGCTGGCCATGTGTCATCTGTGTCCTGAGGTGAACCCTTTGGGCCCCTGCCCTCTGCCCTGTCACTGGGTGTGCCCTGTCACTCGTTGGCCTTAACTGAGCAGGGCTTCTGGGAATGGCTCTGTGTCCTTGAGTCCGAACACGGTGGCCCCCACTTGAAATGAGACCCGGCTCCCACAGGAGCTGTGGCCAACCAGATCTTTGTCTCCCAAAGCTGGAAGACACCGAAAAGGCTTTGAATAAACTTAGGAACAGCCATCAACGGCTACCTTAGATGCTGTCTCCTCCCTGAAGCGGTCTTCAGTGTGTCTAAAGTTGGGTGTTCCCTCCTTAGGAGGGAGCGGGTGAGTGAATATTTACTAAGTGCCTGCTGGGGGCTGGCCTGCTGTAGGCGTTGTCAGCTGTTTCGCTGGGTCCCCACAGTGTCTGTGTCAGGACGGCCAGTGCTCTTTCTGAAGGGAAGCTGAGAAGTCTGGTGACCTCTGAGGACTCCCCACTACAAAATGACCTGCTTGGGTCTTTCCGCCCCTCCAAATGTGTGGCAGCAGAGGTGGGAAATTTCTCACTGCTGGGCCAGGCCTGTGGATGCAGGGCCCTTCGATTCCTTAAAGGGAAAGTCAGTGCTTGATTGGCCACAGCCATTCCAGCTAACGTTGCTTTTCCCTGTTGCAGAGAAAGTCAAGCAAAGCCAAGGAGAAGAAGCAGAAGCGGTTGGAGGAGCGAGCAGCCATGGATGCCGTTTGTGCCAAAGTGGACGCTGCCAACAGGGTGATTCTCCCTTTCTTCCCAGTCCCTGCCTCCTGGGACTTCAGCTTGGTTTATAATTTGACTTATTTTGTCTCCACCCTGTGGCAGAATTGTGACACTACCCACCCACACCGCCTCTGCCTCCTTGCTGTGCAGGGAACTGAGCTCATACCTGTGTGTTGGAAGTTGGCGCCAGCAGTTGGCCCAGGTGTTTGGGAAAACGTGGATTCCAGTGAAGTGGCTGCCTCCCTGTGGATCTTCTTCCTTATGAATAGAGGAGGATCTAGATAATTTTTTTTTCTTTTGTGTGAGACAGGGTCTCACTCTGTCATCCAGGCTGGAATGCAGTGGCACTATCTCGGCTCACTTCAACCTTGCAGCCTCTGCCGCCTGGGCCCAAGTGATCCTCCCACCTCAGCCTCTCAATTAGCTGGGACTATAGGTGCCCACCACCACACCCGGGTAATTTTTGTAGAGACGGGGTTTGGCCTTGTTGCCCAGGATGGTCTTGAACTCCTGAGCCCAAGCATTTCACCTGCCTTGGCCTCCCAAAGTGCTGGGATTACAGGCGTGAGCCACAGTGCCCAGCCCCTGCCTCCATTTAGTATCCCATTTTTTGGTCATTCTTTTAACCCACTCATAGTAAACACTCATTTATAAGGATGTGGCTCAGGGGCTTGATTTTCCATTTGGAGTTGTAACCAGGTAAAGTCAGTGTGCAGCAGATCAGGTAGCCTCTTCTTTGGGTTAGCTGTGCTGTGAGCAGGTTGTATGCCCACAGGCTAATGAGGTCTCCTCTTGCCCTGTCAGGTGATGCCAAACTTAACTCTCCTGGGCCTTTCCACCAAAGCCTTCCTCGCACATGTGACTTCAGAGCTAGGCAAATGGTGGGTTTTGGGAGGCTGCTCCTGGTTCTGAAGTTAGTCTCCCGTTGTGGGTCCCCACAGCATCCCACTCCAAGACAACAGCTCTTGGGATAGGATCTGCACCTCCGCCCCACTTGTCTGTGCTGTTCCTCTTTTCTTTCCCTCCACAGCTTGGAGACCCTCTGGAGGCTTTCCCAGTGTTCAAGAAATATGATAGAAACGGGTGAGTCACATTGAGCATTACCAACTGCTGTCTCCTCGAGTGTCTTCAGGAATTCCCTTTCCAGAGTAGGCTTCCTCAGACACAAATTTTCTCATTGTTCTTCGTATTTACGAAAAAACAGGGCTGGGTGCGGTGGCTCACGCCTGTAATCCAAGCACTTTGGGAGACCGAGGTGGGTGGATCACATGAGGTCAGGAGTTCGAGACCAGCCTGGCTAACATAGTGAAACCCCATTTCTACTAAAAATACAAAAAATTAGCTGGCACGGTGGCGATCGCCTGTAATCCCAGCTACTCGGGAGGCTGAGGCAGGAGAATCACTTGAACCCGGGGGGCAGAGGTTGCAGTGAGCCGAGATAGCACCATTGCACTCCAGCTTGGGTAACAAGAGTGAAACTCCATCTCAAAACAAAACAAAACAAAACAAAACAAAAGCAGAAACTGACTCGTGCCCTATATTGATATAAAATCCCCCAGGTAGGGTGGCAGAAGAATCCATAAATGAGCAAAGATTGCACTTAATCTCAGACTGATGTCTCTTTAGATAAATTTTTCTTTTATTTTTTGAGATGGAGTCTTGCTTAGTCACCCAGGCTGGAGTGCAGTGACGCAATCTCGGCTCACTGCAACCTCCGCCTTCTGGGTTCAGCCGATTCTCCTGCCTCAGCCTCCCAAGTACCTGGGATTATAGGTGCGTGCCACCACACCTCACTAATTTTTGTGGGTTTTTTTTTTTTTTTTTGAGACGGAGTCTCACTCTGTCGTTCAGGCTGGAGTGCAGTGGTGCGATCTCGGCTCACTGCAACCTCTGCCAGGTTCAAGTAATTCTCTGTCTCAGCCTCTCAAATAGCTAGGATTAAAGGCACCCGCCACCACGTCCAGCTAATTTTTGTATTTTTAGTAGAGTCAGGGTTTCACCATCTTGGCCAGGCTGGTCTTGAACTCCTGACCTCATGATCCACCTGTCTCAGCCTCCCAAAGTGTTGGGATTACAGGTGTGAGCCACTGCGCCCAGCTAATTTTTGTATTTTTAGTAGAGATGGGGTTTCACCATGTTGGCCAGGCTGGTCTCGAACTCCTGACCTCAACTGACCCACCTGCCTCAGCCACCCAAAGTGCTGGGATTACAGGTGTGAGCCACCGCGCCTGGCCTGATGTCTCTTCAGGACTGATTATTCTCTCTGCAAAGAATCATTGAGCTGAAACAAACTTGGAAAATTATCTAGGCTGACACTCACATTTAATGCATGGGAAACTGAGGCCCAGAGAGTCAAATGAGCTTTCTGAGTTTATGGAGTTTCCCCTGACAGCTGAGGGGCTTTTAATTTCCAATCTAGTGCTCTTTCCCTGAGTATACAGTATAATTGTTAAAAGCCAATTCCTGGCTATTTGGCCCTGAACAAATTACTTTTCTTCTTTAAAAAGAAAAATATTTGCTGGGCGTGGTGGCTCACGCCTGTAATCTCAGCACTTTGGGAGGCCGAGGTGGGCGGATCACGAGGTCAGGAGATCGAGACCATCCTGGCTAACACGGTAAAACCCCGTCTCTACTAAAAATATAAAAAATTAGCCAGGCATGGTGGCGGGCACCTGTAGTCTCAGCTACTCGGGAGGCTGAGGCAGGAGAATGGCGTGAACCCGGGAGGCGGAGCTTGCAGTGAGCCAAGATTGCGCCATTGCACTCCAGCCTGGGCAACAGAGCAAGACTCCATCTCAAAAAAATGTATATATTTTTTGGTAGAGAAGGGGTCTTGCCTATGTTGCCCGGGCTGGTCTCAAACTGCTGTCCTCAAGTGATCCTCCCACCTCGGCCTCCTAAAGTGCTGTGCCCAGCTGACCCTGAACAAATTACTTAACCTTTCTGTTCCTCAATTTTCTATTTAAAAATGGGCCTGGGCCAGGTGTGGTGGCTCATACCTGTAATCCCAGCACTTTGGGAGGCTGAGGTTGGAAGGATCGTTTGTGCCCAGGAGTCCAAGACCAGTCCTGGCGACATAGGAAGACCCTGTCTCTACAAAAAAAAAATTTTTTTAATTAGCTGGGCATGGTGGCACATGCCTGTATTCCCAGCTACTGAGAAGGCTGATGTGGGAGAATTGCTTGAGCCTGGGAGATGCAGGCTGCAGTGAGCCATGGTAGCAGCATTGCACTCTAGCCTGGGTGACAGCAAGATCCTGTCTCAAAACAAAACAAAAACCCAAAAACCAAAAATGGTTCTAATAATAGTACCTTTCTCATGGACTTGTCAGGAGGATAAGATGTAAAGTGTTAGTTCCTGCAGCATAATAAAAGCTAGATAAGTGTTTGCTGTTATTTTATTTTAAAATTTTATTTTAGATTCGCGGGGTACATGTGCAGCTGTGTAGTGGTGGGGTTGGGCATCTAGTGTACCCATCACCCAAATAGTAATCATCGTACCCAATAGGTAAATTTTCAACCCTCACCCTGTTTGCTGTTACTATTACTGATCCAGTTAACTATAGGCTCTGGAGTGAAGGCCCCCTCACGTTTTTTTCTCGTTTTGGTTTCTAAAATAGGAAGTATAATCTGCCTTACCTGAGATGCTGTTGATGAGTTGTGCTTCCAGAATGTAACATCTTGGCTTGGGGATAAACTGGGGCTCTGGGGGATTGAATTGTAGCTGGGCTTCTTAATAACTCTACTTGGAGAAGTCACTCATATTCCTCAAGCCTCATTTTCTTACCTGTCAAATAGGATGATGATGCCAAACTTGCAAGCTGTTTTTTTTTTTTTTTTTTTGAGATGGTGTCTTGCTCTGTCACCCAGGCTGGAGTGCAGTGGCGCCATCTCGGCTCACTGCAAGCTCAGCCTCCCGGATTCACGCCATTATCCTGCCTCAGCCTCCCGAGTAGCTGGGACTACAGGCACCCGCCACCACGCCCGGCTAATTTTTTGTATTTTTAGTAGAGATGGGGTTTCACCGTGTTAGCCAGGATGGTCTCGATCTCCTGACCTTGTGATCCGCCCGCCTCGGCCTCCCAAAGTGCTGGGATTACAGGTGTGAGCCACCGTGCCCAGCCAAACTTGGAAGGTTTTTTTTAAGGAAGAAAGAGAATATATGCAGCTCAGTAAGTAGCAGCTGGTATGAGGTTTTTTTTGTTTTTTTTTTTTTTTGAGACAGAGTCTCGCTCTGTGCCTAGGCTGGAGTGCAGTGGCACGATCTCGGCTCACTGCAGCCTCTGCCTCCTGGGTTCAAGTGATTCTCCTGCCTCTACCTCCTGAGTAGCTGGGACTGCAAGTACATGACATCACGCCCTGCTAATTTTTGTATTTTTAGTAAAGACGGAGTTTCGCCATGTTGGCCAGGCTGGTCCCGAACTCCTGACCTCAGGTGATCCACCTGCCTCAACCTCCCGAAGTGCTGAGATTGTAGGCGTGAGCCACTGCGCCCGGCCTGGAAAGTCTTTTGACATACTTTAGATATCCCATATTGTGATATCTCATAGTGTTTTCGTTTTTGTTTTTGAGACAGAGTCTCGCCCAGGCTGGAGTACAATGGCATGATCTTGGCTCACTGCAACCTCTGCCTCCCTGGTACAAGCAATTCTCCTGCCTCAGCCGCCGGAGTAGCTGGGATTACAGGCACCCCCCACCACGCCCGGCTAATTTTTTGTATTTTTATTAAAGATGGGGTTTCACTATGTTGGCCAGGCTAGTCTCGAACTCCTGACCTCATGATCCGCCCGCCTCGGCCTCCCAAAGTGCTGGGATTACAGGCGTGAGCCACTGTGCCCGGCCTCATAGTGTTTTCATATTCCGTATTCCCATTGACTTCCAGAAATGTGGAATAGCTCCAAAACAGGCATTGCCAGCCAAGTCTGGGCTCCTCTGGTGCCTTGAATTTTGTGTGGTTCCTGTGGTTGTGATCTTACTTTCATGTACTTTAATGGAGAATTCGTACCTGCAGGTGGGCTTTGGACATTTTATAGTTAAGATAGGTGCAGTGCTGTGTTTGGGCAGCTGTGATGGCTAAGTGGGTGATAAAGAAAGGAAGATGCTTCAGGGGCAGGGAGTTCTGAATTCATAAGGCTGAGTGTGGTGTGCCAGTCAGTAGAGGTGATGGGATTCCAGTGCGTACATCCTCTGGGGGTTGTGTCAAAGGTCACTGAAAGGTATTGATACGGGAGCTCTTTAAAGGCTTAGAGTTTGCTGACTCTAGTCCTTTCAGAATGTAGTGCTCTCTAGGGAATGTGATTTCACAGATCAGTCAAGGAGTTTAACTGTTTTTTACTTAAATTTCATTTAGAAACAGATACCTTAACACTTAGGCATTTGTGGGTTTAGAAAAACAGTGTTGGGCTGAAGCCTGCTTCACCCGGTTTTTTTTTGTTTGTTTGGAGACAGAGTTTCGCTCTCACTGCCCAGGCTGTAGTGCAATGGCACGATCTTGGCTCACTGCAACCTCCGCCTCCCAGGTTCAAGCGATTCTCCTGCCTCAGCCTCCCGAGTAGCTGGGATTACAGGCACCCACCACCATGCCCAGCTAATTTTTTTGTAGTTTTAGTACAGACGGGATTTCACCATGTTGGTCAGGCTAGTCTCGAACTCCTGACCTCAGGTGATCCATATGCCTTGGCATCCCAAAGTGCTGGGATTACAGGTGTGAGCCACCATTCCTGCCTCAATCTGTTTGATCAGCTGAGAGTATCCCCCCTGCTCAGATGAGGCAGGCAGGACTCCTGGGGCGGGGTGGGGCGTGTTGAGCCGTAGTCTTCTCGAAGGACCTAGGGTCACCCAGTGGTTTTGAAGGCGCAATTGGTAGATAAGAGGAATGGGGTCCCATGGGAGCCTAGTGAGGAGTCAGCTCAGAAATTACAGCAACAGGAAAAATGCCTAAGGGCAGGAACTAAATAACAGAAGACATGAGTGTTTATAACAAAGTACAGAAGAGACAGAAAAGGTAGAAAAAGAATAAAGAGAGAGCAGAGAGGGACAAGAAGTTTACAAAGTGCCGAGGCGGATTAGGACAGCTTGGGGAGGCAGGAAACGGGCCTTGTGGTTGGGGGGTGGGCCGTGTGGCCACAGTTGTTAATCTCAGCCTGAAAGACTTTGTTCCTGCACCTTCTCTAGTCATGCTGGGGCAGATACAGGGTTGGCTTTTCTCTGTGCAGTAACTGAGACTGGGCCTTCCTCCCTGTGATTCTGAGGGAGGAACAGCAGTGCCCTGGCAGGAGTGCTGTAACCAATTCCGTACACGTCCTGTCCTCTTCTCAGGTTGAATGTCTCCATTGAATGTAAGCGAGTGTCTGGACTGGAGCCAGCCACCGTGGATTGGGCCTTCGACCTGACCAAAACGAATATGCAAACCATGTAAGCTTGTCCCAACCAGGGGAGCCTAGTTCCTCTCGCAGCTTTCCCGTCTGACTGCTCCCAAATTCCCCAGGTATGAGCAGAGCGAGTGGGGCTGGAAGGACCGAGAGAAACGGGAGGAAATGACAGATGACCGAGCCTGGTACCTCATCGCGTGGGAAAACAGCTCCGTCCCTGTTGCCTTTTCTCACTTCCGGTTTGACGTGGAGTGTGGGGATGAAGTCCTGTACTGGTAGGAGCCATGGCTTGGGGGAGGTAGGGGAGAGAGACCCTGGCGATGTTCCAGGCACTCCAGCCAGGTGACAAAGCCCCTGGACCTACCTAGGTCTATGAGCTGCCAAGGACTGCAAGCTCCTCTGCCAGACCTTACAGCCTCTTCATGTCCCATCCTGCACGCTCACCTCTCTGCTTTCTTCACCTAGCTATGAAGTGCAGTTGGAAAGCAAGGTGCGGCGGAAAGGCCTGGGGAAGTTCCTCATACAGATCCTGCAGCTCATGGCCAACAGGTAAGGCCTCCCTTCTTAGGAGGCCCATATAGCACTCAGTTGGAAGGAGCTGTCACTGAGGCACTTGCCATTCTTTGAGCCTTGTTGGAGGAGGAGGCTCATAGGCATGTTTTGGGAGAAAGGTGTCTTAGAACCCTCTCAGTAAGATGCTCCCTGCCTTATTATGACTCCAGATTTTGTTTGTTTAGCTCAGTGCAGTGAACATCTTTTTTTTTTTTTTTTTTTTGAGACAGAGTTTCACTCTTGTTGCCCGGGCTGGAGTGCAATGGTGCCATCTTGGCTCACTGCAGCCTCCACGTACCGGGTTTAAGCAATTCTTCTGCTCAGCCTCCCAAGTGGCTGGGATTACAGGCGCGCACTGCCATGCCTGGCTAATTTTTGTATTTTTAGTAGAGACGGGGTTTCTCCATGTTAAGGCTGGTCTCGAACTCCTGACCTCAGGTGATCTACCTACCTCAGCCTCCCAAAGTGCTGGGATTACAGGCATGAGCCACCACACCTGGCCAGTGAGCATCTTTTGAGTTTCTAATCTCTGCCACCTTCTGTACCGAAGTAATGGTGCTACAGAGAGGAAGTGGGAAACATCCTTGCTCTGGAAGAAGCCAGTCTGGTCAGGGCCGATGCCTGTGCAGTCTGATCAGCCTGTGATGGGGGAAGCAGTGAGTGCTGTGTGGGGGTCCAAGACCTCCAGAGGCTAGAGGCCAAATTCAGGAACACTCGTGTGGGTGAAAGGGAGGTAACAGACAAAGGCAGAAAGGAAAGGAAGCATGACCTTAGTCTCTGTGTCTTTTCTTTTTTGAGACAGGGTCTCACCCTGTCACCCAGGCTGGAGTGCAGTGGTGTGATCGTATCTCACTGCAGCCTCTACCTCCCAGGCTCAAGTGATCCTCTAGCCTCAGCCTCTGGAGTAGCTGGGACTAAAGGCACATGCCACTATACTGGGCTGATTTTTTTAAATTTTTAAATGTTTTGTAGAAATGGGGTCCCACTATGTTTTCCAGGCTGGTCTCTAACTCCTGGGCTCAAATGATCCTCCCACCTTTGCCCCTCAAAGTGCTGGGATTACAGGTGCATGCCACCATGCCTGGCCATGTTTCTCTTTCTAAAAGGCGTTTGCTCTGCTTTCTTCCAGCACACAGATGAAGAAGGTTATGTTAACAGTATTTAAACACAATCATGGTGCCTACCAGTTCTTCAGAGAAGCGTTGCAGTAAGGAGCTGGGTGTGGGCCCTTCTGGGTGGTAGGTGGGCCTGCCCAGGGCCATTTTTCTGGTCCTGGCCCTCACTCATTCTGATGCCTGAGCTCATGGTCCAGTGGTCCATGGGGGTTCAGGTTCAGGGAGATGGTATGGCAGTGCTCTCTGATTTGGTCCACTGTCCACCTCCTGCACCCTCATCCTAAGGGTCTCATCAGTGTGGCTGGTAGAAGAGTTCTCGGGCCAGGGAGGAAGGCACTCAGCTGCCTGCCACCAACCCTTTTCTCCTGCCTGCCTTGCAGATTTGAAATTGATGACTCTTCCCCCAGCATGTCCGGTTGCTGTGGGGAGGATTGCTCCTATGAGATCCTGAGCCGGAGGACCAAGTTTGGGGACAGCCATCACTCCCACGCGGGTGGGCACTGTGGTGGCTGCTGCCACTGAACTCTCAGAGCCACTTTCAAGTCACAATGCTCTCTCCTAAGGCCTTTCCTCTTTCCTGGTCTCACTGTTCACCGGGTGTCCTCAGAGCTGTGGCCTCCCCAGCCCTGCACGTGCCAGGCTGCGCCCTGAGAGCACAGAACCCTGGGGAGAAGTGGTATCAGCTGCTCCTCCTCTCCTAGGAGACCAGAGTGCTAGAAGGGAATGAAAGGGAGAGGGAAGAGTAGGTGGGGCCGGGCAGTGAAGCTCATCCTCCACAGTGGCTGCCTCCTCATTTGGCTCCTGGGGCCTGCAGTGGAGGTTCTCGCACCTCTGCAGCCCCTAGATTCCTGGCAACCTCCCCTCCCCTGACACATACACACTTGGACAAATGGAATGTTTATGTCCACCTTTATGAAAGTTCTGGAGTCCTGGGTCTGGGGTTTGCTGGTCCCCAAAGAGGAACACACTGGGTGTAAGATCTGGGTGTAGAGGGCGGCTTCAGAGAGACTCACGCTTGCGCAGTTGGAATTGCTGTTAACGGAGACTGGGAAGATCTTTTGTGCCAAGATGCAGGGAAATGAAGAAAGCTCTTTCCAGCTGTTTTTATGGATTCATGGAGTGGGCTCATGTTGGGACCAGCTGACTCTGGGAGGAAGACTGCCTCTCCATCGCTGTCAGAGAGCCTGAAAGGACCAACAATGAGGTGTTCTTGGGACCCGCCATGGGGATGATTGCTTCTCTAGGCTCCTGGATGTTGCTGCATTCTAAGCTTAACCTCCTGGTCTCATGGCAGTGACTTGAGCTTTTGATTCATAGAAGAAAGCCAGAGGTTCTGCTTGTTCTTGTCTGCCAGCCCTCGTCGTTCTTTCTCCTCTGCCTCTCACCTCTACCCCAAATACCTCTGTTCTTAGTCTCAAGGGGAGAATAACATCAGGGAGCCCCTCATCTTCCCCAGAAGGACTTCTCGTTCCTCATGTAGTTAACTCCATTGATTTTCCTATCTTGGTGCTGATAGCTCTCTAAGGGTAGGGCACACCTCCCCACAGCCACCCTCCCTCTTCAGAGAGCCCCCAGCCAGCAGCAGGCCCCTCTGCCTGCACTCCTCAGGCTTGCCCCTCGCTGCCTCAGTGAGGCACTAGTGCCACTGCCGTGGCCCAGCCGGGCCATAGCTCAGGCTGCAGCAGAAATGCCTCTCAGTGGCCAACAGTTGCTTTTCTCTCTGGTGTCACCCTGTGGCAACAGGCTGGAGCAGGGGAAGGAGAAAGCCTTCCTCTTCTCTCATAGGATAGAAAGGCAGGCTCAGAACTAATGCTCATCCTGATCTCTAGGCCTTGTTCCTCTTCCAGGGAAGAAAAGCCAAATCCTTATCAAGGAAAAAGCACCTAACAGCTCCCTTTGGATATCCCTGAGCTCTGCTGTGGGGAGTATCATAAAGGTTCTAGCCTTCGTGAAGTTGTTCTCGTGGAGGTCTGTTGGTCCCTCTGACCTCAGCATCTGCTCACATCCCACCCTCTGCCCAACTCTGGCAGTCTCTCCTGGCAGATCTCCCCAGAGTGGTCCTTGCTTCTCACCTGGATTCCTGCTTGTGCAGGAGCCTGTGTACACAGGGCCTCCCTCACCCAGCCTGGCCCCTCTGCTGAGCACTTTGCGCTGCTCTTGATGGGCAGCAGTGGGACTGGGAACTCCTTAGAGAGGGCCTTGCAGCTTTACACTGGAATAAGTCTGCCTCTGCCTCTGCCTCACCCTGCTGGCTCCTGGTGGGTTTCATCCCAGGCAGAGTTGACATTGCTGGAGGGGTTTGGTGGACTCCTAAGAATCATGAAACCACAGGAGCATGTTTAGGAAGAGATTTGTCTCTGGTCCCTGTCTCTGAAAGGACACAGATGCTAAATATTTATTGTCTTAGATCATGGATTCCTGATACCTCTCACTCAAGGGGACCAAAAGGGACCCCCCCGTGTTCATCCCTTGTAAGGTGAGTTCAGTCTACGTTGTCTCTTTCCAGTCACTGGATACGTGGCACCAACTGGTCAATGGGTGCTTGGTGCCATACCCTGCTCACCCTAGTCTCTGCAGGCCATGTCCTGAAGGGTTCCTCAGGAGGTCGGGACTAGGGTGGGAGAGGCACTATCTGAGACCTGCAATCACTCTTGTTGGTCTTGAGCCCATTCATTTCCAAAACATCCATCTTTCTCCACTTCCCCCAGGTCTTGGTTTTGAGAAACAGCAGGCATGGCTGAGTGCGGTGGCTTACACCTGTAATCCCAGCACTTTGGGAGGCTGAGGCAGGCGGGTCACCTGAGGTCAGGAGTTCAAGACCAGCCTGGTCAACATGGCAAAAGCCCATCTCTACTAAAAAATACAAAAATCAGCCAGGCGTGGTTGTGGCCTGTAATCCCAGCTACTCGGGAGGCTGAGGCAGGAGACTCGCTTGAACCCAGGAGGTGGAGGTTGTGGTGAGCTGAGATCACGCCATTGCACTCCAGCCTAGGCGACAGAGTGAGACTCCATCTCAAAAAAAAAAAAAAGAGAAACATAGCAGGCCTTTTTTACCAGGCTTTTTGTGTTTTGTTTGTTTGTTTGGAGCATGTTAAGATTTTTTTAAGATTTTTAAAATTTTAGTTATATCCACCCTATTTCAGGTTATTTTTGTTGGTGTCAAGTATGTATAGGACATGTGAATGGTTCTTTTTAATTTTTTTTTAAGAGGAAATTTGGAAGATAAACTCCTTGATATATATATATATATATATATTTTTTTTTTTCTTTAGCAGCTTGTTATCACTGGAATCAAAGGGAAAAAGTGATCTCTTCTTGCATTGGTTGTATTTGTATGTCACAAATAAAAGACACTTTGGTCAGCTGCTGAGATGGCTTCCTGATGCTGGGGCACCATGGGCAGCGTGGATCTGGGAAGCTCTGGACCCTGAGCCTGTCCCAACATTGGGCCCGAACATCAGGAGGTGCATAGCTATGATAGCCCCATGCTGGAGAAAAAACTCAGGCTGTCCGGGGCAAGCAGCCAGAGCTGGGAACAGAGACCAAATGTATGTGTTTGTGCCACTTCCCAGGAGTTCTGAGTAGAGGCCAAAGGTGTTCTGAAGGGCGCCTGCTTTGCATCTTGGAGAGAAAGTCCCAAGCCAGGCCTTGTGACATTTGAAATCTGTGTCCAAACGTAAATTCCAGTGCCCATGTGTGGGAGGTGAATAGACGAGAGTGCTTCTTTCCTCTTTGACTTCATTGGGTTACTCAAAATATTCTTTGTCTCTTAAGATTCCTGCCCTCTTCCATCCATTCACAGAAGACAAGGCTCCAAGGAAGGGGAGCTCATGTCAGGGCTGCTGGGGCAGGAGAGTTATGAGCTGGTGGAGGCTGTGACCCCCTAGTGTGACAGATGGAGCTGTGCAGGTTGTTCCCCAAGCAGGGCTCCTGCCAGCCCTGGCCCGGGGGAGCTGGAGCTCAGTACTTTCTGTGGACAGTGGAGGGGCTGCCCCATTGTACTCTGCTTGGTGGTCTGCATCTGCTGGAACGGGGAGCAGGAGACCCTGATCCACATGGAGTGTTCGTGCCCTGGCAGAGCAAGCATCTGGGGAAAGAGGAGCCAGGGTTATACCTGTTCCGTGGGTCCCAGCTGTGGCATGTTGTGGCCTCTCCCCTGTGGGCAGGGGCACACCCGCAGGTGGTTTGTGCAGCTGTCTTATCTTTGAGGCCCAAAGAAAGGCAGCACAGCCCTTGGGAAGGGAGAGCAATTTGCCTGGCGAATCACATGGCCAGTTTCCCATGTGACAGAATTCTGCCCCTCAAGTTATTTGTTCCTTGAAGGCTGTGTTTTCATCCCAGGCAGAAACTTCCTGGAATGGCCATCCCCTTGCTGAAGGGTGAATGGCCACAGTTGGAGAGCTTGGGGCCATTCCTTCATCCCTGCCGGCTGAGTGCAGGGAGAGTTGAGGTCTGCACCCATTCCTCCTCCTTCTCCACCTTCACAATGGCCTGGGCCCTCCACAGTGGCTGCTTCAGTGAGGTGTGGTGTGACTTCTGGGTCTGCCCCATGCTGCTGCCACAGCTTCAGTGGGCAGGCGGAGCAAGAGGCACCACCGCTGAGCAGTAGACAGTCCAGAGCCTGGGCTGGACTGAAAGGGACTATGTCCCCAGCGGGAGGGACGCCACTCACCAGATGGTTTCTGCCGCCAGCTTTGAAGGTAGTTCAAACTAGGGGGCAGGCTTTTCTAGTTTTGGCTAGAATACTCCCTCCCCAAGTGCAGCAGAGGTTGTTCTATACCCCTGAGGACAGACGGGGTCTGGGGAGAGGGGATGTGTTGCTGTGGAGCCTGGTGAACTAATGTGGTGGTGTTACTCCCAATCTAAGGATAAATTGCCAGCGCCATGGCTCACGCCTAGAGCCCCAGCACTTTGGGAAGCTGAGGTGGGAGGATTGCTTTAGGCCAGGAGTTTGAGACCAGGCTGGGCAACATAGTGAGACCCTGTCTCTAAAAAAATATATTTTTTGATTAGTTGGGCCTGGTGGCAGGCACCTATAATCCCAGCTACTTGAGAGTCTGAGGCGGGAGGATTGCCTGAGCCTAGGAGTCTGAGGCTGCAGTGAGCTATGATTGTGCCACTGCACTCCAGCCTGAGTGACAGAGCAAACAAGACCCTGTTCTTAAAAAAAAAAAAAAAAATTGCAGTCATTGTGTCTTACGCCTGTAATCTCAGCACTTTGGGAGGCCTAGGCAGGCAGATCACTTGAGGCCAGAAGTTCGAGACCAACCTGGGCAACATGGTGAAGCCCTGTCTCTACTAAAAATAAAAAAATTAGGCTGGGCGCGGTGGCTCACTCCTGTAATCCCAGCACTTTGGGAGGCCGAGGCGGGTGGATCACGAGGTCAGGAGATCGAGACCATCCTGGCCAACAGGGTGAAATCCCGTCTTTACTAAAAACATAAAAATTAGCTGGGCTTGGTGGCGCATGCCTGTGTTCCCAGCTACTTGGGAGGCTGAGACAGGAGAATCGCTTGAACCTGGGAGGCGGAGGTTGCAGTGAGCCGAGATCACGCCATTGTGCTCCAGCCTGGTGACAGTGAGACTCCGTCTCAAAAAATTAGGTTGGACACAGTGGCTCACACCTGTTATCCCAGCCCTTTGGGAGGCTGAGGCAGGCAGATCACGAGGTGAAGCGATCGAGACCATCCTGGCCAACATGGTGAACCCGTCTCTACTAAAAATACAAAAATTAGCCAGGCGTGGTGGCACGTGGTGGAGAATCGCTTGAACCCGGGAGGCGGAGGTTGCAGTGAGCCAAGATTGTGCCAGATACTCCAGCCTGGGCGAAGAAGCGAGACTCCATCTCAAAAAAAGAAAAAAAAATTAGCTTAGTATGGTGATGTGTGCTTGTAATCGCAGCTACTTGGAAAGCAGAGGCTGCAGTGAGCCGAGATTGCCCCACCGCACTCCAGCCTGGGCGACAAAGCAAGACTCTCTCAAAAAGATAAATGGAGAGTGAAAAGTAACTTGCTCATGGGCCCAGTAGTAAATGGCAGAGCCAAGATTTGAACACAGCGTAGGAGGTGTTATCCCCGTTTCACAGTTAGGTAACCTGCAGCTTGGGAAAGAAAAGACAGGAGCAAGCCAAGGACACCCACAGCTGTGTACCTGACTAGGTCCCTTCCCTCCCTATGCTGCCTTGCCCCACGGCGACTGTGAGAGGCCCAGCTTCTTCCTGAGCAGGAGCTATGGGCCCCAGAGGCCTCTCCTGCCCCACCTTGCTACTCCTGGTGCTGGGGACAAGGGTGGTGTCTCCTGCTTCTGGCCTGCAATGCCAGGGTATTATGCAGTGCTGCCCTGGACAGGATGTCGGTTTCTGTGATTCCATCTACGTTCCTGGATTCCTACTATGCTGAAGTGAGCAAAGAGAACCTTAGAACCTGTATTGGGGCTTTAGGAGTCTGCTGTGGGTTGTTTTCTTTGTTTGTTTGTTTTTTTGAGACAAGATCTCTGTCACCAGGCTGGAGTGCAGTGGCACAATCAGCTCACTGCAGCCTCAACCTCCTGGGCTCAGGTGATCCTCCCACTTCAGCCTCCTGAGTAGCTGAGACTGCAGGCATACGCCATCACACCCAGCTAATTTTTGTATTTTTAGTAGAGAGAAGGTTTCACCATGTTAGCCAGGCTGGTCTCAAACTCCTGAGCTCAGGTGATCCACCCACCTCGGCCTCCCAAAGTGCTGGGATTACAGGCGTGAGCTCCCAAGCCTGGCCCTGCTGTGGAGTGTTAATTCTATTAAGGTGAACATTTAATAGTCCCTACGGACTGGCAGGGCTGGGGCTGAGGTCACATCATGTGGCGCTGGTGCTTAGTGCAGGCCACCCCAGTGCTGGAGGGAGGAGGCCCTGAGAAATGGGACCAGGCTGGGAGCCCCCTAAGGGGTGGAGGCTGTTTGACTCAGAGCAGGGCTTGGTAGGCCACAGCTGGGAGATCGGGAGCAGGGTGAGAGCCAGCTGTGGCTGATTTGGCTGTTGAAAGCCAGGCCCTGCACCTCTCTGGGGTCATGCTCTGATACAGGATGGCTCTGTTGCAGCAGGTGAGGCTGACGGGTGGCCTGGACACTAGTGGCTCCTGTCCGGCTCCCTGGCCCTGAGCCCCTCAGTGGTGACAAAGGACTAGGCAGCCACGTCCACTGAGGATCGTAGTGAGGTCTCAAGCCGCCAAGTGCAGGCACTGTGGATGGCGTGGGGCAGCACATGCCCTTGAAGTTGGTCATGATGTGGAACTGCCCCCGTGCCTAGCTCGATGCCTGGCAGGTGGGCCACACGGGTGTCACATGTGGGAGCTGTGGGGGGACCGCTCCTGTGGCGGCCCCTCTCCTGAATGTTGGATATATGGGATGGGGAAAGGTGGGGTATGTGGCTGGAGGGGTCCAGGGATGGGGCACTCAGGCTAGAGCCCTCTGAGGGTCCTGGCAGTGAGATTGGTGTCCAGGAACATGAAAAGGAGTGGGGACCTGCCCTAAGCTGATCAGGGGTCCAGAAACAAGAGAGGCCCATGGGTATTGGAGCTATGAGCGCAGGCTAGGGGCTCAGAAGGCAGAGGGGCCTGGATGTGGTTCCAGCCTGGTAGGGGTGAGTCTGGGGGCCAGCCCATGATGGAGGGAAACGTGGCCTGAGAAGCCAGTCTTCACCAAGCTGGAGCCACCGTCCCACATGGGTGCAAATGCGGTGATCTCGCCCTTACCACACAGGGCTGCTGGCTGTGGACTGCGTTCCGGAAGGGGTTAACCACCACAGGCTCTCGGCAGGCCCGCCCAGCCCTCAGCTTGCACCCTTCCCTCCCGCTGCTGGAACCCTGGGGTGCCCCAGCCAGTACAGCTGTGCCTGCCTAGAGAGCAACCCCTCCACCCCCAACCCCGCCCCCGACAGCTGTGTCTGGGCCTGTCCCCTGGATGCCTGGCAACAGCTGTATCCCAGGAAGAGCAAACACTCCTCTAAGATCCTTGTCTCTGTCCCGCCCCCTCCCTTGACCGTTGCCTGGTTAGGTTTCCCAAACTAGCTCTTCCAGTGATGCCGTCTCTCCCTCCATCTTCTCCTGGAGTTTGCATTAGCGCCCCCATTTTGCAGATGGGGAAGCTAAGGCCCACGGAGGGAAAGGTGCATTCTCGAGGTACCCAGCACCCCAGTGTTAGGCCTGTATCTCCTTCCCCGAGGCCCTTGTTCACCCTCCACCTCTGGGCACTGGGCCCTTCCTGCAGCTTCACTAGAGTCTCCTGCTGCTGCCGTCACCCCAAGAGTCATTCCCCACCCACAGGCAGATGAAGAGGCCCCAGCTGCCCTCTGAAAGCACAGGGCTGGCTTCTTTGCATCCTCACCATGCAGCCCTCCTGGCCAGCCCCAGGGCTCAGTGCCTGGCACCCACCTGATGTGCCAGGAGGAGAGACCAGGCCAGGTAGGGAAACTGGATACCCAAAGCTCAGGTTCTTACCAGCTCCAGATCAGATGCTTTGGGAGGTGGCAAGCTCTAGAAAGTGTGCAGAGGAGGGGCAGCTGAGGGTTCTTACCTGCTGGCCCCTCAGGACTGGGGTGCAGCTCCCTCCCCAGGCCTCGCAGTTCCATATTTGGACAAGAGCAGCTGCTGGTCCAGAGCCTTTCATGGGGAGAGGGCCAGGCCTGGGGTGGGGAGACCCAGTGTTTGTCCAGGCCATGTGTAAGCAGTGGGTCTGGGGGCCGCCTCTGGGGTGGGGCACCTGGTATGACAATCAGTGACAGGAAGCCTGGACCAGCTCCCCTACCCATCGCCAAGGCTTGGGATCTATTCCTAGTGCCCCACTCAGGAGGGAACAGGTTGAGCCCGGGGATCAGAGAGACCAAGGGCTCAAGAGATTTAGGTCTCACCCCTTAGTAGGGAGGGACTCCCTAGCAAGCAATCGGAGCGTGGGGGCAGTCCCAGGCGGGGGAACTGAGCTCCCCGTCTTTGCAGGCAGCACAGCAGCTGTCCAGGGTGATAGAGGGGGTCCCTGTCCTGTGGAAGGTTCCTGTCACAGAGAGCCTGTCACCACATGGGGCACACCTCCCTCATTGGACCAACAAACCCCCCTCTCCTTGCTCGTTTATTATTTTGAGATGGAGTCTTGCTCTGTCACCCAGCTTGGAGGGCAGTACTGCGACCTCGGCTCACTGCAACCTCTGCCTCCTGGGTTCAAGGGATTCTCCTGCCTCAGTCTCCCGAGTAACTGGGACTACAGGTGTGTGCTACCATGCCCGGCTAGTTTTTGTATTTGTAGTAGAGATGGGGTTTCACTATGTTGGCCAGGCTGGTCTCGAACTCCTGACCTCAGGTGATCTGCCCACCTCGGCCTCCCACAGTGCTGAGATCACAGACGTGAGCTACTGCACCCAGGCTTGCTTACTTTTAAGCAGTAAGAATTGCCCTAGGCTGGGCATGGTGGCTCTTGCCTGTAATCCCAGCACTTTGAGAGGCCAAAGCGGGTGGAATGTCTGAGCTCAGGAGTTCAAGACCAGGCTGGGCAACATGGTAAAACCCTGTCTCTTCTAAGATACAAACATTGTTTTGTAATATATTACAAAATATATACAAAAAAGTATATTATTGTAATATACAAAAATGTTTTTGTAATACAAAAATATATACTCTGCCCAGGTGGGAGGATCATTTGAGATTAGGAGTTCGAGACCAGCCTGGGCAACATAGCGAGACCTCATCTCTACTAAAAATAAAAAATTAGCCAGGTATGGTGGCAGGCGCCTATATTCCCAGCTGCTCAGGAGGCTGAGGCAGGAGAATTGCTTGAACCCAGGGGGCAGAGGTTGCAGTGAGCTGAGATCTTGCTACTGCACTGCAGCCTGGGCGACAGAGCGAGACCCCATCTCCAAAAAAAGAAAACGAGAATTGCCATATATGGAATCTTGGAAATACAGTAGAGACAGACCAAAAATGACCTACTTTCCCGCCACTATCTAGAGAACACTAGTGGTCACAATTTGTATGTGTCCTTCTAGATTTTTACATGCATATCTATTTCTCTATTTGTCTATTTTAGCAAAACAAGATCATATGGCATGTTATTTTCCCCTGCTTTTTCTTGTCTATTTTTATTGTTATTTTATTTATTTATTTATTTATTTATTTATTTATTTATTTATTTTGAGACAGGGTCTTGCTGTGTCGCCCAGGCTGGAGTGCAGTGATGCGATCTAGTCTCACTGCAACCTCCACCTTCTGGGTTCAAATGATTCTCCTGCCTCAGCCTCCTGGGTAGCTGGGACTACAGGCACATGCCACCACACCTGGCTAATTTTTTTATTTCTAGTAGAGACGGGGTTTCACCATGTTGGCCAGGTTGGTCTCAAACTCCTGACTTCAGGTGATCTTCCCGCCTTGGCCTCCCGAAGTGCTGGGATTACAGGGATGAGCCACTGCGCCTGGCCTTATTTTTAAAATTTATTTGTTTTGAGACAGAGTCTCTCTCTGTCACCCAGGCTGGAGTGCAGTGGCATGATCTGGGCTCACTGCAGCCTCTGTCCCCCAGGTTCAAGCAATTCTCCTGCCTCAGCCTCCTGAGTAGCTGGGATTACAGGCACCTGCCACTGTGCCTGGCTACTTTTTGTATTTTTAGTAGAGACAGGTTTCACCATCTTGGCCAGGCTGGTCTTGAACTCTTGACCTCGTGATTCACCTGCCTTGGCCTCCCAAAGTGCTGGGATTACAGGCATCAGCCACCACACCCAGCCTGGCCTTATTTTTTTGAGACAGGGTCTCGCTCTGTCATCCAGGCTGGAGTGCAGTGGCGCAATCATAGCTCACTGTAGCCTCACCCTCCTGGGCTCAAGCGATGCTCCTGCCTCAGCCTCCCAAGTAGCTAGGATTACAGGTTTGCACCACCATGCCCGGCTGATTTTTTGTTTTTAGTAAAGACAGGAGTCTCGCTATGTTGCCCAGGCTGGTCTCGAACTCCTGATCTCAAATGATCCTCCCACCTGGGCCTCCCAAAGCATTGGGATTACAGGTATGAGCCACTGCATCTGGCCTGTCTTGTCAAAAATTTTTAAAGTTTTTAATTGAAGTGTAACATACATACAGAAAAGTGCACAAACCGTGAAAGTCCCACCACTCACAATGGACTCATCACTAAGTGAACAGGGTGACCAGCATCCAGAAGCCAATCATGCCTCTTTTTGGCCCCCTGTCTTCCCTCTTCCCCTGGGGTCCCCACCACCTGACTCACACCTCGTGGCTCAGACCTGCTTGCTGTTGGGCTTTGTATAAATAGAAGCATGCAGCCTGTGCTCTTTCATGCCTGGCCTCTCCCCTCAACATTGTGGGATCCATCCGTGCTGCAGCTGGAGTTTGTTCATTTTCGCTATTCTGTCACATTTCATTGTATAAATGCACCATACAGTCTCACTGCTCTTTTGTTGAAGGACTGTGCCTGGATTCTGGGAAGGGTTGGTTGCTGGGAGGGATGGGGAAAGAGCAGAGACCTTGGTATTAATCCAACAGACAGACCTAGGTACAAGCCCTGCCTGGCACTAGCAGACTCAGCTGCGTTATGGAACCTGTCTGCCAGCCTCTCTTTCCTCCACTGTGATAGGTGTTCTGAGAGAAATGCATCACAGAGGCCTGAGGAAAGCCCTGGAACACAGCACAAACAAAAAGTTCAGTTTCCCAGCGCCAGAAAGTCCCCATCACCTCCTAGAGTATCCCCAGGCCCCTTGCCTGTGTTGGGGCTCAGGACACACCACTTCAAAATGTGACTGTAGGAGACCAGAATATCCCACCCTGAAATATGCTACTTTGGCATATTTTGAGCTGGTTACTCAGAGAAACTGCAGACCTAAGAGAAGCTCTGAAAAGCTAACCTTTTTAATGTCTTAATTTTTTTGTGTGTGAGAGAGACAGTTTTTTGCTCATTGTCCAGGCTAGAGTGCAATGGCCTGATCTCAGCTTACTGCACCCTCCGCCTCCCAGGTTCAAGCAATTCTCCTGCTTCAGCCTCCTGAGTAGCTGGGATTATAGGTGCTCGCCACCATGCCCAGCTAATTTTTGTATTTTTAGTAGAGATGGGGTTTCACCACGTTGGCCAGGCTGGTCTCAAACTCCTGACCTCAGGTGAGCTGCCCAGCTTGGCCTCCCAAAGTGCTATGATTACAGGTGTGAGCCACTGTGCCTGGTCCTTTTTGAGAAAAAAGCATTTTTATCTGAAGAAAGTAAATCAATTCATTCTATCTATCTAATCTATCTATCTATCTATCTATCTATCTATCTATCTATCTATCTATCAATCATCTATGTATCTGAGACAGAGTCTCGCTCTGTTGCCCAGGCTGGAGTGCAATGGAGCAATCTGAGCTCACTGCAACCTCTGCCTCCCAGGTTCAAACGATTCCCCTGCTTCAGCCTCCTGGGTAGCTGGGACTACAGATGTGTGCCACCACACCTGGCTAATTTTTGTATTTTTAGTGGAGATGGGGTTTCACCATGTTGGCTAGGCTGGTCTTGAACTCCTGACTTGAAGTGCTGGGATTACAGGCATGAGCCACCACTCCCAGCCTAAGGAATGTAAATCTTTTTAATTACTAGGCCCAGAGAGATATTAACATGAGACAGTAATTAATCTTTTGAGCTATGTGTTCATCTCTTGAAACTTCTTACTATTGCCACAAGTAGCTACACATTAACCTAACAGTGCCACACCAGACACTATAACCCATACCCTATAATGTAACACTAACCAGCCTCATTTCTATAAACCAATATTCCTTACAAACAACATTGTGTTACAGGAAAGGAGTCCCAATCCAGACCCCAAGAGAGGGTTCTTGGACCTCCTGCAAGAAGTAATTTGGGGTGAGTCCATAGCATAAAGCGAAAGCAAGTTGTTTAAGAATGGAAAGGAGGCTGGGCGCGGTGCCTCATGCCTGTAATCCCAGCACTTTGGGAGGCCAAGGCAGGCAGATCACGAGATCAGAAGTTCGAGACCAACCTGATCAACATGGTGAAACCCCATCTCTACTAAAAATACCAAAATTAGCCATGCGTGATGCCATGCGCCTGTAATCCCAGCTACTCGGGAGGCTGAGGCAGGAGAATCGCTTGAACCTGGGAGGCAGAGGTTGCAGTGAGCCAAGATTGTGCCACTGCACTCCAGCCTGGGTGACAGAGTGAGACTCCATAATCAGTCAATTTAGGCTGGGCGTGGTAGCTCACGCCTGGAATACCAGCACTTTGGAGGCCAAGGCAGGTGGATTGCTTGAGGCCAGGAGTTTGAGACCAGCCTGACCAACATGGTGAAATCCCGTCTCTACTAAAAATACAAAAATTAGCCGGGCGTGGTGGCGCATGCCTGTCATCCCAGCTACTCAGGAGACTGAGGCAGGAGAATTGCTTGAACCTGGGAGGCAGAGGTTGCAGTGAGCTGAGATGGCGCCACTGTACTCCAGCCTGGGTGAAGAGCGAGACTGTCTCAAAAATAATAATAATAAAACAAATTTGGGCTGGGCACAGTGGCTCACGCTTGTAATCCCAGCACTTCGGGAGGGCGAGGTGGGTGGATTGCCTGAGGTCAGGAGTTCGAGACCAGTCTGGCCAACATGGTGAAACCTTGTGTCTATTAAAAATACGAAAAAAACTAGCCAGCCATGATGGCATGTGCCTGTAATCCCAGCTACTCAGGAGGCTGAGGGAGGGGAATCGCTTGAACCCGGGAGGCAGAGGTTGCAATGAGCCAAGATCGTGGCACTGCTCTCCAGCCTGGGCTATAGAGCAAGACTCTGTCTCAAAAAAAAAAAAAAAAAAAAAAAAGCCTAACCTATTGAGAGTGCAGCCTGGCAGGTCTCAGCTTTATTTTACCCAGCCCCTACTCGAGATGGAGTCTCTCTGGTTCAAACACCTCTGACAATTGTATTGGCTCACTCCCTGTCCCCCCTTTTAAGTTGTTACTTTATTATTATTATTTGAGACAGGGTCTCACTCTGTCACTCTTGCGGTGGCATGATCATGGCTCACAGCAGCCTCTATCTCCCAGGCTCAAGCAATCCTCCCACCTCAGCCTCCCAAGTAGCTGGGACTACAGACACTCACATGTCACACCATTATTTTTTTGTAGAGACAAGGGTTTTACTTTATTGCTTAGTCTGGTCTTGAACTCCTGGTTTCAAGCGATCCTCCTGGCTCCCTATCCTACTTTTTTGCCTTTAAAAATCCACTTATAGGTCAGGCACGGTGGCTCACCCCTGTAATCCCAGCACTTTGGGAGGCCGAGGTGGGCGGATCACGAGGTCAGGAGATCGAGACCATCCTGGCTAACACGGTGAAACTCCGTCTCCATTAAAAAATACAAAAAAATTAGCCGGGCGGGGCGCCTGTAGTCCCAGCTACTCGGGAGGCTATGGCAGGAGAATGGCGTGAACCTGGGAGGCAGAGCTTGCAGTGAGCTGAGATCGCCCCCACTGCACTCCAGCCTGGGTGACAGAGTGAGACTCTGTCTCAAAAATAAATTAAAAAATAAAAATACAAAAATTAGCCGGGCGTGGTGGAGGGGGCCTGTAATCCAAACTACTCGGGAGGCTGAAGCAGGAGAATCGCTTAAACCCAGGAGGTGGAGGTTGCAATGAGTCGAGATGGTGCCACTGCACTCCAGCCTGGGCGACGGAGCCAGAGTCCGTCTTAAAAAAAAAAAAATCCAGTTACAACTGCTGCTAACCAGAGTGTATATTCAGGATAACTGGATTCTATGCTCCCAGGTTATAATCATCAAACTTGGCCCAAATAAGCTCTCTGCTTATGTTAATTTTGTTTCAGCTTCTTCCTTTTAGGTTGCTATTTTGTAATTTACATGCATAATGGAAATTATATTACGCTTACATTGGTAAGAGTATCTTATATCAGGAAGAGGGCTGCTCCAGACAACCTTTTTTTTTTTTCTTTTTTTTTTTGAGACAGAGTCATGCTCTGTTGCCAGGCTGGAGTGCAGTGGTGCGATCTCAGCTCACTGCAACCTCCACCTCCCAGTTTCACGTGATTCTCCTGCCTTGGCCTCCCGAGTAGGGACTATAGGCACGTGCCACCACACCCAGCTAATTTTTTGTATTTTTAGTAGAGACGGGGTTTCACCATGTTGGCCAGGATGGTCTCAATCTCTGGACTTCGTGATTTGCCCATCTCGGCCTCCCAAAGTGCTGGGGTTACAGGCGTAAGCCAAGCCTGGCCCAGACAACTTTGATCACCGGAGACTTCATCTGTGTAACAAGACGGCCTTTATTCACCATACACATCCTCCCCTCACCCTCATAACCCCTGAGAACTCCCATCCCCTGTTTCTTTCTGTAGCTCAGGATGCTATATAAGCTTCAGTCATCTGACCCTTCGAGCTACATGTTTTTTGGTACTCCCTTGTGTATGTGTATTAGGGTTCTCTAGAGGGACAGAACTAATAGGATATATGTATATAAAGGGGAGTTTATTAAGTATTGACTTACATGATCACAAGGTCCCACAATAGGCTGCCTGCAAGCTGAGGAGCAAGGAGAGCCAGTCCGAGTCCCACAACTGAAGAACTTGGAATTTGATGTTTGAGGGCAGGAAGCATCTAGCATGGGAGAAAGTTGTAGGCTGGGAGGTGAGGCCAGTCTTGTCTTTTCATATTTTTCTGCCTGCTTTATCTTCTAGCCCCACTAGCAGCTGATTAGATGGCACCCACCCAGGTTAAGGGTGGGTCTCCCTTTCCCAGCCCAGACTCAAATGTTAATCTCCTTTGGCAGCACCCTCACAGACTCACCCAGGATCAATACTTCGTATCCTTCAATCCAATCAAATTGACACTCAGTATTAACCATCATAGTATGCATCTAATTAGAAATGGTTTCTCACCTGTTGATCTGTCTTGTCAATTTAGTTCATAGTCCAGCCAAAGAACCTAGAGGTGTGGAGGGAAGCCGTTTTCCTCTTGCCTACACCTGACTGTGCTCTAATTGGGGAGTTATTCCTTTGTTTCCCAGTGCCAGACAAGCCCAGGAGGGCAGCAGGGAGGTCCTTGCCCCTTCCTTCTCCCAGTGGCAGCCAGCTGGGGCCTGGGCCTCTTAACCCTGTGCCCCTAGGGATCGGGAAGGGAGTTTAGAAGCATCTGTCCTGGGCTGTTTGCTAGGGCTCAGTGCAGGGCAAGAACAGGGACCTGGTGGTTGTGGGTGGGGTTGGGCTGAGATTGCTAAGAATGGGGCCGGGCACGGTGGCTCACGCCCGTAATCACAGCACTTTGGGAGGCCGAGGCAGGTGGATCACTTGAGGTCAGGAGTTTTGAGACCAGCCTGGCCAACATGGCGAAACCCTGTCTCTACTAAAAATACAAAAATTATCCAGGCGTGGTGGCGTGCGCCTGTAATCCCAGCTACTGGGGAGGCTGAGGCAGGAGAATCACTTGAACCCAGGAGGCAGAGTTTGCAGTGAGCTGAGATGGTACCACGGCTCACCAGCCTGGGCTACAGAGCGAGACTCTGTCTAAAAAAAAAAGTGCTCGCTTTGGCAGCACATGTACTAAAATTGGAACGATACAGAGAAGATTAGCATGGCCCTTGTGCAAGGATGACACGCAAATTCGTGAAGCGTTCCATATTTTTGAAGGGATTACAAACCAAGAGATACAAGTGGCTTCTAGAAATTAGAAAATAAAAGGTAATGGATTCTGCCCTGGAGCCGTGACAAGAAATACTGGCCTTCTGACATCTTGATTTTATATTTCTGATCTTTAGAACTGTAAGAAAATGAATTTGTGTTGTTGTAAGCCAAAAGCAAACAAACAAAAAACTAGAATGGGGTGGGGAAGGTGAGGGAGCGATGAAGAGGGATGAGCTTGGGGCCTGGGAACACATCCCTCCAGAGGAAGCTCAGACACAGCTCCCCTTCTAGGGCACCGCGAGTTCATTGCAACCTTGCTGTGACACCACCCCCCCGCCCCACCACCATGGAAGAGAAACCATGGGCTGAGGTTTCTCTTCCAAAGCTCCTGTTTCTCAATCTCTTGCCATCCCATCGCCACCCCCTGCCACAGCCTTTGATGTTATTAACCTCAATGTCAAAACTGGAACTTCTGGGAAGTCCACCTCTGCAGCAGCATGTGTGGTGGCTAAAAGCATGGCTTTTGGAGGCAACAGAACTGCCCTGTAATCCTGGCAAGGCAGCCTTGTAGCTTCATGATCTTGATCAAGTCACCTGACTCTTCAGGCCTATTTCCTCATTTGTAAAAAATTCGAAATAGGGCAGGCGCAGTGGCTCCCGCCTGTAATCCCAGCATTTTGAGAGGCCACAGTGGGAGGATTGCTTGAGCCCAGGAGTTCAAGACTAGCCTGGGCAACATAGTGGGACCCTGCCTCTACAAAAAATAAAAAGCCAGGTATGGTGGTGTGTGCCTGTAGTCCCCAACTACTCGGGAAACTGAAGCAAGAGGATCACTTGAGCCTGGGAGGTCGAGGCTGCAGTGAGGTGTGGTCGTGACACTTCACTCCAGCCTAGGCGACAGAGCAAGACACTGTCTCAAAATAAAATAATTGAAATAATAATAGCATCTATTTCATGACATTATTGTAAACCTGGAATGAGATTGTACCATTAAGACCTGGCCCAGGGGCTGGTCCCACACCCCCTTTCTCATGTGCCTTCTACCTAGTTCAATACTGTTCAGCCTCCTGCAGTTTATAAACATTCTGAGTGTCTGGTTGGAAACAGTGGTGAACCAACACAGGCTCTGCCCTCAGGTGGCCCCTAGTCTTGATGGAGACCCACCATGTGGGGCAGGGCTGACACAGGTGTTGCTGGGCACAGAGGAGACACAGGCTTGGGGTGACCAGCGAAGGCATCCTGAGTAGTGCCACCCCACATATCTTCCTAGCACATCATGGTTTTATTTTCACCGTGACACTTACACAATAGTTTCTAATTAAGTGCCTGTTTATTGTCTGTTTTTTCCCTCCAGAAGTCAGCTTTGTGACAAGAAACTCTATCCACCTCGTTCATACTGGTGTCTACAATAGTTCCTAACACACAGTAGAGGCTAATAAATATTCACTGAATAAAGTAAGTGGTATCATTAACTGGAAGCCAGGAAGCAGGAGTTAGCATGGTGAAAAAGGCAGCCTGCATAGGAGCTGAAAAAATGAACATAAAATGCAGAAGCAACGCCGGGCACAGTGGCTCATGCCTGTAATCCCAGCACTTTGGGAGGCTGAGGCGGGCAGATGACATGAGGCCAGGAGTTCAAGACCAGCCTGGCCAACATGGCGAAACCCTGTCGCTATTAAAAATGCAAAAATTAGCCGGGTGTGGTGGCATACACCTGTAATCCCAGCTGCTTGGGAGGCTGAGGCAGGAGAATCGCTTGAGCCAGGGAGGTGGAGGTTGCAGTGAGCTGATATTGCACCACTGCACTCCAGCCTGGGTGATGCATGTCTCAAAAACAAAACCCAAAGTGCAGAGGCAAGGCCAGGTGCCCTGACAAATGCCTGTAATCCCAGCACTTTGGGAGGCTGATCTGGGTGGATCGCTTCAGCTCACGAGTTTGAGACTAGCCTGACTAACATAGCAAGACCCCCCTCCAGCTCTACAAACACTACAAAAATTAGGCTGGGCGCTGTGGCTCATGCCTGTAATCCCAGCACCTTGGGAGGCCAAGGTGGGTGGATCGCCTGAAGTCAGGAGTTCGAGACCAGCCTGGCCAACATGGTGAAACCTTGTCTCTACTAAAAATACAAAAAATAGCCGGGCATGGTGGCAGATGCCTGTAATCCCAGCTACTCAGGAGGCTGAGGCAGGAGAATTGCTTGAACCCGGGAGGCGGAGGTTGCAGAGAGCCAAGATAGTGCCACTGCACTCCAGCCTGGGCAACAGCGCAAGACTCTATTTCAAAAAAAAAAAAAAAAAAAAAAAGCCAGGCATGGTGGTGGGCACCTGTAATCCCAGCTACTTGGGAGGCTGAGGTGGGAGGTTGGCTTGAGTCTGGGAGGTGGAGGTTGCAAGGCTGCAGTGAGCCGAGATCACACCACACTCCACTCCAGCCTGGGCTTAGAGCTAGACCTTGTCTCAACATCAATAACAAAATGCAGAGTGCATTTTGAATGCAACAAAAGGCTTGTTGGTGGAAATCAGAGAGCAGGGTCGAAGGTGTGGAATATTGAAGAGTTTTGAGAGTTGAGGCTGGACAGTGACATCCGGGAATTGGGATTTTGACTAGGAAGCAATGGGGAGCCACTGAAAGTATATGACTTGGTCAGATTTAGGTTTAAAAAACCAAGAAGGAAGGGATGGGGGAGGGAGAGAGAGTGATAGGGTAGGAAGGAAGGGAAGTTGGCTGCTCCAGCATGGTAACTGGAATTGAAGAGTGTAATAGTAATTGAGGGAGGTTTGGTTACTAGGTCAGTGTCAGGAATTCTCAACAAAAACGACGGAGGCCTGGTGGAGAGGAGGGGACTCTCAATAGAGAGATTTTTTTTTTTTTTTTTTTTTGAGACGGAGTCTTGCTGTGTCGCCCAGGCTGGAGTGCAGTGGCGTGATCTCAGCTCACTGCAACCTCTGCCTACCGGGTTCAAGCAGTTCTCCTGCCTCAGCCTCCCTAGTAGCTGAGATTACAGGCATCTACCACCATGCCTGGCTATTTTTTGTATTCTTAGTCGAGATGGAGTCTCACCATGTTGGCCAGGCTGCTTTCGAACTTTTTTTATTGTTGTTTTTTATTTTTGAGATGGAGTTTCGCTCTTGTGGCCCAGTCTGGACTGCAATGGCTCAATCTCGGCTCACTGCAACTTCCGTCTCCTGGGTTCAGCAATTCTCCTGACTCAGCCTCCCGAGTAGCTGGAATTACAGGCGCCCACCACCATGCCCAGCTAATTTTTGTATTTTTAGTAGAGACGGGGTTTCACCATGTTGGCCAGTCTGGTCTCGAACTGTTGACCTCAGGTGATCCACCCGCCTCGGCCTCCCAAAATGTTGGGATTACAAGCGTGAGCCACTGCGCCCGGCCAATTTTTGTATTTTTCGTAGAGATGGGGTTTCACCATGCTGGCAAGACTGGTCTCAAACTCCTGACCTCAGATGATCTACCGGCCCCGGCCTCCCAAAGTGTTGGGATTACATGCGTGAGCCACTGCGCCCGGCCAATTTTTGTATTTTTCGTAGAGATGGGGTTTCACCATGCTGGCAAGACTGGTGTCAAACTCCTGACCTCAGATGATCTACCCGCCCCGGCCTCCCAAAGTGCTGGGATTAGAGGCGTGAGCCAACGCGCCCAGCCCGTACTTTTTTTTTTTTAGTACAGACGGCCTCCCAAAAGTTCTGAGATTACGGGCGTGAGCCACCACGCCCAGCCTGAATAGAGAGAGATTTAACAGTATGAATGAAGGGAGGAGTCAAGAACAGTTTAGGCTTCTCGCGTACATGATTGGGTGGCCCCAGATGTCATTCACAAGTATAAGCCTTGGAGGCGGAACATAACTCGAAGAAGAGCCCTTTTGTGCTCCGCCCATAGCGTAGGAAGGTGTCAATTGGCTGTTTCGAGGAACGCGCCAAAAACTGCCAAGGGCTGTGGGAGGTGTGTTCTTGCGTCATTTCCGAGAGACTTCCGCGCCGCAGTTTCCCTGCTTCCCCAGCTCCAGAACTTCCGGCCAGCGCAGCCATTTTGGCTTCCTGACCTTGGGCTACGGCTGACCGTTTTTTGTGGTGTACTCCGTGCCATCATGTCCGTCCTGACGCCGCTGCTGCTGCGGGGCTTGACAGGCTCGGCCCGGCGGCTCCCAGTGCCGCGCGCCAAGATCCATTCGTTGCCGCCGGAGGGGAAGCTTGGGATCATGGTGAGGAACGGGCCTGGAAGAGCGCGGGAGGCGCCGTGGGCTGACCCCTTCTGCCTAGCTGACCTCAGGTGGTCCTGAGAATGCCTCGCGCCCCGCAGCGTAGCGGGGAGCAGCAGTGCCGGTTTGGGCATGTCTGGAGGGCGCGAACGACGGGGACAGTGCCCGGGCGACAGTCGGGGCTGTCGGCGTTAGGTCTTTCCCCACAGCCCCAGGATCTCGGGTCTGGTCCTGTCAGGCCCTCCCTCTCCTGTCGCCTCCTCGCTGCGCCGCCTCCTGCCGACTTCTTTAGCCGCTCTGAGCCCATTTTCTCGTTGGTTCACTGGGGGATGCCTGACGCTGTCAGCGACGAAAATGGTTGTTACTGCTATTTATTTTATTTTATTTTATTTTACTTATTTATTTTGAGACGGGTTCTCGCTCTGTCGCCAGGCTGGAGTGCAGTGGCGCGATCTCGGCTCACTGCAGCCTCCGACTCCCGGGTTCAAGCGATTCTCCTGCCTCAGCCTCCCGAATAGCTGGGACTACAGGCGCGTGCCACCATGCCCAACTAAATTTTGTATTTTTAGTAGAGACGGGGTTTCACCATGTTGGCCAGGATGGTCTCGATCTCTTGACCTCGTGATCCGCCTGCCTCAACCTCCCAAAGTGCTGGGATTACAGGCGTGAGCCACTGCGCCCGGCCTGGGAGGGGGTTTTCAGGCAAGGAAGGATAGGTATCGTTTTGGAGTTACTGGCCCATGCAAGGATCCTGGGTCTTAACATACAGGCTTTGCTTTTTTTGTTTGTTGTTTGTTTTTTTGAGACGGAGTCTTGCTCTGTCACCCAGGCTGGAGTGCAGTGGTGCGATCTCGGCTTACTGCAACCTCCGCCTCCCAGGTTTAAGCCAAGCCATTCTCCTGCCTCAGTCTCCCGAGTAGCTGGGATCACAGGCGCCCGCCACCACTCCCGGCTAATTTTTTGTATTTTTAGTAGAGACGGGGTTTCACCATGTTGGTCAGGCTGGTCTCTAACTCCTGACCTTGTGATCCGCCCGCCTTGGCCTCCCAAATTGCTGGGATTACAGGTGTGAGCCACCATGCCCGGCCCAGACCAGCTTTAAAACAGGTTTCAATAAATCCTGCTTCCTGTCCCTTCCTTTACCATCTGGTGGTGCATTTCTCCCTGAACCCTAACCCCAGCTGTCTCTCCTTCCTCTCACTCTTCCCCCTCCTTATAACTGACCCTTTACCTCAAGGGTTAGCGTAGCTTTGGACCTGCTCTGTCTGCTCCGTGGAGCGTGGATTCCTTTAACGTGAGGATGCGGGGCCTCCCACTTGCCTCTGAGTCCTGGCTCCCTGAGCGGGGCTTTCTGCTGCCTGGGAACTGCAAGGACTTAGAGAGCCTAGGGGAATACTGACTCCGAGGTGCCTTCTTTCTTGTGCTCTGTGTAGGAATTGGCCGTTGGGCTTACCTCCTGCTTCGTGACCTTCCTCCTGCCAGCGGGCTGGATCCTGTCACACCTGGAGACCTACAGGAGGCCAGAGTGAAGGGGTCCGTTCTGTCCCTCACACTGTGACCTGACCAGCCCCACCGGCCCATCCTGGTCATGTTACTGCATTTGTGGCCGGCCTCCCCTGGATCATGTCATTCAATTCCAGTCACCTCTTCTGCAATCATGACCTCTTGATGTCTCCATGGTGACCTCCTTGGGGGTCACTGACCCTGCTTGGTGGGGTCCCCCTTGTAACAATAAAATCTATTTAAACTTTACTTCAGAAATTCATTGTGCCTTCCCTCCTGCCTGGGCTCATGCCTCCACTGGCACTGGGTGGAGGTGTGGAGAAGAGCGCCCGGCTGGCTGCCCTGTGGTAGGTTTTGTGTGCCTCAGCTGGACTCCTCGTGTGCTTCTGTACCTTTAAATGGTGCCTGGCTTCCTGGGAAGACAAAGCCTGTTGTCATTGTGCAGCTTTTCTGGCTCATCCCCTCCAGCTCCCTTGTTTGTGCAAAGCCCAATGGGCGTGTATGTGTCTGTGTGTGTGTGTGTGTGTGTGTGTGTGTGTGTGTGTGTGTGTCCCACTGGGGCTGGATCTTCAGCTAGAAGCCTTTCCTCTAAGGGGCCAGCCTTCTCTGGTCTTCCTTTTTGGTGGACTTCATTTCTTAGGTGCTGGTGCCCTTCCTAATTGGGGGTAGGGACTTTGCAGAATCTTGGCTTTTTTTTTTTTTTTTTTTTTTTTTTGAGACTGACTCCTGCTCTGTTGCCCAGGCTGGAGTGCAGTGATGCGATCTCGGCTCACTGCAACCTCCGCCTCTCAGGTTCAAGGGATTCTGCTGTTTCAGCCTCCTGAGGCATTACAGGCACCCACTACCACGCCCGGCTAATTTTTTTTTGTATTTTTAGTAGAGACGAGGTTTCACCATGTTGGCCAGGCTGGTCTCGAACTCCTCCTGACCTCAAGTGATCCACCCACCTTGGCCTCCCAGAGTGCTGAGATTACAGCCACTGCGCCTGGCAATCTTGCCTTTTTAATTTTTTTTTCAAGACAGAGTCTTGCTCTGTCACCCAGGCTGGAGTGCAGTGGTGTGATTTCGGTTCACTGCAACCTCTGCCTCTGGTGTTCAAGCAATTCTCCTGCCTCAGCCTCCTGAGTAGCTGGGATTACAGGCACATGCCACCACACCTGGCTAATTTCTGTATTCTTAGTAGAGATGGTATTTCACCATGTTGGCCAGGTCTCAAACTCTTGACCTTGTGATCCACCCTCCTCGTCCTCCCAAAATGCTGGGATTAACAGGCGTGAGAGACCGCTCCGTGCCCCCGCTTTTTTTTTTTTTTTTTTTGAGGCTAGACTGCAGTGGCGCAATCACAGCTCTGTAGCCTTGACTTTGACTGCAGCCTTGACCTCCCAGGCTCAAGCGATCCTCCCACCACAGGTTGTACCCCAGTAGCTGGGACTATAGGCATGTGCTACCACCATGCCTGGCTAGTTTCATCTTTTTTTTTTTTTTTTTGAGACTGAGTCTCACTCTGTTGCCCAGGCTGGAGTGTAGTGGAACAATCTCGACTCACTGCAACCTCCGCCTCCCGGGTTCAAGTGATTCTCAGCCTCCTGAGTAGCTGGGATTACAGGCGCTCGCCACCATGCCCGGCTAATGGTTTTTTTTTTTTTTTTTAAGTAGAGATGGGGTTTCACCCTGTTGGTCAGGCTGGTCTCGAACTTCTGACCTCGTGATCCGCCCACCTCGGCCTCCCAAAGTGCTGGGATTACAGGCATGAGCCACTGCGCCCAGCCATACCTGGCTAGTTTCTTAAAACATTTTCTTGTAGAGATGGGGTCTTACTATGTTGGACAGGCTGATCTTGAACTCGTGGGCTCAAGTGATCCTCCTACCTCAGCCTTTCAAAGTGCTGGGACTACAGGTGTCAGCCACTGCGCCTGGCTGCTTGCTTTTTTTTTTTTTTTTGAGACAGAGTCTCGCTCTGTCGCCAGGCTGGAGTGCAGTGGTGTGATCTCGGCTCACTGCAACCTCCGCCTCCTGGGTTCAAGTGATTCTCCTGCCTCAGCCTCCCGAGTAGCTAGGACTACAGGCGTGTGCTACCACGCCCAGCTAATTTTTGTATTTTTAGTAGAGATGGGGTTTCATCATGTTGGCCAGGATGGTCTCGATCTCTTGAACCTCAATATCTGCCCGCCTCGGCCTCCCAAAATGCTGGGATTACAGGCGTGAGCCACCGCCGCCGGCCCCTGCTTGCTTTTTAAATGTCAACTCCAGGGCCCCTTTCCTTCTAACACTTTCCATACATGGTTATGGACTAATTGTCTTTCTTCATTCTATCTGCCAGCTTCCCTTTCTCCTCCTCTGTTTGACTTGGGGAATCTGCCATTCCTCTGTCCCCAGGAGTCCTTCCTCAGTGATTCTTTCTCCTGGTGTGTGAGGGGCAGGAAGTACCTCAGCAGGGGCAATGTTCCCAAACACTGCACGCTGAGCTGGAGTCCTGATTGCCAGCATCTGGAAGGAATACTCGGACCTGCCGGGTCCCACCCTCGAGGAAGACATGGCTTTACCTCTCCTTTGCATCCTCTTTGCTGGGGTGACTTGGTTGATTTCTGAAAAGACACAGGTTCAGTCTCCCCTGTGGAGCTGAGGCTGCCAGGACGCCTGTGCCTGGAACAGTGGGCAAAGATGTCAGGTGAGAGGGGAGGGCTGTGGTTGGCCTCAGGCCCTGAGTGTCTGAACACACGTCTTCCTAGCTCCTGTTCTGCAGGTTGTTTCCTGATTTATGTTGACAGAGCTGAGGGTGGACCTGACTCTCCTGCCGTAGCCTGGTCTTGCTTGGCTTTTCTGCGTGATGCCCAGGGAAGCCTGTGGGGCCCAGTGCCTGATACCGTACTGGGTTTAGCTCCTGCCATAGCTGTTTCCCTGAGCGTTAGGAAATTGTCCTCTGCCTCCTAGGTGGCTCCTTTCCTTCCACACAAGCCAGACTTTGTATATGAGGCTGAAGGGTCAGGGCCTAGTTGGAGGGCCGGGGAGAAGCTGCCTGGGCCTGTTGCCCCTAGTGGGGTTCAGAATGCTGCAGGTGTGCCCGGTGGGAGCATCGGCCAGGGAGGGGAGAGCCTATGTTGGATCTGGAGCCAGGATGGGGTACTGACCTAGGAGAATCCACCTGCCACATACAGGTATCACAACAGGTCCCTTGTTTCTGGATGGAGGGTCCTCATGGCCATCTTCCACACAACAGGACCACCCCTTGTTCTGTGCATGGTTCTGGGAGGCTTTTCTGCTTACATTAGTCCCTGTGGAGGTGGGACCTGAGCGCCCCCTGACTGTCCTCTCAGGCCCATCTCCTGGCCTGGCTGGCAGCTCCCTGGCCCTGGGGACCAGCCACTGCGGTGTGGGAGGCCGGGGCATTCCCACCAAGCCTGCACTTCTTGAGTAGAGGGCCCTGAGTGTCCTGGCCCTTGGTTGACTCAGGGCTGCTTTCCTCTGGCTGTGGGCACAGATGAGGTGCTGGTCTCATAACCACGGGGCTGCACACAGCAAGGACGTGGCACTGGAAAAAGTGTGATCTTGAGTTTTTCTTTTTTTTTTTTTTTGAGACGGAGTTTTGCTCTTGTTGCCCAGGCTGGAGTGCAATGGCACGACCTTGGGTCATTGGCAACCTCTGCCTCCCGAGTTCAAGCGATTCTCCTGCTTCAGCCTCCCGAGTAGCTGGGACTACAGACATGCACCACCACACCCAGCTAATTTTGTATTTTTAGTAGAGATGGGGTTTCTCTATGTTGGTCAGGCTGGTCTCAAACTCCCGATCTCAGGTGATCCACCCGCCTTGGCCTCCCAAAGTGTTAGGATAGGCATGAGCCACTGTGCCCAGCCTTCTTTTCTTTCTTTCTTTTTTTTTTTTTTGAAGACAGAGTCTTGCTCTGTTGTCCAGGCTGGAGTGCAGTGGCACGATCTTGGCTCACTGCAGCCTCCGCCTCCCAGGTTCAAGCAATTCTGCTGCCTCAGCCTCCCAAGTAGCTGGGACTATAGGCGCAGGCCACCACACCTGCCTAATTTTTGTATTTTTAGTAGAGATGGGGTTTCACCATGTTGGCCAGGCTGGTCTCCAGCTCCTAACCTCAGGTGATCCTCCTACATGGACCTCCTAAAGTGCTGGGATCACAGGCGTGAGCCACTGCACCCAGCCTGTTGTCTTGAGTTTCTTTTCTTTCTCTTTTTCTTTTTTTTTTTTTTGAGATGGAGTCTTGCTTTGTCACCCAGGCTGGAGTGCAGTGGCGCCATCTCGGCTCACTGCAAGCTCTGCCTCCCGGGTTCATGCCATTCTCCTGCCTCCGCCTCCTGAGTAACTGGGACTACAGGCACCCGCCACCACGCCTGGCTAATTTTTTGTGTTTTTAGTAGAGATGGGGTTTCACTGTGTTAGCCAGGATGGTCTCAATCCCCTGACCTCGTGATCTACCCGCCTCAGCCTCCCAAAGTGCTGGGATCACAGGCGTGAGCCACCGCACCCAGCCTGTCTTGAGTTTCTATGGTAACTCCACTGCCCTGCTAAGGGTTTGATTGGGTGTCCTCCATTTTTGTGCCCCTGGAATTGAATGATGGGTGCTGGTCCCCCTCCGAGGAGGACTGCTCCAGCCCAAAGTTTGATTGATTGAGCCACTGCCCCAACCTGTGCAACACCAATGGCTCCAGGCAAGTCCTTCAGGACCCTGGTCTGAAGAAGCCCTCAGCAAGCCCAGCAGTTCCTCCAGCCCCTCTTCCTCCCACAACCTGCCATGTCCTGCATTTGTGGGGATGGGTGGGGTGATGTATGTAGGGGTGGGCAGGACAGTGTAGAGTTTGAGTGACCTATCACGTTTGAACCCCAAACTCCTTGGTCCCCTGTGTGGCCATTAGGTCTGAAATCCGGTCTTCCACTGGCCTACCCTTGTCCCCAACCAATTCAGGGCCCTGGAGCAATTCTCTATAGAGAAAGCAAGGATCCTTATACCCCAAACATTTTCTGTGTCCACATGTGTGGGTTTCTGTGCCTGGTGTGCATGCTGACTGGAGAGGCTAAAGTCCCGGCAGGTGCTGTAATGTCAGGAACAGTGGTCTGGGAGTGGGGAGGCTTGGGCTTGAGGCCTGGCATGGCCACTGAACTGTACGACCTTGGGCAAGTCATCTGGTCTCTGAATCTCAGTTTTGTAAAATGAAGATATTGTGGCAGACAGAATAATGGCCCCCCGAAAATGCCCATGGTCTACTCCCTGGAACCAGTGAATATGTTATCTTACATGGCATGGGGGCTTTGTAGATGTGAATAAGGTCATGACCTTGAAATGAAAGGCTATCCTTGGAGATCCAGGCGGGCGCAATGTCGTCATAAGTCCTGAAGTGAGAAGCACTTAGCCTACCGTTGCTGGCTTTAAGGACAGAGGAAGCGGGCCATGAGCCAAGGACTGCAGGGGCCTCTAGAAGCTGGGAACAGCCCTCCTTTACAGCCAGCAAGAACATGGGGACCTTGGTCCTACCTTCTGCCAACCCGAACGAGTAGGAAGTGGATCTCCTTTAGAGCCTCTGGAAAGAAATGCAGCCTGCAGACACCTTGATTTTAGTCTGGTGAAACCCAGACTTCTGACCTCCTAAAGTGTAAGAGAGGCTGAGCATGGTGGTTCACACCTGTAATCCCAGCACTTTGGGAGGCTGAGGCAGGTGGATCACGAGGTCAAGAGATCGAGACCATCCTGGCCAACATGGTGAAACCCTGTCTCTACAAAAAATACAAAAAATTAGCTGGGCGTGGTGGTGGGTGCCTATAATCCCAGCTACTCAGGAAGCTGAGGCAGGAGAATCGCTTGAACCCGGGAGGCGGAGCTTGCAGTGAGCCGAGATCGCACCACTGCACTCCAGCCTGGGGAACCGAGCAAGACTCCGTCTCAAAAAAAAAAAAATTGTAAGAGAATAAATTTGTGTTGTTTTAAGCCACTAGGTTTGTGGTGACTCGTTACGGAAGCAATAAGGAAAGTAATGCATCATGTGGTGCTGTGAGGCCCTGGGGAGGGTCTGGGCCCAGCTGCTGGGACCGTCTGCAGGCATAAAGTGAAGTGAATGTACAGCACTTACAGTGGGTGCCCCAGCGAGGACTGGGGTGGTGGGAGTTGCTTGGGAGGGGCTCTGCCTGCATTGCCTCTGCCCCTCTGCTTGCTTTCGGCCTTAGGAGGTCTGAATCCTGCAGGTGACTCACAGCCCAACTTATGGCCCTGAGGCATAGACCCTGCTCTGCCGCATCAGCCTTTGCTGCTGTCAAAGCCTCCCTAGACCACGATTTCAGGGCTGCTGCCTGGAGACTCTCGTGGGTACAATGCAAGGTTTATGTGGGGGCCAAGCATGCCCCTACTCCCGCTGTCTGGGCAGCTGCCCGACTCCCAAGCCTGCACCGAGAATGGTCGCCTAATCCCCATGTGTGGCCCACCCTTCCAGGCTTTGGGCTGGCCACACCTTCCTGTGAGGACTGTGGCTGTTCCAGGGCCCATGCCATGCCCCTGTTGTCTTGGTCCATTCAGCCTGACTCCCTTCCCTGAGAGGCAGAGGCAGAAGAGATTGGGTGGGTCTGGAGCCATGTGGCCCCTTGGGGCCTCTGGGCTGTTGTGTAAACTTCCTCTAAGGCTGAAGTTTCACAGTCCCTGAGTCCCACTATGGGGTCTCCTCCCCTCCCTCCACCTGATGGAATCCCATGGACATGGATGTGGGGTCTGGGCAGGCACCAGTCTGGCAGGTTGGTGTGAGGAGGCATCTGTGCTATGTTGGCACTCTGGCTGCTACCTGTCACCTCTGTGACTGTCTCCGACATGCAGCCTCAACCAAGTGCCTGTGCTGCCTGTGTCATTACAGGCCCTTGACAGGAAGGACCAGCAGCATGGGACCATTTCCAGGGTGGCAAACTGGGGAGCAGAGACAAATGTCTGGGGCTGTGCCAGGGGCTCCTGGCGAATCTGCAGATGGGTTTTATTTTAATTTTATTTATTTATTTATTTTTCTTGAGACAGTTTCACCTGTTGCCCAGGCTGGAGTGCAGTGGTGCAGTCACGGCTCACTGCAACCTCTGCCTCCCGGGTTCAAGTGATTCTCCTGCCTCAGCCTCCCGAGTAGCTGGGATTACAAGCGCCCGCCACCGTGCCTGACTAATTTTTGTGTTTTTAGTAGAGACGGGGTTTCACCATCTTGACCAGGCTGATCTCAAACTCCTGACCTCATGATCCACCTGTCTCGGCCTCCCAAAGTGCTGGGATTACAGGCCTGAGCCACCATGCCCGGCCAAGGGTTTTATTTTTTTTATTTTTTGAGACGGAGTCTCCCTCTTTCGCCCAGGCTGGAGTGAAGTGGCATGATCTCGGCCCACTGCAACCTCCAGCCCCTGGGTTCAAGCGATTCTCCTGCCTCAGCCTCCCGAGCAGCTAGGATTACAGGTGCCTGCCACCACACCCAGCTACTTTTTTTGTATTTTTAGTAGAGACGGGGTTTCACCACGTTGGCCAGGCTGGTCTCGAACTCCTGACCTCAGGTGATCCATCCGCCTCAGCCTCCCAAAGTGCTGGGATTACAGGCGTGAGCCAGCGAGCCCGGCCTGCAGGTGGGATTTAGATGATTCAGGATAGAGAACCAAAATCCTCACACAGTAAAATTAACAGGACAGATGGAATGAGGATAAGAGAACAGTTATTTACTTATTTATTATTATTATTATTTTTAGATGGAGTCTCGTTCTGTCGCACAGACTAGAGGAGTGCAGTGGCTTGATCTCGGCTCACTGCAACCTCCGCCTCCCAGGTTCAAGCTATTCTTGTGCCTCAGCCTCCTGAGTAGCTGGGATTACAGGCGTGCGCCACCACAGCCAGCTAATTTTTGAATTTTTGGTAGAGACAGGGTTTCACCATGTTAGGCTGGTCTTGAACTCCTGACCTCAGGTGATCCACCTGCCTTGGCCTCCTAAAGTGCTGGGATTACAGGAGTGAGCCACTGTGCCTGGCCAAGAGAACAGTTATTAACCACCAAATAAACCATCATTGAAAAGAGCTAGGCAAGGCCAGGTGCGGTGGCTCATACCTGTAATCTTATCACTTTGGGAGGCCGAGGCAGGCGGATACCTGAGGTTGGGAGTTCGAGACCAGCTTGACCAACATGGAGAAACCTCGTCTCTACTGAAAATACAAAATTAGCCAGGCATGGTGCTACATGCCTTAATCCCAGCTACTTGGGAGTCTGAAGCAGGAGAATCGCTTGAACCCGGGAGGCAGAGGTTGCGGTGAGCCGAGATCGCTATTGCACTCCTGTTGCTGGGACTACAGGTGCATGCCACCACACCTGGCTAATTTTTTTTTTAATGTTTTTTATAGAGATGCGGGGGTGGGTCTCCCTGTGTTGCCCAGGCTGGTCTCCAATGAAATTCTCCCAGCTTGGCCTCCCAAAATGCTGGGATTACAGGCATAAGCCACCACACCCAGCCATCTTTGCTATTTAAAAAATTAAACGTGGCTGGGCGCGATGGCTCACGCCTGTAATCCCAGCACTTTCAGAGGCCGACGTGGCCGGGTCATGAGGTCAGGAGATCGAGACCATCCTGGCTAACACAGTGAAACCCCGTCTCTACTAAAAACACAAAAAATTAGCCGGGCGTGGTGGCGGGCGCCTGTAGTCCCAGCTACTCGGGAGGCTGAGGCAGGAGAATGGCTTGAACCTGGGAGGCAGAGGTTGCAGTGAGCCAAGATCGTGCCACTGCACTCCAGCCTGGATGGTCAGAGAGAAACTCTGTCTCAAAAAAAAAAAAAATGTTAAACGTAATTTTTAGATAATTCACAGGGAACTTAAAGAAGTTATAAAGAGGCCGGGCGCGGTGGCTCACGCCTGTAATCCCAGCACTTTGGGAGGCCGAGGCGGGCGGATCACGAGGTCAGGAGATTGAGACCATCCTGGCTAACACGGTGAAACCCCGTCTCTACTAAAAATACAAAAAATTAGCCGGGCGTGGTGGCGGGCGCCTATAGTCCCAGCTACTCGGGAGGCTGAGGCAGGAGAATGGCGTGAACCCAGGAGGCGGAGGTTGCAGTGAGCCGAGATCGTGCCACTGCACTCCAGCCTGGGCGACAGAGCGAGACTCCGTCTCAAAAAAAAAAAAAAAAAAAAAAGAAATTATAAAGATTCCATGTATCCTTTACTCAGTCTCCCCTGCCCCCACTAACATCTTGCAAAAATGTTGTGAAGCATACACCAGGATACTGACAGAGTCAGGGTATTGCGCATTTCCACCTTCACAAGAATCCAGACTTTCCCTTTCACAGCCACATCCACTTCCCTCCAGCACCTCCGCTTGACTCTTGGCAACCATTATTTTCCTTTTTTGTGAAGTCTTTGCTTTTATAAAGACCCTGCTTTAGTGGTGGCTCGCGGCTGGAGTCTCAGCTACTCTTCAGGCAGGGCCCGAAGATCGCTCGTGCCCAGGAGTTCGAGACTACCCTATGCAACATAGCGAGACCCTTTCTTTTCTTTCTTCTTCTTTTTTTAAAGGTCCTGCTTTAAAAACCAGAAGGACACAGAGCCCAAAGTTAGGTCATGAGGCTTTGGCCTTGACACCAAGGGATGCTGTCTCCTTGCCGGAAGCAGCTCACCAAAGCCGGCAGAGAACCCAGGTTCCGTGGGGCCACGATGTGGGGCTCCGCGGGCGCCCCGGCGCTGGCCGACTTCCTGTCTCCTGGGTCAGATGCTGCTCCGCACTGCAGCTATGGTCGCATGCAGTGCCTGCCGAAGCCCGCAGCAGGAATGCTGCCTTCGGTGATTTTAATTTCACTTTTCTACTTCTCTCAATAACAAAATCCGCGTTTCAAACTCCAGGGAAAAGAAAACGGAATTGGCTCCAGGAGGATCTGCAATCACCACCGGGAACTTTGGGAGGCTGGGAAGATGGAGCCAAACCAATGTGTGGGGTGGAGGTGCGGATCTGGGGCGGCCGGCCTCTCCTACAGGTCTCAGGTCCGCAGGCCTGGCGTGCCAGCACCTGCCACGGGACTGGAAGCCCATTCCTTGACAACGCCTAAGGGGATCCCGTTGCTAGGGCTGTTGCCAAGGCGGGGCAACGAGGAGGGGCTCGCTTCCGGGAGGACGGCAATTGGCAACCCGGAAGCGGTCGGTAGTGCGGCGCTGTTTAAAGATGGCGGCGGAGGAACCTCAGCAGCAGAAGCAGGAGCCGCTGGGCAGCGACTCCGAAGGTACAGATCCAAGGAGGGATGTCCGGCCCGGGCTAGTGGGGGCGATGCCGGGCCAGCTGCTCCCGAGGAGGGAGGGGAGGCAGGGCCGCTGGCTCTGGGGTCGAGGTGCGCGAGGGGTCCCTTCCTCCACCTCCGCTGCCTCCCCTCCCCCTCACAATGGAAGGAGCCACCGCCGCGACCCCCGGCCGGGAGGGAGCACGGGCGAGGCGGGCCAAGGCCCGCGGCCCTTCTCCATCGTGTGCGCCCGGGGCGGGGCCTGGGTCGCTCCGCCCTCTGCCCAACCCCTCGGCTCCTGGCTCCAGGGGCCCCGAGCCCTCTCGCCCCTGTCCTTGCAGTCAGGCAGAGAGGCCTACGCCAGGGCCGAGCCCCCCGGCCTGCTCCAGCGGCGGCCCGCGCCGTGAGGGCCTCGAGTTTCGCTGGGCTACGGAGCACAAAGGTCCGGGCGGGCCATTCGGGATGTCGTAGGCGGCCCTGGGATGTGAGGGGCCTGCGGGATCTGTCCCTGAGGCCTGCGACTTTTTCTGGTAGAGCCGCCTCTTCTGGCCTTGCAGCCCCTTTCCGCCTGCCTAGACATTGTTAGTCTCCTTAGGAGATGGGCCTTTCAAAAATGGTCCCACTCTGTCTTTTCCCGCCTATGAGTTGGGCCCTGGGGACCGCGTAGGTCATTGGGTGGCAGGGACAGTTCTTTTGCAGAGTAGTGCGAAAAGGGTAGGTAGGTCGACGCCCAGCCAAGAATTTGGGATGGCGAGCCCCAAAAGGGTTGACCTTTAAAGTCATTCAGCCCACGCACCTCATTCTCACCGAACACTTGAGGGAACGAGAAGTGGGAAAACGGCCCCGGAAGGGACTTGTTCAAGATGACATTAAGAGAGAGCCAGGACTAAAATTCAGGTGTCCTAGCTCCTCACCGATAGCTGCTCACAGTGGGGTCCATAGGGTGGACCTGCCCAGCTGGCTGATAATCCTAGAGCACGTACTGGTATGCCTCTAAGAAAGGCGAGGGTACTCGCCCCATTTTACAGTTGAGGAAAGGTCTCTGCCATGTGGTAGCCAAGGAGAGGTATTGTGCTGAAGAGCTCAGCCTGGAATTAGACAAACCTGGGTTTGACCGCAGGTCTTTTGCTAGTTGTGACCTTGAGCAGATTGCTTCACCTGTCTGCAGTTGTTTTGTTAATTGTAAAATGGGCACCATTAACAATATCCACGACCGCAAGAGGATGAAGGCGGTGATGGAGTAAAGTGCAGGCTCATAGGAAGCTCTCCTCCAGGCCAGGACTCTGCTTCCTCGTCCTACTTTCTGCAAGAGACCACGCCTGGCCCCAGAACATTCCCAGGCTGCTGGGAAGTGATGTTAACGGGAGGAAGGGGGTGTCAGAGCTGAAAGAGCGCACCTTAGGGATACCACGGTGCACCTCTGCCCCTTCATTTTAAAGATGAGGAAATGAAAGCCCAGAAGGGGAAGGGACTTTGCCAAGATGACACACTTGAGGTGGAGCACTCCTGTAATCCCAGCACTTTGGGAGGTTGAGGTGGGCGGATCACCTGAGGTCAGGAGTTCGAGACCAGCCTGGTCAACATGGCGAAACCCCATCTGTACTAAAAATACAAAAATTAGCTGGGAGTGGTGGTGCACGCATGTAGTTCCAGCTATTGGGAAGGCTGAGGCAGGAGAATTGCTTGCATCTGGGACATCTGTAACATACCTGCTTCCAGATTCTAAGCCTGTCTTCCTGACCCTGGGCTGCTCTTGTCCCTGGCCCAGCTGCCTGCAGTGGAGATGGCCAGGACCCCCTGTAATCTTTGGCTTTTTTCCTTTTCCCAGGTGTTAACTGTCTGGCCTATGATGAAGCCATCATGGCTCAGCAGGACCGAATTCAGCAAGAGGTGAGGGGCTGCAGTGGGCGAGGGAGGCAGTGGCCAGCAGCCCCATTGTGGAAATGCATAGGCTGGGCATGAGGCCTATTGTCTGTCTCTACTTTGGAAGCTCCCTCCTCCCTAGGCTATGCTAGGTACTGGTGCTTTTCTGGGGGTCGCTGTGCCACCGGGTGACCAGCCCAGCTCTTTTGTAGTTATTCTGTCTGTTAGGCATGGGTCACTCCATCTCCCTGCTAGGACATGACAGATCCCTGCCTCCTCCAGATTGCTGTGCAGAACCCTCTGGTGTCAGAGCGGCTGGAGCTCTCGGTCCTATACAAGGAGTATGCTGAAGATGACAACATCTATCAACAGAAGATCAAGGTGGGAGCCTGGCCAGAGCGGGTGGGAAGCACCCTGGGGGTGGGGCAGGAGGGTGCCTGCTTCAGACTTGCTTCCTGCTGGGTCTGTCACCTGAGGGAGTAGGGTGTTGGAGGACACTTTTCGTTGCTGGTTCTTGAAGTGCGTAGGCTGAGGCCTCAAAAACACATTGATTCAATGCTTGAACCTGGGAGGTGGAGGTTGTAGGGAGCCAAGATCACACCATTGCACTCCAGCCTGGGTGATAAGAGCAAAACTTCATCTCAGAAAAAAAAAAAAAAAGGTGGGGGGCAGGCACGGTGGCTCACGCCTGTAATCCCAGCGCTTTGGGAGGCCGAGGTGGGTGGATCCCCTGAGGTCAGGAGTTCGAGACCAGTCTGGCTGATATGGTGAAACCCCATCTCTACTAAAAATACAAAAATTAGCCGGGTGTGGTGGCAGGCACCTGTAATCGCAGCTACTCGCAGGGCTGAGGCAGGAGAATTGCTTGAATCCGGGAGGCGGAGGTTGCAGTGAGCCAAGATTGCAGCACTGCACTCCAGCCAGGGCAACAGAAGACTGTCTCACAAAAAAAAAAAAAAGACATTGATTCAAATCTAGACTCTGCTACTCAGCAGCTGTATCCTTGGCAAGTCCTTTAGTGTCTCTAAAATGGGTGTTCTCATCTATAAATAGGGACAATAAAAGCATCTTCTGGCCGGGCACGGTGGCTCACGCCTGTAATCCCAGCACTTTGGGAGGTTGAGGCGGGCAGATCACCTGAGGTCAGGAGTTCGAGACCAGCCTGGTCAACATGGCGAAACCCCATCTGTACTAAAAATACAAAAATTAGCTGGGAGTGGTGGTGCGCGCGTGTAGTTCCAGCTATTGGGAAGGCTGAGGCAGGAGAATTGCTTGCATCTGGGAGGCGGAGGTTGCAGTGAGGCAAGATCCCGCACTGTACTCTAGCCTGAGCGACGGAGTAAGACTCCGTCTCAAAAAAAAAAAAAAAAAAGGCCTGGCGCGGTGGCTTACACTTGTAATCCCAGCACTTTGGCAGGCTGAGGCGGGCGGATCACGAGGTCAGGAGATCGAGACCACGGTGAAACCCCGTCTCTACTAAAAATACAAAAAAATTAGCCAGGCGTGGTGGTGGGCACCTGTAGTCCCAGCTACTCGGAGAGGCTGAGGCAGGAGAATGGTGTGAACCCGGGAGGCGGAGGTTGCAGTGAGCCGAGATCGCGCTACTGCACTCCAGCCTGGGCGACAGAGTGAGACTCCGTCTCAAAAAAAAAAAAAAAGCATCTTCCCATAGGGCGATTGTGAGATTGAGGGAGGTGCAGGCTGGGCAGGAGCTGATGATCTCGGTGCCCATACGGGGGCTGACCAGGCTGGTGCTCAGTGGGGTAGGAGGGTTGCCAGAGGGCTGTTTCCCACAGCTTGCCTCCTGGATCTTTGTGGAGAGGCAGGCAGCAGTGGGGTCAAGGGGCCACAGATTTCCTCAAAGGGCCCTGCTGCATCACTCAAACGGAGGCAAACTTCACCACCCACTTTCTAGGTCTGTGAGCTGGGAGGATGACATGTGAAATGGGGCCAGGCATGGTGGCTCAAGCCTGGAATCCTAGCACTTTGGGAGGCTGAGGCCAGAGGATCGCTTGAGCCCAGGAGTTCAAGACCAACCCAGGCAACATAGTGAGACCTTGTCTCTCCAAATCAAAAAATTACTGGGTGTGGTAGCACATGTCTATAGTCCCAGCTACTCAAGAGGCTGCGGTTGGAGGATCACTTGAGCCCAAGAAGTTGAGCCATGATTGTACCACTGCACTCCAGCCTGGGTGACAGTGAGACCTGTCTCTTAAAAAAATAAAAAAATAAATAAATAAATAAATAAATAAATGTGACAATGGGTGTGTGGAAACAGTATCTGGTAGGCTCAGTGTAGGTGTTTAGTAAATGTTTCTCTTCCCCTGGAAGATGACAGATGCTTAGAGTCCTCTACTGGTAGGGGAGGCCTCTGTGGCCAGGTAGGTAACCCAGGTGATTGAAGGTGGCCAGGAAGTCAGATGGTGAACAAGGAGGGCAGCACAGCTCAGTATCAGCCAGACACTAATAGGGAGCAGAGGCCCCTGGGGGAAATGGGAGTGTCCATACCATTGTCTCCAGATCTGTTTTTCCAAGAGAAGCCAGAGGTAACCACAGCTCCTGACTTCTAACAGTTGGCAGCTAATTCAAATTTTAAATGTGTGGGCCAAACACACCTGCAGGCCAGATCCAGCTGTGTGAGATCTGTGCACTGTGATCTACTGAGGCCCCCTCCTCAGGGAGCTAGATTTCCTCAGGGTGCCTGTGGAGAGATGAAGGCACTGGCTGTGGAGCCTGATGGGCCTGGGTTCCAGTCCTGGCCTCACCACTTTGAGCTGTGTGATCTCGGGCAACACCCTGAAGCTCTTGGATCCCCTGTTCTCTCTGGGCGGGGACATTGTCTGCCTCACAGGGCAATTGTGAGGGTTGAAGGAGATGTTACGGGCGGTTGTAAGCAGCGGGTTACAAAGCTGCTCCTCTCCCCATACAGGGGGTGAGCTTCATTCATTCATTCCTCTTATGTCAGTGTCCTCCAGTGGGACCCCCCATGCCAAGGCCTGCCGCTCATGCTAGACCACCCTGGTAAAGTGGACAGGACAGGCTGGGCCCCAGGTTCTTCCCACGGAGTCATCAAACATTTGGATGTCCAGAGCATGCTGTCTAAAAGGCCTCTCTGTGCCCCCAGCACCCGCATTCTGTATGCTGTGCCTGAGCCCACCTTTTCTCCCTGGGCAGAGACAGCTGTGGCAGCAGAGCCCAAGCAGAGAGAGCTCCTCTCTCTCTAAATGGGCTCTTGTGAGGATCAATTAGGATGACGTTTATTCGCCCTGTGCCAAATCCCTGGCACAGAGAGTGTGCTCACAATGGCCATGGTGGCTGCTACAGTAGCAGTGGTGATTTGGGTTCTTTGTGGTCCTGGTGTGCTACTCATTTAACGTTTATTGAGAACGGACTGTGGTCCAGGCGCTGTTCTAGGTACTGAAGATAGAGCCATGCAGACAAAGTCCTGCCCTCACAAAACTTACAGTTCAGGGTGGAAAGACATGATAAGCCAAAGAGGGCTCTGGGACATGTGGGGTATCAGAAGGCGGTGAGTGCTGTGGAGAAAAATGAAAAGGGGATCGGGGCCGGGCGTGGTGGCTCACGCCTGTAATCCCAGCACACTGGGAGGCTGAGGCAGGTGGATCACCTGAGGTCAGGAGTTCGAGACCAGCATGACTAACATGGTGAAACCTCGTCTCTACTAAAAATACAAAATTAGCCGGGTGTGGTGGCGCATCCCTGTAATCCCAGCTACTTAGGCTGAGGCAGCAGAATCTCTTGAACCTGGGAAGTGGAGGTTGCGGTGAGCCGAGATTGTGCCACTGCACTCCAGCCTGAGTGACCAGAGCAAAACTCCACCTCAAAAAAAAAAAAGAGGGGATTGGGAGTGGGAGCATTTGCCATTTTAAACAGGGCTTGGTGAAGGCCTTGCTGATGAGGTGGTATTTGAGTAATGAACAGAAAAAGACCGGGGAGCGAGTCACAGGCGTCCGAGAGCAGTGCCCACCCAGGCCCGAGGCGAGAGGGCACCTGGATGGTTTGAGGCCAGCATGGAGGCCAGTGTGGCTGGTGGAGAATGAGGGGTTGGGGCTGGGGAACTGAGCGGGGCGGGGCGGGGTGGGGTGTTGTGGCGAGAGAAAGGACTCTGAGGGAGATGGAGATAGGGTGCATCTGGCAGGTGACTCTGGTCACTTTTCTTTTTTTTTGAGAGAGAGTGTTGCCCTGTCACCCAGGCTGGAGTGCACTGGAGTGCAATGGCACCATCTCAGCTCACTGCAACCTCCACCTCCCGGGTTCAAGCAATTCTCCTGCCTCAGCCTCCTGAGTAGCTGGGATTACAGATGCTCGCCACCATGCCTGGCTAATTTTTGTATTTTTAGTAGAGGTGGGGTTTCACCATATTGGCTAGGCTGGTCTTGAACTCCTGACCTCAAATGATCCACCCACTTTGGCCTCCCAAAGTGCTGGGATTACAGATGCCCACCACCATGCCTGGCTAATTTTTGTATTTTTAGTAGAGGCGGGGTTTCACCATATTGGCTAGGCTGGTCTTGAACTCCTGACCTCAAATGATCCACCCACTTTGGCCTCCCAAAGTGCTGGGATTACAGGCCTGGGCCATCACGCCAAGCCGACCCTGGCCATTCTCTTGCTGGGGTGAGAATAAACTCCAGAGGGTGAAGGGGAGGCAGGGACACTGCCAGGAGACTTGTGCAGTAAAATCTGCTGGAGGCGGGCAGCGGGTGGTAGAGGTGAGGAGTAAGAAGCAGTTGGATACCAGACATATTGAAGGGATGGATATGGTGATGGAGTCGGCAGCGACTGGAAGGCTTTGGGTGCTGTGGGTGACTGAGGTGGGGCAGCCTCGGGGAGGAGCAGTTGTTCGGAGGTTGATCTCAGCTGCACTCAGTGGAAATGCCTGTTGGACAGTTCAGAGGAGGTGTGGTGAGGCTGGTAGATAGGAGGATCGTAATTGGAGTTGAGAGTTGAGATTCACACTTGGGGCTATTTAAATCCTTGAGACTTTGGCTAGGGGCAATGGCTCATGCCTGTAATCCTAGCACTTTGGGAGGCCAAGGTGGGTGGATCACTTGAGGGCAGGAGTTCAAAACCAGCCTGGCCAACATGGTGAAACCCCATCTCTACTAAAAATACAAAAAAATTAGCCGGGCATAGTGGCGCGCGCCTGTAGTCCCAGCTACTCAGGAGGCTGAGACAGGAGAATTGCTTGAACCCGGAAGGCGGAGGTTGCAGTGAACCGAGATCGCGCTACTGCACTCCAGCCTGGACGACAGAGCGAGACTGTCTCAAAAAAAAAAAAAAAAAATTGCTTGAGACTGATGTCGTCAAGAGAGCAAGTATAATTTACATTTTTGTAGAGATGAGGTCTTGTTGTGTTGCCCAGGCTAGCCTTCAACTTGATCCTCCCCCCTTGGCCTCCCAAAACACTGGGATTACAGGTGTGAGCCACTGTACCTGGCCATGAGAGTGAGTGTAGTTTCAAAGAGGAAGCTGGCCGGGTGCGGCACTTTGGGAGGCCGTGGCAGGCAGATCACATGAGCCCAGGAGTTCGAGACCAGCCTGGGCAATATGGTGAAATCCCGTCTCTACAAAAAATACAACAATTAAATGGGTGTGGCGGTGTGCACCTGTAGTTCCAGCTACTCTGAAATCTGAGGTGGGAGAATTGCTTGAGCCTGGTAGGTTGATGCTGCAGTGAGCCGTGATCTTGCCACTGCACTCCAGCCCAGGTGACATAGAAAGCCCTGTCTCAGAAAAGAAAAAAAAAAGAAAAGTGGAAGCTGTCCCAGGCCTGAGCAGGGCGGGGTAGGCACATGGGAGACAGCCCTCATGCCCGTGGTCACATGGCAGGCACAGTGGCTAAGTGTGCAGTGACTGTTTTCCTTTTTCCTTTTTTGAAACGGAGTCTCCCTTTGTTGCCCAGGCTGGAGTGCAGTGGAGCGATCTCGGCTCACTGCAATCTCCACCTCCTGGGTTCAAGTGATTCTCTTGCCTCAGCCTCCAGAGTAGCTGGAACTACAGGTGTGTGCCACCACGCCCAGTTAATTTTTGTATTTTTAGTAGAGACGGGGTTTCACCATGTTGGCCAGGATGGTCTTGATCTCTTGACCTCGATATCTGCCTGCCTCAGCCTCCCAAAGTGCTGGGATTATAGGCGTGAGCCACCACACCCAGCCTCAGTGACTGTTTTCTTGCAGGTGACACACCATGTCTCGAAGGGTGCTGTATGGTTTGGTGGCATCCCTGACCCTCAGAGCTTAGAGAGATGAGGAGTGGCCTTGGAGGCAGGAGGAAGACAAGGAGAGGGTGGGGGCGCCAGCCCAGGGAAGGAGGCATCTAGGCAGGGCCACAGCCAGTGGCCTCAGTTCTGCTAAGGGGCCAGTGGGGGTGGGGCGCTGGGTTTGCCCCCTCTGATTGAGGGCGTTCAGCTGACCTTGGCTAGAGCAAAAGCCTCCCGAGGGAGAAAAGAGGTGGAGGCAGCACGGACAGCTTCATGAGGAGTTTTGCTGTAAAGAAAGCAGAGAAATTGAAGGGTAGCCAGACAGAAACGTAAAGTCCAGGATTCCCTTCCTTTTAAAGAAGTAGCTGAATGTGTATATGCTGTTGGGTCTAAACCAGTAGGGTGGGAAAAATTGATGATGGGGGTACTTCCTAGGATGATGTCTTTTTTTTTTGAGATAGGGTCTCACGCACTCTGTCACCCACGCTAGAGTGTAGTGGTGCCATCACAGCTCACTGTAGCCTCGACCTCCTGGGCCCACACAGTCCTCCGACCTCAGCCTCTCGAGTGGCTGGGACCACAGGATGCACCACCATGTGCAGCTCACTTGCTTATTTTTCAAGATGGAGTTTTGCTCTGTTGCCCAGGCTGGAGTGCGATGGCGCAATCTCGGCTCACTGCAACCTCTGCTTCCCGGGTTCAAGCGATTCTCCTGCTTCAGCCTCCCGAGTAGCTGGGATTACAGGCATGCACCACCATGCCGAGCTAATTTTATATTTTCAGTAGAGATGGAGTTTCGCCATGTTGGTCATGCTGGTCTCGAACTCCCGACCTCAGGTGATCCAACCACCTCAGCCTCCCAAAGTGCTGCGATTACAAGCGTGAGCCATCGCGCCCAGCCACTTATTTTTTTTAGAGAGACGGGGGTCTCACTGTGTTGCCCAGGCTGGTCTCGAACTCCTAGGCTTAAGCGTCCTCCCACCTTGGCCTCCCAAAATGTTGGGATTATAGGTGTGAGCCATGGCGCCCAGCTTGGAATGATGTGCTTGAGCCTGAGGGTGGGGGTGGGCTAGTGTGGAGTGGAGAGGCAGCTTAGGTGGCAGCTGGAACAGATCCTCTGAGGATTGTGGGAGGAGGCCAAAGGCAGATGTGCTGGTGGGGGCTGAGGAAAAAAGACAAGGTCATCAGCTGGGGGTAGGAGCAAGATGGGTAGGGGAGAGGGGAGGGTGCCCAGGCCAGGGGAGTGAAGTGTGCTTGCCAGGTGAAGTGTGCGTGGTGGGTGGGCACCTGTAATCCCAGCTACTTGGGAGGCTGAGGCAGGGGAATCGTTTGAACCCGGGAGGTGTAGGTTGCAGTGAGCCGAGATCGCGCCACTGCACTCCAGCCTGGGCAACAAGAGCAAAACTCTGTCTCAAAAAAACAAGTAGAGGAGGGAGGCTGTTTCTAGCCCCAGGAGGGCTGCGGGCAAGGCTTAGAGGTGGGGGAACTCTTCTCAGTGTGGCGGGAGCGGGGCTGAGCTGGGCTGTGCAGAGGGCCCCAGCCACCTGGTTGAGGCGTGGAGGCCAGCACTCCACCCTGGCCCTGACTTGCTTGCCCTGAAGTTCTCTTGGGCTGAAAGACTGGAGGAAACGCATTGCTCAAGGACATTCACTCACCTGTTGTTGTACAGTCCTGTAGGCCCCGCAGAACTTTAGTGACCCATGCAACTAGTTTGTCCTTAAGTGCCCAGCTTCCTGCCGTCTTTTGGGAGGACTCTGGGCAGTGGGCCGCTCCCATTGCCACATTCAGCAGCCTGTTTCAGGGACCCAGGGTGGCAGGTGGCTGCTGGGAGCTCAGTTGCCACCTTTGGAGTGTGACCTTTGCTGGGGGACATTTCCTTGGCCAGCCCCCGTTCTGGCCTGATGTTAACCTGTCGGGGTGGGGCTGTCTCCGCAGGACCTCCACAAAAAGTACTCGTACATCCGCAAGACCAGGCCTGACGGCAACTGTTTCTATCGGGCTTTCGGATTCTCCCACTTGGAGGCACTGCTGGATGACAGCAAGGAGTTGCAGCGGTGAGAAGGGTGGGCACTGGGCACCGAGGCAGGTGGGTGTCTACCTCCTCCCCGGGCGAGTAGGATGTGTCTCGAGTAGGGTGTCTCCCTCCTTCCCGGGCGATGGGCTGGACTCTGGCCTTGCCAGGCGGGGCAGTGCTGTCTCGGCCCTGGCGTCTGGGCTGGTCGAGGAGCCCATGCTGGGCCCGCCTTTCCATCCCACCCCCAGGTTCAAGGCTGTGTCTGCCAAGAGCAAGGAAGACCTGGTGTCCCAGGGCTTCACTGAATTCACAATTGAGGATTTCCACAACACGGTGAGCCCTGGTGCCTGTCTTGGGCTGGGCCATGGGGGAGGGGTTCACCTGGTGAGGACCACCCATCTCCTCCCCGTCATCTTGCCCTTTCTCCCTCCGTGGCTGCAGTTCATGGACCTGATTGAGCAGGTGGAGAAGCAGACCTCTGTCGCCGACCTGCTGGCCTCCTTCAATGACCAGAGCACCTCCGACTACCTTGTGGTCTACCTGCGGCTGCTCACCTCGGGCTACCTGCAGCGCGAGAGCAAGTTCTTCGAGCACTTCATCGAGGGTGGACGGACTGTCAAGGAGTTCTGCCAGCAGGTGCCGTCCCCCTCCCCTTTACTCTCGGCCGGGGGAGTGCAGTGGGCCCACAGGGCCTGGGGCGGGGTGCGGAGACCAGGGCCTGACCGGCACCTGTGCCACAGGAGGTGGAGCCCATGTGCAAGGAGAGCGACCACATCCACATCATTGCGCTGGCCCAGGCCCTCAGCGTGTCCATCCAGGTGGAGTACATGGACCGCGGCGAGGGCGGCACCACCAATCCGCACATCTTCCCTGAGGGCTCCGAGCCCAAGGTCTACCTTCTCTACCGGCCTGGACACTACGATATCCTCTACAAATAGGGCTGGCTCCAGCCCGCTGCTGCCCTGCTGCCCCCCTCTGCCAGGCGCTAGACATGTACAGAGGTTTTTCTGTGGTTGTAAATGGTCCTATTTCACCCCCTTCTTCCTGTCACATGACCCCCCCCCATGTTTTATTAAAGGGGGTGCTGGTGGTGAGCCGTGTGTGCGTGTCCCTGCTCTGCTGCCCGCCTGGCTGCTCTGTCTGCTGCCCCCTCCCCCCAGGTGGGTCCCCCTGCTTTTCACCTATCTACTCCTGAGCTTCCCCAACAGGAGCAGGTTTGAGGGGCCAGGCCTCTTGGAGGCCCCTCCTGCTTCGTTGGGTTCTGCTTCCTTCCCTTCTTAGCTGGCTCAGGGGCTTCTATGGGATCCTGGAAGTTCCTTAGGGACTTGCCCAGGGTCCCAGGGCCACCCACACTTCATCTGCTCCCTCATAGGCCCCACCTCCACGTCCCGGCTGGGCCCCAGACCCCAGCTTCCTGCCCTCCACCGGGAGTCTGCATGGTTGGGAGTCCTGGGTGGAGGGGCCTTTGTGAGGCTGGACCCGGCTCAGGGCAGGTGGAGGAGCTGGGCCTCCCACAGGGTGCCCGGGCAGTGCCATCCTGGTGGGGGAGGGCAGCCTTCAAACGTGTGGGGTCTACAGTCCTCAGGTCTAGGCAGGGCTGCCGGTTCTCCACCTCCCCATCCGCCCCAGGCCCCCTGCCTGTGCCTGCCTTGCACCCCCTCTGCTTGGGCCACGGTGTCTCTGCATTGCCTGCCTTTTTGCCTTCACCTCTTTTCTTCCCCGCCCCCTGCACATTCGGGGTCTCAGCCCCCAGGCTGTGAGCTCCTTGGGGGCAGGCCCTCAATAAATGTGAACTGCTGCTGCCGCCTCTGCCGTCCGCCTGTGCCTCTGCCCGCCTGGCTCACCGAGAGCTCTTGCCAGCCCCTTTCAGTGAAAGCATCTGGCCAGGGGCTCCATCCAACACCTGGGCCGCCTTCCTTCCCCCCAGTCAGAGCTCAGACAGTAGGAGCTGCCACAACGAGATCTTTATTAGGCTCCTCGGGGGCGGGGCGCGGAGGGAAAGAAGGGGTGGCCAGGCCCAGGCCAGGCTGCAGGCTTTGGCGACCTCTCAGAGCTGGGAGCGGGGTCCCGAAGGCGGGTCTGAGGGCAGAGCAGAGTCAGAGGTGTCTATGGGCGTCCCCGACCTCCCAGGCTGCCCCGTGGTTTCCCGCCCTGCTTGGGGGTGAGCGGGGGTTAGTGGGCGGGTTAGTCTAGGGCCGGGGCCGCCGCACGGGGCGAGGCCCTGCTTACCAGTCCCGGTCAGGGTGGGCTGCGGGAGCCTCAGGCTGGAAGGCAGAGGACAGTGAGAGCCCGCCCCCAGGGTGGACCGGGGCAGGGGCGGGCCGTGGGGCGGCGCGGGGCACGTACCCACGGGGAAGTAGTGGGGGAGCCGGCTCCGGTAGATGTCCTCGTCCTTCTCGAGGAACACGCAGATGATCAGCCGGTCCACCTGCGCCAGGGGCTGCTCAGCCTGGGCCGAGCTGCCACGCCTGGCCCCAGGATCCTGTGACTGCCTGCCCTGGTGCAGGCTTTCACCTGCCTGGCCCTGCGCCCTTCACGGAGGCTCACGGCTGTGTGCCATCACCCCCATCTCGCCACCGCCAGGCGCCCTTGCGCAGGAGAAACAGGGAAGGAAGGGGCGGGCCTGGCCCTGCGCTCTGCACCCTGACTCCCTGGGCGATGATGGGGGCTGGTCACTCTGGCCGGGATGCGGACCCCACCCTCGCCCGGGCCCAGGACTCACCTTGTCCTTGTGCTGCTCCAGCCACTCTCGCAGCGTGGCCAGCACGATCTCGGCGGCCGCCTCACAGGGGTAGCCTGAGGCGGGTGGGGCGGGAGTGAGTCCTAGGCTCTGGCCCCGCCCACTCCCCTGTCCGCCCCGGCCCCTCCCGGCGTCTGGGTCCACCGCCCACTCCTGGTCCTTGCCTTTCTTCCAGACTCACCAAACACGCCGGTGGAGATGCAGGGGAACGCCTGGGCGGGGAGGGGTGAGAGGGGGTTGGAACATTGTCACTGCGCCCCGCCTCCCGCCCTCCCCCGCGGGCCGTCCCTCACCACCGAGCGGAGCCGGTGCTCCAGCAGCAGGTCCAGACTGCTCAGGTAGCAGCTGCGGAGCTCGGCAGCCTGACTGGCGCTGGGCTCCCCGTAGGCGATGGGCCCCACTGTGTGGATGACGTCTACGGGGGGCGACGGGGTCAGACCGGCGGGGGTCTACGCGGTCCTCAGCTCCCTCGCTTCCCCCTGCCGGCCTGGGCAGAAGGGGGCAGGAAACACCTTTCCCCCCAAGCGCTGAGCCTCCTCCGCGAAGGCCCCCACCCCTGTGGGCCCCCTCGAGCCCGAATCCGCACGCGCACAGAGCCCCGCGCCCCCTCCCCACATCTGTATGGGCCCGGCTGAGACCCGAGCGCGAGTGTGGGCGCGAAGGCGTTGCCCCCCAGCTCCATCCTCAGCCTCCACGCACGGTCTCCCCCATGTGCTTCCTGGGGTGTGCGGGGTGGGGGCCGGGTCTTGGCCCTTAAGGTTAAGAAGGGCCCCCTGAGGAGTTCCCCAGCACTCCTGTGGGGGCCGCACCCCTGATGTCCCAGTGACACACGGGCGCCCTGTCTGCGCCCCACAGCTGGGGGCGCGTCGGGGACTCACACTTGGCCGGGAGCCGATAGCCGCCGGTGATCTTGGCCTTGCCAGTCTTACAGCTCTGCAGGGTCCGGCACTCGTCGGTAAGCAGGGGGCCGGCGGCCCGATGAATGCAGCCGTCCACTGCGGGAAGGGCGGGCGCGACTGAGCTGGCCTGGCAAGGCTGCGGCCCCGGGGTGAGCACCCTCAGTCCCGAGAAGCCCCTCGGCGATGCGAGGACCCATGCGGAGCCGCGCCCCAACCCCGTGGCCTCCGGCCGCGGCCGCTGCCCCCACCCCCGCCCGGAATGTTTCACATCTGGGGAAACCGAGGCGCAGAGCGGGACGGCCCTGGGCCTGGCGGGAAGTCGCGCAAGGAGGCCGGCAGGGGGCGCACCCGGCCCACCCTGTCCCTTCCAGGCCGCGCCGCCAGGGCCCAGGCAGGGCGGCTCCGGGAGGCGGGGGCCGCCGGGACAGGAACCGCCGCCCGAGCCGGGGTGACGGGGAAGCTTCCTCCCCGACGCCCCTCCCTAGCCCTGTCCCGGGCGCGCTGCAGGGCCCGCGACCAGTCGCTGCCTCCGCCCGGGCCTCAGCGTCGGTGCGATCCCAAGGCCCACCTCCCCAGGCGGCGCCCCATCACGGGGCGGCGGCAAACCCTAGGACCCATTTTGCGGATGAGGAAACCGAGGCCACCTTGTTACAGGGTGATCAGATCTGTAGCTGGAGTCTGGGTCTTCCAGCCGCGCGGGGAGGTGAGCCCGACGCCCGGGCCCGAGTCTCCTGGCGCGCAAACCCCAGCTGGTTAATGAACCGCCTCGTTAGCGCATCCAGCTTAATTACGGCCCCGCATGGGCTTGTTTATCCGAGGGCGGCTGCAGGGCCTCGCGAGCGACCCTGGGGACCCGGGCGCAGATAAACAACCGGGGCGCAGCGGGAGGCATGGAGGAAACGCTCCAGCAGCCCAACCTCGCCAGGGCACCGCGCAGGAGAGGCGCGGCCTCAGGCAGGCCTGGGTCCAGCCCGGGCTCACCCCTCATCGGCTGTGAGATCCTGCCCCTTCCCCTCTCTGGCGTCCACCCTCTTATCTGGAATACCGGGACAGCGACCCTCCCACAGAGGAAAACGCCGCGTGCTGGCCGGGAGGACAGGGCCCATCTTTGGCAGCTCTGATCGCCCACGCCAGGAGCTCCTCAGGCACCAGCTGCCTGGTGCTCACAGGCGGGCATCAAGAGAGGACCATCATTCCCCATTTTACAGATGGACAAACCAAGGCCACCTTCTCCTTCATCACCTCAGTCTCGGCACAGTTCCAGGGATGCCAGGTAGCTCACACCCCTTTCTTTTGCTGTTTGATCTCGTGCCCTGGGGGCACAATTAAACCTCATTCTGCAACTTTACTCAGAGCTGGCACCAGGCAATTTCCCAGAGCGTCCCAGGGATGGGTGGGCAGAGAGGTTAGGGGAACGCTGAGAACGGCTCAGGCCTGGATCCCTTCCACCTGCTCCTCTCCTCTGCAGGGAGAAAGGCAGCTGTAGCCCAGGGCGAGGCTGAGATGGAGCAAGAAGGCAGGGCCCAGAGCGGGCGTCCAGGCTGGAGCTCCCAGTGCTGGGAAGTGAGTGTTCCGAATGGGGTGCCGTGGCTGGGCTGTGGAGCTGGGCAACGTGAGTTCACATCCTGGCTCTGCCAGCCACAGATGTGTGACCCCTCACATATCATTTAACCTCTCTGGGTCTCAGTTGCTCCATCTGGAAAATGGGATAATAGCACCCACCTCAGAGCTCATTGGGCTGTTGGAAGGATTGAGTTAAACTAACTTTGTAATGTGCTTAAGGCAGTGCTTGGCAAGAATGGAGGTCATGAGTGTATCCTGTTATTAACAACAGTGTGACAGTGTGGGCATGTTCGGGTATGTGTACATCAGTGTGATGGGAGGTGGGTGCACACAGGGTGTTCACAGTGTGTGGGGGTGAGCCCAGGGATCTGTCTGAGCTGGCTCTCCTAGGAGCCTCCCGGGTCGAGCACCTGGCACCGGCTGCTCGAAGTCTCTGGGGGCTCACCGCCCTGCAGGCGACCTCGGCCAGCTGTGGGGGCCCGTGCGGGGAAGTGGAGCTCAGTGTTTCAGGAATTTAATGTTTCCTGCGGAAGTGGACTGGCCTGCAGCCAGGCCTTTGGGGCTGACCTGGGGGCGCAAGGGAGGTGGAGGGAGCTGGAATCAATGCTGGCAGAGGGCTCAGGCCAGATGCCCCCTCCTCACCCCCAGCAGTTCCAGAACAGGGCCTGGGCCAGGTGATGGCTCTGCAGGGGCCCCAGGGAGGGGCTCCCCTAAAGCAGAGATGAGGGACAGGTCACTGTCAGCCCACTGCTACCCCAACAAGCTAGAGTGCAGCCTGGCCCCTCTTGCCTGCGTGTCCCTCCCTGTCCACACACCAGCCTTCTCGCTCTCTCCCCTGAGAGTGCAGAGGGGAACCCCCCCACCCTGCTCTCCTTAGCCATAGGCCCAAAGGACCCCTCCCACACACACTCCCAGAGTCCCCTTAGCTCTGCCCTCCAGGCCCTGTCCTGGCTCTTACCTGGGGCTAAGCTAGGTCCTAGAGACTCAAGCTTCCTGGGGTCCCATTCAGGGGAGATGCCCTTCCTTCCCTCTTCCCTCTTCCCACCCCACCCCAAGGCAGCTGGAAAAGACCAGCAGCCCTGATCCCTGGGGCTACCTGGTGGAGGTGGGGTATTCCCAGTTCACAGGAGCTGACCAACCCTTAGTCTCCTCTCCAGGGCCCTCAGCCACCAAAACAAACCTCCAGGCTCCAGCTCAACCCTCACCCCAAGTCAGCAGAAAACCTGGGGTCTTTCCTGGGGAGGCAGAGCCCACTTGGGTGGCGGGACCCCCCTGAGATGTTTCTCCATCAGGTCAAAGATGAAGCCTTCCTCCACCTGTGGCCAGAAGATGGCCCCTAAGGCCCCTCTGCCTCCTCCCTGCAGCCCCTTCTTCCCTCCACCCTCCTCTACCGTTAAACTCCCCCTGATATGGCTCCTTCATATCAGCCCTCTGTCTCACTATATCATCCAGGCTGGAGTGCAGTGGTGCAATCTTGGCTCACTGCAACCTCTGCCTCCTGGGTTCAAGTGATTCTTATGCCTCAGCCTCCCGAGTAGCTGAGCTTACAGGGGCGCACCACTATGCCCAGCTGATTTTTTGTATTTTTAGTAGAGATGGGGTTTCACCATGTTGCCCAGGCTGGTCTTGAACTCCTGACCTCAAGTGATCCACCCGTCTCAGCCTCCCAAAGTGCTGGGATTACAGATGTGAGCCTGTGTTTTTTTGAGACAGGGTCTTGCTATGTTGCCCTGCCTAAGCCTCCTAAGTAGCTGGTATGACTCACCCCCCATGGCCTTTGTCAGCCTTCTTGTTGGGTAAGCACCTGCGTGGTGATTTACAGCCGCTGTCTTATTATTTTTCCTGTTTATAGAAGAAGAAACTGAGGCACAGAGAGCAAAACTTGCCCACACGGCTGGAAGGTTGGGCTCCCAACCTCAGTGGCTCTGCTTCCTCTGGGACCACTAAAGGGCCTCGCCCTGAACCACTCTGGCTGACTGGTTTGAATGGCCCCCTGTCCACGCTCTTGGGGAGGCAGTGTCTCCCCACATCAGCACGTCCCCTTCCAGCAGGGGGGCTGCCCTGGTGGCCTCTTGTTGCACAGTGTTCTGAGGCCACTGTCTTTCTGGACGGTTTGGCTGCCCCCAGCGCTGACGGCTCCCTCCATCCAGCGGGACTTCCCGTCTCCTTCGTGGGCTCTCGTTCCTCAGGCCGCTCCTCAAATGCCACTGGGGCTCTGCCTGCCCTCGCCTGAGCCCGGAGGAACCTCTTTCTGCCCCAAGCCCTGGCCTCTGAGCGGCCCTTGACCCTCCGCCCCATCTTAGGCATCTCCCTGCTTTGCTGTGGTAAAGCCCTGCCTTCCAGCCTCCACGGCCAGCATTCAGCCCAGCATCTGTGCGCCTCCCATGGAAGGATGTTGTGGAAGGAAGGAGGGCTGGGCTGAGTGATTGCCCATGGCCCTGGGCATTCCTGGGGCAGTGGAGGGCACCAGGAGTGGGCAGTCCTCAGAGCCAGCAGAGGCGGAAGGCAGGCAGGCTCCGGTGGGGCCATCCGCCAAGGCGCTTAGGATGAGTTGGCCGCTATTTAGGGTGCTGTAATATGCATGAAGGGAAGATTAGATATTTAAATTTATTCAGCAATAAATGCATCTCAGTGGGGGAGCATTCCTCATGCTAAACAAACAAGCAGGCAGGGGCTAATTAATTATTTACAGGAACATAAGGAGGCCTGTGGCCCACAGGACCAGGAGGGCAGCTGTGCCCCTACCGAGGGCAGGGCACCCCAACCCGCAGGCCTGGACCTGCTCCTGGTCTCTCTCTGCTCCCCCATTCCCCCTACCATCCCGTGGGGCTGGCCCACGCTGTGCCCTCTTTGGGATTTCTCTTCCCAGAATTCCTGGCCACGAGATTGCTGGTGGTTTGGGGCAAGTCACTTAACCTCTCTGAGTCTCAGAGCTCTGGCCTCCAGAGACTGGTGGGGGCTGGGAGGGGTGACTCATGCCTGTAATCTCAGCACTTTGGGAGGCTGAGGTGGGAGGGTCACTTGAGCTCAGGAGTTCGAGACCAGCCTGGACAACATAGTAAGACCCCATCTCAAAGAAAAGAAAAAAGAGTGGTGGGGAGCACTGAGATATGCTGGAAGGTGTCAAGGGGGATGGGAGACTGAGGGCCAGGGGGGTTAAGCAACCTGTCCAAGGCCCCACAGTGAGAGGAGGAGCAGAAACTAAGATCCACTTTATTTATTTATTTATTTATTTATTGAGACAGTTTTTTGCTCGTTGCCCAGGCTGGAGTGCAATGGCATGATCTCAGCTCACTGCAACCTCCGCCTCCCGGGTTCAAGCAATTCTCCTGCCTCAGCCTCCTGAGTAGCTGGGATTACAGGCGTGTGCCATGATGCCTGGCTAGTTTTTGTATTTTTAGTAGAGGTGGGGTTTTGCCATGTTGGCCAGGCTGGTCTTGAACTCCTGACCTTGTGATCCGCCCGCCTCGGCCTCCCAAAGTGCTGGGATTATAGGCGTGAGCCACCGCGCCCGGCCAAGACCCACATTATTAACCCTCATCGTACAGAAGTAGTGATAGGCTCAGAGAGGCAAAGCCACTTTCCCAGAGCCACACAGCAAAGTGTAAGGCCTTGCCTGGGCAGCTCTTGCCCCTGGCCCCCACCTTCCTAGACTCCTGTGGGCCCCAAGAGCAGGGAGGTGAACAGGAAGGGGGGCCTGGGCAAGGTTGTGGGGGTGAGTGGGGCCTGGGCTGGCTGGGTGTCCAGCCTGCTGCCCTGTGACTGCAGCGTCTGGCCCTGCCTCTCAGGTGCCGAGTCTCATACCTCTCTGGCTCAACCTCACGCCTCTGAAATGAGCTTTTGGGGGCTGTATGGGAGGATCCCCTTTTTACAGATGGGAGGCTGAGGCTCAGCCATGGACTTCACAGGCAGGGGATTCCTTTGCCCTGTCATGCTTTTGGGGGCCTTGTACCCCAGGGACTGGCTGCACTGCCAGGGTGGAGATGCCCCTGAGAAGGCAGGCAGGAGGGCTGGAGACAGAGGGCCTTGGGGAGGCAGAGGTGTGAGCTGGGGTTTGAGGGAGGGGTGTGTCTCCCCTCCAGCCCAGGAAGGACCAGGGGTCTGGGCTCCAGGGACCACTCCCGCCTGGACGGGCTGGGCACAGCCTGGAGGGCATTGGCAGCCAAGCCTCGGTGCAGCCCATGCTGGTTTCCCTCTCTGGAGGAGGGCTACAGAAATACCAGATGCCAAGGCAGAAAGGGACAAGGCTCCCGGGGAAATGGGGGAAACTGAGTCTCTGAGAGGGTACCAACTGCGTCAAGGGCAGACATCTGACTTGCTGCCCCAGGCTTCTAACCCTGCAGAGGGAAGGTTTAGCCACAAAGACCGGATAAGTGACCTACCCAAGGGTCTTGCGCTCTCTTCTCTCCCAGCCCACTCCTCATTCTCCACCTCTGGCTTCTATTCAACTAGGCCAAGACCTGAGCGATATCCCATTGCCGGAACCATCTTTGCTTCTGCTCACACCCTCCTGGTCGGCCATTCAATCAACAAACTCTAGCCAGCCCCGGCTCTGTGCTAGGCTTGAGCTCAGCCCAGCAGGGTGCAGAGCCCATCCTCACCAGGCCCCACCCTCTCGGTGCCAAGGCGGGTGGGTGCCCGGGGGAGAAGATGGATGGACGACAGTTCTGTGATGAGATCTGAAATTCATTACGGGGTGAGATCAGCTCCTTAAATGGGGATTTGAAAACATTAGGGCTTCATTATGTACACAACGGCAGTGCCTCATTCATCATGCAAAAATCACTCCCGTTATTAAAAATCCCTGTGGCAGCTGCATGCCGGGGCTTGGTGGCATCGTGCCTGCTGGGGACAGAGCAGGAGCTCCACAGCCCTGCCTGGTCAAAGTTGTGGCCACGGGACAGGGGCCCCAAGTCCCAGCCTCCCTCTTACACAGGGGCCAGCTGCGGGGTGGGGCGGGAAGTGAGGTTCAGCTCCAGGGACTTAGTGCCTCAGTTTCTCCACCTGCAAAATGGAGACGCTAATGATGCCTCCCATAGGGCGGGGTGAGGGTGTATGAGATTCTTCAGGGAGAGGTTCAAAGGGTGCTGGTGGCCATGTCGTAAGTACTGAGAATGCCTGGCTGCCGTTGGCACCATCATCAACTGGGGTCAGGCAGGGGTGGCAGGAAGGCCTGGGGGCCTTTCCTTGGGGAAGGGCACGCATCCCCTGTCATAAAACCTCCCATGGCTCCCAAGAGTACATGGAATAAAATCCTCAACTCCAACAAAGCTTTCCTGGACTCTCTGGGGCTCCCTGCAGCCTCCCTCTCAGATGAATTCACTGCCTCCCGCGCCCCTCCTACTGGTTCCAAACTCTACCATTCAAAAAATGCGTACGAGGGCTCGGGGGCGACGTGCCACGTGCCAGCCCTATGCAAGGGCCAGGAGTCCTGTGGCCGCAGCAGTTCTAGGGACGGGACACGCGGCTCTAAGTTGTGGGCGTGGTGAAAAAGGAGAAGGGGAAAATGGAGCTGGCCCCGAGGAAGGAGGGAGGGATGGGCGCCGTTCAGAGGATGAGGTGGCCCCTCCGAGGAGGTGGCATTGGAGCAGAGCCCTGAGTAATGAGAAAGAACTGGCTTTGGAAGGAGATGGGGAGGAGAGTCCGGGATGAGAGTCCGGGCGGAGAGCTCAGGAAGGGCAGAGCCCTGTGGCAGGAACAGGCCGGCGGGTGAGGCTGGGAGGGAGCGCTGCCTCTACAGGACCTCCCGGGAGGTGCGAGGAGTCGAGCAATTGGGAATTGATTCGAGCGCGGTGGGAAGTTTCCATCAGTGAAGGGACGTGTTCTGGTTCGGCCTCTGGACCCTCTTCTGTTCCCTCTTCTGGACACGCCCTTCCCTTCTATGCTGAAGCACAGCCCCCTCCCCCCTCGCCCTTTGCCAGACAGCCCCACGCCAGAGGGTCCCGGCACGCCCACCCTGCACACACAACACCCACCAGACTGGCACAGGGACAGGTGCGGGGACTGCCCAGCCCTTCCGGCTGCCTGCTGCTTCTGAGCTCAGCCCTGCTGGGGAGGGGAGGGCCGCACACAGCCCCGCCTCCAGAGGGCCGAGGCTGGCCACAGGCCACGGAGGTCACGTTTATCTGCTCGCAGAGCAAGGCCACGGCTAATCGGAGCGGCCGGAGCTGAGCCTTTTCCTAGCGGCCGCGGGAAGCAATCACGGATTAGCAGCGGCCGGGCGATGGGAGATAGCGCCAGAGCAGGGCGCGGAGCGCTTGTGAGCCGGGCAGGAGTCGAGCGCTGAATACTTAGAGGCCTGGGCGAATCCTCCCGGGCCTGCGGGTCTACGAACAGAGAACCAGCCAGAGCCAGAGAGAAAGAACGACAGGAGAAGGGAGAGGGAGCCAGGGAGAGGCAAAGCGTGGAGGGAGAAATGGAGAAAACGAGGGAGAGAGGGAGGTGGCAAGAGAAAGAGGTGAGGGAGAGAGGCAGGGTTGTGGGGGAGAGCGCTCGGCTGGCCCCCAGGGTCCCAGCATGTGTGTGAGGAGGGACCGGCCCTGGGTGGCGGCTTCTGAGCAGGTGAGGGAGTCTGCGGTGGGGCCTGGGGAGAGGCGCCCAGGGTTAGGGTGCGGGCGCGGGACAGGGAGTGTTGTCCACCTGGCAGACCTTCACTAAATGCAGCAGTGGAGGGGGTGTCGGAGGGGCTGCCCTGACATGGGAAGGTGAAACTAGGCGGGAGGGTTGCGACAGGAGGGCAGAGGAGCGCTCGGGCCCGGGAGCAGCATGTGCAAAGGCCCGGTGCTAGGGGAAGACAGTGAGGGAAGCCCAGCCACCCTAGCTTCTCTTGGGCGGTGTAGGAGACACACACACGGGCTTGCCCTGCCAGCACAGGGTGCAGAGGTGCTCAGGGCCGACGGCATGGGGGCAGGGGCAGCTGCACCCACACAGGCAGGCTCGGCTCCTGCAGTTTGAGCGGGGTCGCTAACCTCAGGAAGGCCCCAGACAGAATGTGGGGAGGTTGGGGATGGGGTTCCATCCTCTCCTGCCCGCCTGCCAGGGACCTGCCTGACTCCCTCCCACCCATGCCAGGAGCTGACCCTTTGGGGCGCTGGCCAGGCCGGAGTAGAGATGGCGGCCACGCAGCCAGAGGAAGGCGGCCCTGAATTAATCTGTCACTAAAGCTTGGCCGTGGCAGGCGCAGTCATGATTTAGATGAATAATTGAAACGCTCGGATACATTTATTATCCCTTTAGTGCAAAAGTGGCAGAGAAAGACGAGGGGTAATTGAAAAAGAGCGCACAAATCTCCCCGAGAAAGCCGGCTCCTTATCTCCGAGTAAACATTTCAGTCCTAATAAACAGGAGAGACACGGGCGTCAGGGCTCTGTCGATTCCCATCCTGATTTAGGACCTGCCTCCCTTCTTACCATACAATAGGAGAGTGTTTTAAAAAATGTTTTTATTGAGCCAGTAAAAGCTTTCCAGGAGGGAGGTGGGAGAGAGGAGGGGGCCTGGCAGACACCAGGCCAAAGGGTCTGTCGGGAAGGCTGGCAGCTGCCCCAAGCCCATCAAGCCTTCCTGAAGCAGACACAGGCCTTCCCCCTGGGGGGCCCGTCCATCCTGCTCTACCTGCAGAACTCCTATTTAGCCTTCGGGACCCAAGTCAAATGCTCCCTCTGCTGGGAAGCCTCCTACCAAACTGGGTCTCCCTGAAGGCAGAGCCAAGCCCTGAGTCCCAGCATTTGGCATAGCTCCCTCAACTCAGAGAGAGCTCCAGGGAAGAATGGGTAGTAAGGGAGTAGGGGGACTTCCCCAGGACTCACTGCATTGCCAGCACCATCTAGTTCGGCCCCAGGGTGTGGTGGGTGGGGGTCCAGGCCCAGAGTGAGGCAGGCACAGGAGTCCTGTGCCCTCCAGGTTAAGTCCCTTTAGCCCCAGCAGCCCCTGGGGGCTCTCACTGCATTGGGGGTGCCCGGGAGACTCCCTTCTCTGCTCCCCTGAGACTGCAGCCCTCTTCTGCTCTAAATCACCGCACATTTGCCGTAAAAACAGTGGGCTCGGGCCCCAAAGCCCTGCAGGCCAGTCCCAGCCCCATCTTCTGAGCCCCAGTTGCGCCGGCCCCTCCTGGCAGGAACTCCACGCCACTACCCACACCAGGGTGTTGGCCGGGGTGTTGGCTGGGATGTTGGTTGGGTTGTTGCCTGGGGTATTGGTTGGGGTGTTGGTTGGGGTGTTGGCTGGGTTGTTGGTTGGGGTGTTGGCTGGGGTGTTGGCTGGGGTGTTGCCCAGGGTGTTGGTTGGGGTGTTGGTTGGGGGGTTGGCTGGGGTGTTGGTTGGGGGGTTGGTTGGGGTGTTGGTTGAAGTGTTGCCTGGGGTGTTGGTTGGTGTGTTGGCTGGGGTGTTGGTTGGCATATTGGTTGGGGTGTTGCCCAGAGTGTTAGCTGGGGTGTTGGTTGGGGTGCTGGCTGGCATGTTGGTTGGGGTGTTGGCTGGCATGTTGGGGTGTTGGAGTGTTGGCTGGTATGTTGTTTGGGGTGTTGGTTGGGGTGTTGGTTGGAGTGTTGGTTGGAGTGTTGGCTGGGATGTTGGCTGGGGTGTTGACCGGGGTGTTGGCTGGAGTGTTGGTTGAGATGTTGGCTGACATGTTGGGGTGTTGGTTGGGGTGCTGGCTGGCATGTTGGTTGGGGTGTTGGCTGGGGTGTTGGTTGGGGTGTTGGTTGGTGTGTTGGTTGGGGCGTTGGCTGGCATGTTGGTTGGCATGTGTTGGTTGGGATGTTGGCTGGCATGTTGATTGGGGTGTTGGCTGCCATGTTGCTTGAGGTGTTGGCTGGGGTGTTGGTTGGAGTGTTGTTTGGGGTGTTAGTTGGGGTGCTGGCTGGTGTGTTGGTTGGGGTGTTGGCTGGCATGTTGGCTGGCATGTTGGTTGGGGTGTTGGTTGGCATGTTGGTTGGGGTGTTGGCTGGCATATTGGTTGGCACGAGTTGGTTGGGGTGTTTGGGATGTTGGCTGGCATGTTGGTTGGGGTATTGGTTGGGGTGTTGGCTTGCATGTTGGCTGGAGTGTTGGTTGGGGTGTTTGCTGGTGTATTGTTTGGGGTGTTGGCTGGCATGTTGGTTGGGGTGTTGGCCAGGGTGTTGGCTGGCATGTTGGTTGGGGTGTTGGCTGGCATGTTGGTTGGCATGTGTTGGTTGGGGTGTTGGTTGGGATGTTGGCTGGTGTGTTGGTTGAGGTGTTGGTTGGGATGTTGGCTGGCGTGTTGGCTGGCATGTTGGTTGGGGTGTTGAAGTGTTGGCTGGGGTGTTGGTTGGCATGTTGGTTGGGGTGTTGGCTGGCATATTGGTTGGCACGAGTTGGTTGGGGTGTTAGGATGCTGGTTGGCATGTTGGTTGGGGTATTTGTTGGGGTGTTGGCTGGCGTGTTGGCTGGGGTGTTGGTTGGGGTGTTGGTTGGGGTGTTTGCTGGTGTATTGTTTGGGGTGTTGGCTGGCATGCTGGTTGGGGTGTTGGCTGGCATGTTGTTGGGGTGTTGGCTGGCATGTTGGTTGGGCTGTTGGCTAGGATGCTGATTGGGGTGTTGGCCAGGGTGTTGCCTGCTGCCCCTCTCCATTGAGGGACTGGCAGACTGGCAGTCCCCAGGGTGAGGGGATGGGATGTGGGTGCCAGACTGAGAGCTGTGTCCCTGGCTCCCAGGGCACACAGAGGGTGCCACTCACTGCACCACAGATGTTAATTATTTACTTCAAAGCAGGAAGCTCTTCTAGGAGCTCAGAATCTCCCATAACCCTGCCCTCGGGGGAGTCCATTCCGGTGGGGAGGCAGGCAATGAAGAACAAACACAAAACGCAAGCAGGGAATCAGGGCTGCGGGACGAAGACATGGAGCAGGGCAGTGCATCAGGGTTCTGGGCAGAGTGGCCAGGGCAGGCAGGATGGCCCTTGTGCGTGTTCGAACAATGGGTGGCTGGTCATGGGAGGGGCGCGGGTAGAGGCCTGAACTCCTGTAGGAGGGATGTCCAGGGACCCCACGGGAAGATGGGTGTGTCTGGGCAGAGTCAGATGGGGTCTAACTTGGGCAGGTAGGCGATTAGGACTGGATGAACTCAAAGGATGGTGGGAGGAGCAGGGGTATAGGGGAGGGCAGAGCACCTCCGGGGACCAGGCTGGGCTCCATTCCAGCCCCAGCATCGTCCCTACCACAGCCCCCTCCCCACCACCTCCACTGTGTTCCAATCACATTAGCAGAGTGACAGTCCCAGCAAGTGCTGGCGGCGGCTCCATAAATCTCAGCCCATGTTAAAAGGTTGGACTCCGGGCCCACTTCCTCCAGGGGCACCCGCCCCGTCCATCTCTCCATCAGTCAGGTTGTGTGAGAGGCCTGTGCCAGCCGCTCCGCACCCCTAAATGCTGGAAGGAGAACCAGAGAGACCTCTGCCATGCCTCTGAGTGGCCAGGGCAGGGCCCCTCCACTTCCTAGAGTGAGGTCACAGGCCATCTGTGAGCCACTCCTGGATTTGCCAAAACATCTTTGGTTTCCACCAGCTGCCCTTGGGTAAGTCCGTTGCTTAATGTGTAGGGTCATCTCCACCTTTACCTGTAGTTCATTCATTCAATAAACTTTTTTTTTTTTTGAGACAGGGTCTCGCTGTGTTACCCAAGCTGGAGTGCAGTGGTGTGATCTTGGCTCACTGCAGCCCCTGCCTATGGGGTTCAAGCAATTCTCCTGCCTCAGCCTTCTGAGTAGCTGGGATTACAGGTGTGTACCACCATGCCCAGCTAATTTTTGTATTTTTAGTAGAGACGGGGCTTCACCATGTTGGCTAGGCTTGTCTTGAACTCCTGACCTCGTGATCTGCCCACTTCAGCCTCCCAAAGAACTGGAATTACAGGTGTGAGCCACCGCTCCTGGCCTTAATTTTTATATTTTTAGTAGAGACAGGGTTTCACCATGTTGGCCAGGCTGGTCTCGAACTCTTGACCTGAGGTGATCCACCTGCCTTGGCCTCCCAAAGTGCTGGGATTACAGGCATGAGCCACCATGCCCGGCCCCTTGTTCCTTGTTTTTTGAGACAGGGTCTAACTCTGTCACCCTGGCTGGAGGGCAGTGGCGCAATCATGGCTCACTGCAGCCTTAACCGCCCGGGCTCAAGTGATCCTCCTACCTCAGCCTCCCAAGCTATGACTACAGGCACACATGCTAGCATGGTTAGTTGATTTTTTTTTGTAGAGATGGGGTCTTACTATGTTCCCCAGGCTGGTCTCAAATTCCTGGGCTCAAGCAATCCTCCTGCCTCGGCCTCCCAAAGTGCTAGGATTATAGGCTGGGATTACAAACATTTACTGAGCACTTATTATAAGTGCCAGCCCCAGATACAGTCTTTCATTTTCAGGGGGTAGAAGACAAGGAACACAATATGTAAGTAAATTATACAGCACATTAGAAGGAGACAGGTGCTCAGAAAAGTTAAAACCACAGCAGGGTGGGGGCCGGGGGAGTGCCAGCATGGGGCAGGGGAGGCAGCTGCAATTTCAGCTAGGGGCCAGGGTGGACCCCCCTGAGAGATGGTATTCAAGTCAAGGCCTGTCGGAGTGAACGGAGCAGCCGCGTGGACAACTGGAGCAAGGGCATTGCAGGCAGAAGGAACTGCCAGGGCAAAGGCCCGGAGGCAGGAGTGGGCGGGGCCTGTCCAGGGAGGCCAGGGTGGCCGGAGCAAAGTGGAGAGGGTGGCAGTGCGGAGGTGACTGTGAGAGGTGACTGGGGACCTAACGGGCCATGCTAAGGAACTTGGCCTAGGCCCTGAGTGAGACAAGAACCCTGGCAGGGTGGTGGGCAGAAGAGACTCGATGAGCTGATGTGGGACAGAAAGGCCCACCCCCTTTGTGATCCTTTATCTTCCTGAACTGAATGGCTAAAGATCTCGCTCCTCACAGGCTGTCTGGGATCCTGGGCCATCTCCCATCTCCCCACCTCTTGGCTGGGCTCCAGTCATTCCTGTGTCAGAGCCTCCCTCTCCTCCACTTCCAGGCCTTTGCCTGCGCTGTTCCCTCTGCCCGGGACACCCTTCCCAGCACTCTTCGCTGGGCTCATGCCTACGCATCCCTCAGATTGCAGAGGAGGCACCACCTCCTTCTAGAAGCCTTCCTGATGCCCAAGCAGGGACAGGCACTCCTCATCAAGCTCCTATGGTGCCACTCCCACCCCCACCCCCACACCACAGATCACCCTGTGTCTTGGTGGTGCTCTCATCTGCACTGGGAGCTCAGGGGACAGGGACCAGGCCCATCTGTGCCCGGCAGTACCTGTCCTGGCACCCAGCTCGGGGCCCGGCACACAGGGGTGATCAATGAACGGAGGAAGGGCAGGGTGCTGTGGGTGGGACATGCAGGTGTCAGGTCTGCAAAGTGTCCTCCAAAAGGACAGGCTTCGGAAGAGGGTCCTAGGTGGTCTGTTTTCAGGACCACAGTCCCCGGCAAAGCCCCTCATTCTGTGAGGCCTCTGGGGAGCTGTGACCTCCATGGGGACAGCTAGAGGAGAATGGGGAGGAGGGAAAACATCTCAGCCACAAACAGACCCCCATTCTGCATCCTGGCTGGTCACCGACAGCTCTTAATGCTGCTCTTATTTATTCCTGACCTTTATGCCCCTTTTATTTTTCCCCCTTTTAAAACCTGGCCTGGGCCCTGCCACCGCTGCCGTAAACACGGCCCCCGGGATTTATCCGACGGCACATTAACCCCTGGCCCCTAGCTCACCAATCATCCTGCTGCCTGTGCAGACAGCGGGCAGCCTGGCCAGCTGGGGGGCTGCAGGACTGGGCTGAGGGGCTGGTGTGGTCTGCCCTAGGTGGGCTGGCCATGGAGGCAGGTGCTGGGGGTACAGGGACACGCCCGCTTGGTATCTGTGACCTGGCCTGTATCCCTTGCGGCCAGGCCCACCCTGACCTCTGACCTCCTGCCTGCCTGGCCCTTCCAGAACCCCTGCTCCGTGGTGGTCGTTAACAATGGCAGACACAGAGACATCCCAGGGCTGAGAGCTGGCAGCTCTCTCCCTGACTTTGTGAGACCTGTCCTGGCTGCGGAGCCCGAGGTCCAAGGGCAGGGTAGAGATGATAATTTTGCCCTCACAGGTGGGGAAACTGAGGCCAAAAGGGACAGAGCTGCCCAAGGTCACAGGGAGATCAAGGTCAGGGCTGGGTTTTTTCCACCACACTTGTGGCCCCTGCCCAGTTACAGAGCAGGAGGCCTGCATTCAGAGGGGTGGGGAGCTGGCCCAGGTTGCCTGGTGGTGAGGGTGCCAGGCCTGCCATCCAGGTCTCCAGCTCTGGGGAAGGGAGGCACCCTGTGAGGACAGTGGGGAAGGTGGATTGCAGTGAGATGGGCACCGAGGGCGAGGGGCAGGGGAGGAGCAGACCCAGCAGGGGAGATGCCACACCCCACCCCCACCAAGACAGAAGGTCCACTCACCGCCACCGCCTCCGAGCAGGGAGCTGTTGGCTGCAAGAGAGAGAGACAAAGGCAGATCAGTGGGGAAGGGGCTGCGGCGGGAGTATCAGCCTTGAGGGGAGGGTGATGTCAAGATGGGAGTGGGCTGCCAGCTAGGTCTTCAGACTTGGGCACAGGGTCTTCCCAGTCCTCCGGGGCGGTAGTAGACGATGGTGAAGAGGGAGGAGGTTCTTCATGGTCCTGGGGTTTGTAGGGTGGTAGGGCTGGGGACACAGGAGAGCTATCAGGGCCTGCCTGCTCACCCGGACGCAGACGCATGGGGGGGTCCAGAGAGGCAGATGGCCCCCGCCACGGCCCTTTCATTCCTTCACTGTTTCGCCCACAGTATCTCCTGAGGCTGGTCGGCGCCAGGCCTGGTGCAGAGATGTGGGGAGGAAAGGACAGGTCCCCTTCCCCAGGGCTCACAGCTTCCGGCAGGGCATAGCCTTGAAGCCACTAGGAAGCAAACTGCACCTTTGCAACCGGGCTAAGCGCTGCCCAGGGCCAGAGCTGGAGGACTGAGAACGCGGAGCAGTGCTGAGGGGGCGCAGAAGGGGGCAGGGGCGGGGGCGTCCAACTGCGAGAGGGACAAGGCGAGCCGGGTAAGGGGCCTGGAGCGCTGCCACTGGAGCCAAAACCAGATCAACAGCGGGGTGACTGGGGCCATGTGGCTTCGTGCCTCATTTTCCCCATGTGGGAGAATAGCCCCACCTCACCAGCTGGTGTGAAGGTCAATGGAGAGGGGTCCTCAACTCTGAGCCCCGCTGCAGGAAGACCTGGGTCCCCGCCCCCTCCTTGGACTAGGGGTAGTGCTGCCAGGCAGAGCTGGACTGACGGCTTTGTGGCTGCCACCTTCCTGCGCACAGCCCTGTCTGTCTCAGTCTGTCCGATCGGCTGCCCCTCGCCACCATGCAGCTGACACGGGGGCAAAGTGAGGCTGGCAGCCCCTCTCTGTAGGAATGCCAGAGCTGTGCATGCCAGCACTGCCCCCAGCCTGGGCTCCAGCCCCGATCCGCAGCCTGCGTCCGTGGTAACTGCCAGAGCTCATCAGGGAAAGCAGCGGGTGAGGCCAGGCAGGTGCCGCCCAGGCCCAGATGCTGCCCAGGTGGGAGGCCAGCTGCGCCCGCCCCTCTGCCGAGGAGTCCTGGCTCCCAGACAGGGCCTTCAGCTCTGCACACAGCTTTGCTACCCACCCCATCTGCCCAGACCATTGCAGCCCTTTCTGTAGAAAGGATGAGGGGACACAGAGCTGAGCTGGGTGGCCAGGCTGCAGGCCCAAGATGCCGTGAGGACGGCATGGACGCTGCTAAGTGGTGTCGGGCGGCTCCGAGTGGCTGGTCTCCCAGAGCTGACAGCTCTTCGCTTGGGGAATAATTAATTCCACCGCCCAAAAACCCAGGGCTGCAAGTTGCCATGTTACTTGCGAGATTAATACAAGCAGCTAATTAAGATGGAGAGGCGAGGAGCGGCTGGGCGCTCCCAAAGCAGGGGTGGGGGCCGCGGGAAGTGAGGGGGAGGTGAGCTGAGTGGTGCCAGCGAGGCAGTGGGAGCATGAGCCGAAGCCGGAGCTGGAGCTGGAGGGAGAGCAGGACACGGACCACAATGGGGTGCCCAGGCTGGCCCAGGACAGGCTGCAGAGGGGCGGGCCCCCCAGTGACTCTGGGTGGGGCCTGTGCCCACAAATGCACATTTCTTTCTTTCTTTCTTTCTTTCTTTTTGAGATGGAGTCTGGCTCTGTGGCCCAGGCTGGAGTGCAGTGGCACCATCTCGGCTCGCTGCAACCTCCACCTCCCAGGTTCAAGTGATTCTCCTGCCTCAGCCTCCTGAGTAGCTGGGACTACAGGCATGCGCCACCACACCCGGCTAATTTTTTGTATTTTTGGTAGAGACTGGTTTTCACCATGTTGGTCAAGCTGGTATCGTACTCCTGACCTCAAGTGATCCACCCGCCACGGCCTCCCAAAGTGCTGGGATTACAGGTGTGAGCCACCGCGCCTGGGCATGAATGTACATTTCTGCTGACCAAGACTATTTGCTGGGTGTAGACGGGGTGCTGGGCACAGATGGGCCCATTTATTATCATAACAAAGCCACAAGGGAGGTGCGATGGTTCCCATTTTACAGAGAAGGAGACTGAGGCTTAGGGAGCTTCAGTCATGGGGTGGCAGCAGCAGAATTGGAAGAGTCTGTCTGACTCCAAAGCCAAGCCACGAAGCCAGCTGACCCCAGGGACACTGTCTGAGGGTCGGTCAGAGGGACTGCCTTTCCCTGGCCAGGGGTGGGGCTTGCCTTCTCGAAACCAGGCAGAGTACCCCGCAAGCCCCAGATGCAGCCTCCACCCACTCCCCACCCCAGCAGGTCCAGCTGCAGAGGCGAGGGCTGGGCATCTGGGCAGTGCCACCCCAGAGCCAGCGAGGGAGGAGGGGGCATCTCAGGTCTCGGTCCAGCTCCAGGCCCCTTGGCCTGGGCAGTCCTGGCAGCGGTCGGCAGCTGCCCTCCTCGGGACCCCCCCACCTCCCCCCATCACCTCTCTCTCTTAATTAACACCGGCCACAAATGAGCTGGCTCCTGCTCAAAGAGGGCACTGTGCCAAATAGGTTGGCAGCGAGCCTCGAAGGGGTGGTAGGGGAGGGTTGCTGACCTGCTGTTCTGCAGTCCCCTGTGGGAAGGTGATGCCATTCCCCTGCCCACCTGGCGCCCCCAAACTCCACTGTGTGTGGCCTGCACTGCACCCGGCAAGGTGAGTGGGGTGAACTGACCTGACGCCAACCCGGCCAGAGCCTGAGGAGGGGGTGAGCTGGGGGCAGAGGGAAGACTTTGCTGGGTGGAGCTGGGGGAGGCCAGGCCAGGAGATGGGATTTGCCACAGGCAGGAGAGTGGCTGCGGCCCAGTGCTGGGGGCTCAGACTTGGATGCACGGAGGACCTGGTCCCAGGCCACCCACGCACAGTGGGTGCCCCGGGAGGCCAGTCTACTGTGCCCCCTTCTCTAGCCCCCTGTGCCTGACGTCCCACGGGTGGGGGGGCTCTGGGGGTCAGGTGGCCAACCTGGTGGCTGGGACCCAGTTCCTCAGCTCCTCCTTTCCCTGGGCCCCCGTTCTGGCCCCTGGGCCTCGACACCAAGCCACATGGTTCCCCCATAAAGCTGCCTCCAAGGCCGGAGAGCTGGGCCAGGCTGTGCAGGGGAATGGCCCGGAGGCTTGCAGAGAAGAGCCTAGGGAGGCTGTGCCAGCCAATGCCAACAGACAGGCTTCTGGGTGTGGCCACCCAGCCCGCCCAGCCCAGGGCAGGGCCTCTCAGGTCTCCCTGCTCCTCAGGCCTCCGTGCACCCCAACATCTTGGCCTGTGGCCGGCCCTTTTCACCTCAGCTAGTTCCTGGCCACCGGCTTGAGCCTCTAAGTCCCCTCTCTACTGCACCACCCCCCTCAGTTTGCTGGGAGGCTCTGGTCCTTACACAACAAGTCATCAACCCAGTTTCCAGAGGAGGAAACTGAGGCTCACAGAGTACCCGGGGACTGGGGGAGATGCAGGTGGGCCCAGGAGCACTGGTTGTCACAGCTCCTTTTCTTGACCCCCAACATGCCCACCTCAAAGGGCTCTTCTTGCTGAAGGCGTGGTGGCTTCAGGCGGGCAGTGGCTGTGTGAGGTGGGGGATGGGCACTGGACTGCGAGTCCAAGCTGGGGCTCATGATCCAGCCCCACCCAAGGGACCCAGACCTGCTCCCAGCAAACAGGGGCCTTTGAACGCCATGTGGGGCTGAGTGGGGGACCCGAGCCTGGACCTGGGAGCTTGGAGCGGCACAGTTCGCTTTGGCTCTGGGTGGGGGCGGGGCCTCCCGGCAGCAAGCACACCCTGGAGGCTGTGGAGTGCCCTAGTCTGTGGTCTGCTCTTGGAGTCACCTGTAGGCCCCCACTGCAGGCCGAGGTGGCCCGGCCCCATCGGGTTCCCCCCGCCCGAGGACATGCCTGCGCCATGCTCCCTGGGACTTGATTAACTGGCTCTGAGCCCGGTGCTGCGCCTGTGACCTTGGGGTGGCACCCCTCAATGCCAGTCACTGCCAAGTCCTCTGTCCGCTGCTGGCGGTCCCTGGGGACTGGGGGCCTGGAAACCTCAGTCTCCGACTCCCACACACCCCTCCTCCCGGCCCTCCTCTGCCCCAGCACTTGCTGTCCCTGAGGGCAGGTGCAGTAGCTCCCCAGTTTGTGCCCCTGCTCCCAGCCTAGTTAGAGGCTAGCAGGTGGCCGCTGTCCAGCGAAAGGGAGAGGGCCAGACCTGAGTGCTCAGAAACGACAGGTCACAGGAGGCCCGAGGCACAGGTGGCACCCGGCCCCTCCTCCATGCTCCACACAAAACATTTGAATTCAGTGCCAGTTGGGTGCCAGGGTTGTGCTGGGCAGCAGGCACAGAGAAAAGAACAGTATGGAGTCCCTGGGCCTTGGAAGCTTCCAGTCCTGACCGGAGGGGTAGCTGGGAGCAGGCTTGAGAGCTGCCCCGGGCGTGCTAAATGCTGTGGCGAGGGGAATGGGGGCGTGTGGGATCTACTGAAGTCTGCAGACTGGGAAGGCTTCTCGGAGGAGGTGGCATTTGAGCTGAGGCTTGAAGGATAAGAAGGAAAGGCATGGAGGGAGGGGCACGGGGACGTGCATGATGAGGGCACCCTACCAGCCAACACCTCACTGAGAGGGCAGCGCCAGCCTCCTAGGGCCCAGGCAGGGCCAGCCTCCCTGCTGGGCACAGTAGACACGTGCTTAGGGCCCATGACACTTTTAGGGGCCCACAAAGATGTTGCAGTTCTTTTAAAATCAGAAGAAAACAATGAACTTTTAGGTCAAAGACAATGTTATCAGATATAATATTAATACATTTGTCTTGATGCTAACCAAGTCATAAAATATAATTTAAGATATGTTTTATGGAGGAAAGGGACCAACAAGGTGGAATGCCTGGGCCCAGGCTGGGTAAGCTTGGTGCATGCACAGCTCATTTAATCCTTTCCCTGTCTGGAAGACGTGTTTACAGACCTGTTTTACAGATGAGGACGCTGAGACACGGAAAGTGATCCTCTCACAATGTACATTTGGAGAGGAGGTAAAATCTCCTATTTTGCCCCAGCTGCCCTATGAAAACCCTCCCAGTAGGGAACCCTGGGGGACTTGGGAGCCTTAGTGAGAAATGAGAAATCCCTTTGCTCTTAGGATAAAGACTGGCTCCTTGCAGACCCCCAGGCCCCATCGACCATCTCCTCCCCTTCTCCTCTCCCTCTGCCGTACATATGGTCCTCAAACTTGCCCCATGCTCTCCAGCCCCAGACCCTTTTCATAGACTCTGCCATGGCCCCTCTGCCTGGAGGAGACCCTCATCATCTGCCACCTCCTCAGGTCTCCTGGCCCCCGGTGATGCTCTCCTGGGGGGGCCATGAATCACTATCACTGCCTCCAGAATCCCCTCCCAGGTGCCTATCTTTTTTTTGGAAATGAAGTCTCACTGTCGCTCAGGCTGGAGTGCTGTGGTTCGATCTCGGTTCACTGCAACCACTGCCTCCAGGGTTCAAGTGATTCTCCCACTTCAGCCTCCTGAGTAGCTGAAAGTCTAGGTGCGAGCCACCATGCCTGGCTAATTTTTTTTATTTTTAGAGACGGGGTTTCACCATGTTGGCCAGGCTGGTCTCGAACTCCTGAGCTCAGGTGATCCACCCACCTCGGTCTCCCAAAGCGCTAGGATTACAGGTGTGAGTCACGGCGCCCGGCCCCCAGGTGCTTATCTTGATACCCCCACTCCTGCCCTCGGGTGTCTCCCTCATGGTTCTTCCCCGGCTCTCAGCACAGCGCCTGGCTCACAGCAGGTGCCCACTAATGAGTTCCTGAAGGAGCCCGTGGACATTACAGATGGTGCCCAGAGTCACTCAGCTGGATTTAAGCTGGGTCTGCCTGCCTGACTCCCAAGCTCCAGCTCTCTACCATGGGCCATGCAGGGGAGCCCACCCTGGGGCCCTTGGGAGGCAGGACCTGGGCCGGGAGCTGTGTAGGCGACAGGGGCTGCTCCAAGGGCAGTGGCAGGAGGCCAGAGCCACGAAGGTGCTCAGGTGCAGGAACTGCCTCTGCTGTTCCCCTGACAGGGACGAAATCCTCCAGCCCAGGGAGGGGGGCTGCCGAGGGCGGTGAGGGGTGCTGTGTGGGGGCCGGGACATCAGAGGAGACGCAGTGACCCAAGGAAAGCGCTGAGCAGGTTCCTGGGCCAGGGAGAGGCTGGGCGAGCAGGCACAGAGGTGACTTTGAGGCGGGCACAGCCCACCTGCATGTCCCTGGAGGCCGCCTCCACTCCCCCTGCTTGCTGCTCTGGGCCTCACCCTGGCCTCAGCTGCCTGGAGGGGCCCCAGCCAGGAGTTGGGGGGGTGGGGGCTGCTCCCCTAAGTCACCCAGCGTCCTGGCCTGGCCTTCATTCTCCTCTTCCCCTTGTGAGCCGGATCTCAGCCTTCTGTTCTCTGACAAGTGTGCAGCCAGCCCCACCGTGTGCCAGGCGCTGGGACACGGATGGGGCAGCCCTGCTGGCACGTGCATCATCTGGCTGGGAGACCATCAGGAAAGACAGCACGAGAATCAACTTGCACAAGAATCCCTGTGAGTGCCAGAGGCCGAGAAGGAAATGCAAGGGAGTGGCAGGGGGCCGGGGGGGGGGGGGGGGGGTGTGAGGTGGCGGCGGGCAGTGGATCTGGAGGGGTGGGTGGGGCCTGCTGAACCCTGGAGCTGGTGTGAGCAGCACAGCCAGGCAGGGGTGGGGGACGAGGAGCAAAGGCCTTGAGACCTCAGGGGCTGAGGAGCAGGGAAGGAGGACAGAAGTGAGGGGGCTCAGGCAAGAGCAGCCCCTGGGGGGCCTTGAGAGCCTTAGTGAGAAATGGGAGCTGCTGGGGGGTTTAGACAGAGGAGGGATGAACCGCACAGGGAAGGGACTGGGGGCACAGGCAGTGGCAGGAGGGGCCTCCTGGCTACTGCAGTGTCCGGGTGACCCCTGCCTCCGGGATGCCTCTCAGACTTCCCCTGGGGATAGCAAGCCTCCTTGGTGCTCCCACAAAGTGTGTCCCCAGCATCCTCCTCACCCTCCCCGAGCTCAGATCCCCGCCATCAGCACAGAGCCTGGCACCTCCAAGGGGCTCCATGACTGCCAACTGTCCCAGCATCTGACCAGCTGGCAGGCCTGGCCCCACAGGGGGCTTAGGGGAGCGGAGTTTGTTCTTGGAAATCGATGCCCCACTTCCTGCAGGCCAGCGGTGGGTATCCGTGTGACTTGAGGGCGAGTCGTTTAAAACATGTTTTAGATTAGAAACACCCCGCAGATGGAATAACATGTGAAATGTGCTGGATTTTGAAGATAAAATAAGAGACTTCAAAGGCCCCTCAAGCTGTGAGAGCAGTTGCTTGTTTGACAAGCTCTGTCCCCCCAGGCCAAGGTCACTGTCCTCCGTGGTAGGGCGGCCCAGGTGGAAGGTGGGAGACTTCCTGGACATTTTCCAGGCTGGGGAGCCAGGGGAGCAGGGGCCTCACTGGAGGGTGAGGGCTCCCATTTATGGGCACCAAGTGCATCCCCAGCAAGCTTCCACATGGATTTTTTTTTTTTTTTTTTTTTTTTTGAGATGGAGCCCAGGCTGGAGCACAGTAGTGCGATCTCAGCTCACTGCAACCTCTGCCTCCTGGGTTCAAGAGATTCTCCTGCCTCAGCCTCCCGAGTAGCTGGGACTACAGGCATGTGCCACCACGCCGGGCTAATTTTGCTATTTTTAGTACAATTGGGGTTTCACCATGTTGGCCAGGCTGGTCTCAAATTCCTGATATCAAGTGATCCATCTGCCTTAGCCTCCCAAAGTGCTGGGATTACAGGTGAGCCACCACGCCTGGCCTCCACATGGATCTTTGACCATCATCTTTGCACACACCCTCCTGTCCCACTTACAGATGGGGAAACTGAGGCCCAGAGAAGAGAAATGACTTGCCTAAGGCCACAGACTTCAGTGGGAGGAGCCAACAGTCTTATGCTTTGCCAGCCCTGGTCCTGAAACCCCCAGCTGTGATCTCGGGTCAGCTGCCCCACCTCCTGGGGCCTCAGTTTCCTCATCTGTAGGGGGGGTGATCATTTAACTGAGGCCCTTGTGAGGCATAGATGATAAAGTTAAAAATGCCCGTAAAACCTACAGCCTCACAGGGCTTCACTGTGGCAGTGGGCCCCGAAGCTGGGTGGGGGCGGTTCCTGGGGGCAGAAGGTCCCAGCACTCCTGGTAAGTCAGGGAGAAGGATTTGAACCCCGCTGCTCCAGGGCTAAGCCCCTCACCACGTCTTCTCTGACGAGCCTGGGAGCTGCTCAAAGCTGCTGGGGTGGTACCCAGCTGGGCATCCCCACTAGATTCCCCTGGGTCTCCTCCTTCCCACTGGGCCCATTCCAGGCCCTCCTTTCCCCGACTCCCCTGTACCTCAGAGCGGCCTCCTTCACTCCCACACACCTCCAGGTGCCCCCTGCCTGTTTGCCCACGTCCACTCCACTCTATAGCCCCTCTTCCTGGTCTAATCGAGGCATCCCACCCCCACGCCTCTCCCCATAAAAGCCTCACAGTTCACTGTTTGAAATGGCGTGGCTGCGGTTCCAGCTGGCCTGGGCCTCTCTTGTCTGCTTCCTGCCTGGGTTTCTTGGGCTCTGTCTGCCTGGCTGCCTGGGCCCCTGGAGACCCAAGCTCCTGGCCAGTCTCACCCCAAGCTGTCCCCTAAACCCCTGGCAACATGGAGGTCCCCCTCAACACCCCCTCTCCAAGCCCTGTCCCCAGGCACCTTCCACTTATTGCTATTTTCCTAAGTAAAAAATTCATGTTCATTCCACCAAATGGAATACCATGAGCATGCAACACAAAAACAAGAGAAACGCAAGTCAGCTGCTCGCTCATGGCGCAGACTCGGCTCGCCCCATTCCCATGGCCCTGAAGGACCTTCCAGACTTTAAAACGAAACAAAAAATAGCTGATGACACATTTATCAAATAAGTTCTCCGTGCTTTGCATTGGGCCAAGTATTTCCAGTGGCTTCTTTCATTTCGCCCTCCCCACAAGAGCCCGTTGAGGGGGTCCTATGATTTTTCCCACTTTACAGATGAGAAAATAGAGGTTCGCAGAGGCTGAGTGACTTGCCCAAGGTCATGCAGCTGGGGAGTGGGGAGCTGGGTCTGAATTGGGCTGTCTGACTTCCATGGGAGGACTGAGCTGCTGCACTGCAGGACCCCCAGCTGCTGCCTGGGCCTCCCCTCTCCTGGGCGCCATGGGGCAGGCACTCAGCATCCCACATTAGCATAACCATAAGCATCCCTGAAACTCAATTACCAGGAGATGGCTTGGGCCCCAGCCAGCCGGGCAGTCTCCATCCTTGCAAGAATGAGGGGCTGGTGATCCAGGGAGCCTTGGCGGGTGGGAGGGTGGAGGGCATCAGAGAAGATGAGGGAGGAGTTGGGGGGCCTTAGGACGGCCATGGACCCCTCAGTCTGTGGGTCTTGAAGGCAGCCTTGACCCCTAGGAAAGGTCAAGGCCCAGCCCCAGCTGGGCAGGCCCGACTGCCCCGTAGGAAAAGTCACGGGTTCCTCTGCACCCAGCTTGCTGGGTGACCCCAGAAAGCCCCTTGCCTCTCTGTGATTCAGCTTTCTTCTAAAAGGAGAAAACCAGAAGCTATTTTATTGTTCTTTAATTTTTAAATTTTTTTTGAGACAGAGTCTCACTCTGTCGCCCAGGCTGGAGTGCAGTGGTGCTACCTGGGCTCACTGCACCCTCCACCTCCCAGGTTCAAGAGATTCTGCCAGGCCTCAGCCTCCTGAGTAGCTGGGACTACAGGCACACGACACCACACCCATCTGATTTTTGTATTTTTAGTAGAGACGGGGTTTCACCATGTTGGCCAGGCTAGTCTTGAACTCCTGACCTCAAGTCAAAGTACTCAGATTACAGGTAGGAGCCACCATACCCAGCTGGGGCTATTTTAGTAGAAAACAAAGCAGGAGTTTGCACGAGGAAAGAGTGAGCACCAGCTCTGAACAGCCAGGCCAGCCTGGGCTCCCCCTGACTCCCAGATCCCCATCCCAGGAGGCGTGGCTGCTGTGGCCTCCTACATAGGCGGCTCCTCAGCTGCCCCTCACCCCTCATGCCTTCCTCTCCCAGCAACTGATGAGCCTTTTCCATGCATTTCCTGCATGGATGAATCAACCTCACAAAACAGCAGAAGCCCCCTCCCTGCAGAGGTGTCCACTATTCTGGATTTGGCATGTTATTTTCTTTAGAGTTTTACTATGCGTGCCCCTCAACAAGGTAAGATAGGTTCTGTGTCTTTGAGTTTTGTATAAACGGGAGCTCCCGGTTTGCTGTTATTATTCATTGCAATGCTTGTAAGATTTATCTGGGCAGGCCCACACTGCTCTCATGGGCCCCCCCCGCTCCTTTTTTTTTTTTTTCAGACGGTCTCGCTCTGTTGCCCAGACTGGAGTGAGTGCAATGGTGGGATCATAGCTCACTGCAGCCATGACCTCCCGGGCTCAAGAGATCCTTCTGCCTCAGCCTCCCAAGTAGCTAGGACTACAGGCACACATCACCACATCCGGCTAATTTTAAAATTTTCGGGCCGGGCGCCGTAACTCACACCTGTAATCCCAGCACTTTGGGAGGCCGAGGCGGGTATATCACAAGGTCAAGAGTTCGAGATCAGCCTGGCCAACATGGTGAAACCCCGTCTCTACTAAAAATATAAAAATCAGCTGGGCGTGGTGGTGCGCGCCGGTAATCCCAGCTACTCGGGAGGCTAAGGCAGGAGAATTGCTTGAATCTGGGAGGCGGAGGTTGCAGTGAGCCGAGATTGTGCCATTGCACTCCAGCTCTGGGCAAGAGAGCAAGACTTATCTCGGGAAAACAAACAAACAAAAATTTCACAGAGACAGGATCTCCCCATGTTGCCCAGGCTGGTCTTGAACTCCTGGGCTCAAGTGAGCCTCCTGCCTCAGCCTCCCTAAGGGCTGGGATTACAGGTGTGAGCCACTGCGCTCGGCCTCGTGTTCACTGGTGTTTAATGTTCCATGGTGGAACTACCCCACGCCCAGCCACCCATTCTCCCACTGACCCACAGTCAAGCATGCTTGGTTTTGTCTCATGCAAACACAGTGGCAGTAGCATCTTTACACGCCCCATGCACACATGCACCAGAATTTCTCTTGGGTCCACACTTAGGAGTGGGCTGCTGGGTTGTGGAGTGCGCATATCTTAACTTTACTAGTTATTGCCAAATTGCTCTGCAAAGTGGTTGTTCAGATGATCGTGTTAAAATATAAATTAGATCGTGTCACTTCCCTGCTTAAAATTCTCCAATAGCTTCCGATTATACTTAGAATAAAATCCATGCTTCCCTCCATGGAGGCATGGCTGTACCCCACACCCCTCCCCCACAATTTCCTGGCCTCTTTTCTCTTCCTTCAATAGGTCTGGCTCTTTCATGCCCCAGGGCCTTTGCACATACGTTTCCCTCTGCCTGGCACACTCTTCCAGCTCTTCCCAAGCTGAGCTCCTTCTTATCCTTCAGGACTCAATGAAAATGTCACCTCCTCTAAGGGGCTGCCCCTGACCACCCAGTTAAAAGGCCTTCTGCCCCATTCCCCTTATCAGCCTCTTTATTTCCTCTGGAGCCCACACCCTGTGCCCATAATGACCTCATCCTCTGATGTGTTTGCTGGTTTATTAACAGCATGGCAGCCTGTGGGGAGACGACCTCATTTGCTTTGTACATTCCTGGATCCCAAAGGCCGGCATGGCCTGGCACCTAAGAGCTCCTCTTATGACTACTCATTCATTCAACAGACATTGATGAGGCCACCGATGTCACAGAGGGTTAGCAGTGGGGAAGGGGCTTTGCAGAGGGGAGTGTGGCTGAGAGGAGGGCAGAGAGGTGACCAGGCCCACGGGGCCCTCCCTGATCCTTCTCCCACAGTCATGGGGTGTCATGGCGGGTGCTGGAGCTGGGAGCAGCAGGGTTGGTCTTGCCCTTTAGAAAGACCCCCTTTAGAGCTGGGGAAGGGAGCAGATTGAAGAGGTGGTCCTGGAGGCAGGGGCTGCAGGGATGGTGGTGGCTGAGGATGGGTTGAGGGAGGGCTGGGAGAGGCGGCATGATTGAGCCCATGGGACCAAAGAGAAGACCGTGGAGATGGGACTGGATCAAGGATGCGATTGGCTCAGAACTGGCTCAATCCAGTCAATGGAAGAGCACATGGTCTATGAAGACACAGTGGTAGCTGTAGCCCCGCCACCCTCCTGCCCATGGGGGCTTCCACCACCCTCTGCAGGAAGCTGGGAAGGGGCTCATTCATGTCTAGCCCACCCAGAGGCTCAGGTCTTAACCTCTGGGGTTATAGGTTATAGCCTCCCCCTGGCCCCCAGTGACCGCTTTGAACACTTCCCCAGACGCTGCCTGTAAGCACTACACTCGGCCTACAATTTCCGTGGGAGGATCCTCCCGGGGCCCCCAGCAAGGAGCCCTTGACCTAGGTTCCCCTCCCCCACCACGGATTTGAAACCGAGGCCCTAGAAGGAAAGGAACTGGAAGAAGGTGGCACAGCTGAATTGTCACTTTGCTTTTTAGAATAGGAAGTGTTGCACCAAGGCCAAAAACGTTCCCTTCTCAGTAAAGACAGAGGAAAGGCAGCAGCCACTTGCTGCGCAGGGAATCTAAGTCAGACACCAGGAAGCACCGTCCTCTGCCTGCCGGGCACCCGCCACCTCTCTGCAGCCAGTGGCTGCTCACCCTCTGAGGCTGCCCAGGACTCTCAGGATGCGGGGCTGGGCAGGCGGAAGAAGCAGTTGTGTCTGACTCTAAAACTAGTGCTTCCCCAGTGGGGAGTGCTGGGGAGGCGCATGGGAAGGGCCGGGTGGGGTGGGGACCAGGCCTTCTAGTTCCCTGCTGTCCCCAGCGCCAGGGCCTGTGCTGAGGGTCTGGAGCCGAGGGGGCCCCTTGCCCTGTGTTATTACCCCTCCCAGGCCTTGTCCTGTGGGGACACGACAGGACCCTAGCCTGGTCCCTGCCTGCCTGCCTTAGGGCCCCCCTGGCCTGGGCGCCTCCTCTTCTCTGTTCCCCTGCCCTCCCAGCTTGGGCTCCACGCTGCAGAGGGAGGAGGGAGAGGGAGGAGGGAAAACGGTGGAGGGAGGTGGGAGGCAGGAGGCGGAAGGAAGGAGCAGGAGGCAGGAGGAGGTCAGTGTGGCAGCCATTGGTATGCGAGGCCCGGCCTCAGCCCCTCTGCTCCCTCCGCGGCCCAGCCTTTCTGCTCAGCTCTTTAAGAATCCCTCCTCGGCAGCGGCAGCGTGCTGGTTGCTGGGCAACCCCATCGCGCCCCGCCCCCTGCCGCTGGCGCTGGCCCTCTTCCCCTCCCCCTCCTCCCGCAGCTCCTCCCAGTGCCCCCAGCCTCAGCGGCGCTGGTGCTCCTAGCTCAGAACCTGCCAGGCCTGGCTGCTGGGGGCACCTGTGCCCGGCAGGTAAGTGGCTTTGAGTGACTACATCCAGCCCCAGCTCTGGAGTACAGCTCTGCCTCCCAGGACTCAGGGAGGGAGACCCTGGGCTTAGGACACTCTTTCTCCTTACTTCCCTGCCCCTGGAGCACCTAGGCCAGCAGGCGAGGGCAGGTGAGGGGTCCCAGAAGATGCCATCTGTTTCCGCAACCCCAGCTCTGCAGCCCCAGGACTCTGGGAGAGGGACCCTGGACTCAGGGCACCCCACCTCAGACTCTCCCATCCCCACCTCCCCGCCCCAGGGCACCATCTGTGGCCTTAGCTTTATTGGCATCTGTTGGGGGACAGAGACAACCCAAGGGGAAGGGCGAGGAGCTGCTTGAGTTCCCAGTGAGGTGGGGAGTGGCCACCTGCTGGGGTTGGTTGAGCCGGGTGCTGGGATGTGGGCGCTGGGCCTCAAGAGCCTTTGCGCTGTGGGGGAGGCTGAGGCCATAAAGCAGCTCACACGGGCAGAGGAACGGGAGGGGAGATGAGGGGGCTGCAGAGCTTGGGGCCCCTGAAACAGGCATCTGGCGGCCGGCAGAAGAGGCACAGTGACGGGGTGGGGGGATCCCCAGTAGAGGTCTCTGAGACACCAATCTCAGAGCCTCCTGCATCCCCTACCTCGGGCAGTCACAGGGACCCCGTCCCCTGGCTCCCTGATGTCTTGGGGCTGCCACCCTCTCTTTGGATCAGGCCCTACCTCTCGCTCCCAATGGCATCCCCTTCCTCACTGTCCCGGGGGTCCAGCCCCCATTTGCTTCCACCTGCCACAGACTCTGCACCATCCAGAAGGCCCAGTCTCTCTCCTGGAGGCCCTTCCCAGCCCACCCTGCGCAGCTGGCCTCGCCCCCACCCCCCTCTCGGACCCATGCCCATGAGCTGCTCGTCACACAGCCCTCCCTACCCTGGCTGAGGCTGGTGTCTCCACAGGGCTGTCTTTCAGGACACAGTTCACATCTCCTTCCTGAACTTGGGATGTGTGTAACAGGTGAATGACAGCTGGAGTAAAGGAAGGTCTAAATCACCGCAAAAAGCATATTCTCTGCTGGGAATGATCGCTGAGAAGGGAGGGAGCCGGGAGAGGCAGCCCTGAGTGTCTGGAAGGGATGGGGGCAGGGGAGGTGATGTCACTGGTGGGGAGCAGAGGAAGCTCCCAAGGGAAGGAGGGGCCCATGAGAGAAGCCTGGCCACCAACCGCCTCAGTCCTGCTGGGGCTGGGGGCTGACCAGCTGACAGGTGGAACAACCACCCCCCGGGTGACACAGTCTTGCCTTTGCCCAGGCCTGCGTTCCCACCCTCTCTGGCGTCTGTCTCCCCACCCACCCAGGGGCAGCTGGTTAGACCTGATCTCCCCCGTCATGTCTCCATCACCCCCCAAACTCACACCCAGACTCTACCCACTCCCCAGTAGCTGGATGTGCATCTGGCCCCCCAGAACCCCAGGAGCCATCATCTCCGGGCAATTCCCAGTTTTATGAATCATGGTTGGCCTTGGGACAGCTCCGTCATTGTTGCCTTGAAGGGCTCTGTCAGCCTGATGCTCGCTCCTGTTTAATGTTCTGTCCATTCATTCACCACATTCACCAATGCCTGACCATGCTGTCCCCACATGCTGGACACTGTAGCAGGGGTTGGGGACATGCAGGAACCCAAATAGGCCCGGCTGTGCCCTCAAGGTGCCGACAGTCTGGTGCAGAGATGAATACTAACAAAACACACATCACTGGACACAGGTGCCTGTGATTCTAAGTCACGATACTATTGTACGTACTCCCCAGGAAGCAAACACAACGCCAGAGAAAAAATCAGCCACACCCGGATCTTAGAGATGTGGACATGTTGGCCGGTAGATGAAAAACGCAGTCATAGAAATCATAAGCAATCACCAACGAGCTGAGTGCTACAAAACAGAAGTGGAGGAGGGAGACAGAAGAAGGTGACCTAATCGGGAAGGTGGGGTTAGAAGCTGGGCATGGTGGCGGCACCTGCAATTCCAGCTACTCGGGAGGCTGAGGTGGGAGCATCGCTTGAGCTCAGGAGTTCGAATCCAGCCTGGGCAACATAGTAGATCCTGTCTCTTAAAAAAAAAAAAGGAAGGTGGGTGGGTGGTGGGGATGTGGGGGTTAGGGAGGCCTTTCTGATGATAGGTTGGCCAGGCTCTGGGCTGATGAGGAGGAGTTGGTTAGGACTGGAGAGGCGGAAGGGTGCAGAGAAGTAAGACCCTTGTTTCAAGGCCTGGGGGCAGGAGCATGCTGAAGGGAGGGATGAGGATGAGGAGGAGGCAGGCACTGGAGCAGGGCTGGAGGGGTGCTCTTGTCCTGGCTGGCAGCCTCCCCGGTGCCAGTGGCCTGGTCTGACCTGCCTTGGGCCCCTCCCTGCTCCCAGCACCAGTCCTGGGGGTTGCTGACTTCACCCTACCTGGCTTTGTCCCTTCTGTGCCTGCTCCTTGGGGCACCCTCTCTGGGACTTTCCTCCTGGGCTGGAGGTCTTGCTCTCTGGCTCTCCCTGAAGCTCTGCGCCAGGGCCCACCCTCCTGGTCCTAGACCTTGTGCTTAGAGGGGAGAAGCCCCAGCCCTCTGTGTTGTGCATAATGGTGGGAGGGGAGCACAGTGGAGTTAGAACTTGGATCAGAGAAGCTGCTGGAGCCTGCCTGCCTGCCTGCCTGCCTTCCTTTTTTTTTTTTTTTTTTTGTGACGTAGTCTCACTCTGTCGCCCAGGCTGGAGTGCAGTGGCACAATCTCTGTTCACTGGCAACCTCCGCCTCCCAGGTTCAAGTGATTCTCCTGCCTCAGCCTTCCCAGTAGCTGGGATTACAGGCATCCGCCACCATGCCAGCTAATTTTTGTATTTTTAGTAGAGACGGGGTTTTGCCATGTTGGCCAGGCTGGTCACGAATGGCTGACCTCAAGTGATCCACCTGCCTCGGCCTCCCAAAGTGCTGGGATTACAGGCGTGAGCTACTGCACCCGGCCACTGCTGGAGCTTTCTGATGTGTGCTGGCCTGGTGTCCCTGAAGTGGCATGCACAGCCCGCCTATCCAGAGGTTACATATCCATGCATTCGCGTGAACATCCCGTAGTATACTGGGGCATCACTGGGGCCCCGAGCTAGGAGTCCACCCCTCCTTGGAGGTGATACCCAGGCTGGGGCCTGTGGGGAAGGCTGAGGCCAGGGTTGTGCCCTCTGAACATCTGCAATTTGTCCTTGCCTTGGTGCCAACCCCTGACCACTGCCCTGGGATGGCTTCATGCCTGGATGCCCAGCACAGAGCCTGGGGCTAAGGGTCCCTGATGATGACCACAGACCCCACCCCCCAGTGAGGAAGACCCTGTTCCTCCCTTGAGTCAAGTCACCTCCTTCCCCTGCCCCCAGCTGAGAACAGGCCCAAGTGAAGCCAGGGGTGGCCCAGCTTTAGTTGACCACAGTCTAATAATGGTGAGTCATATTGTATACTTTGTATACTTCACTGTATACGAAGCACTTTCCTCCTGGGACCTCACTGGACTCTCGCTAGCCCTGGGAGGTCTGAGATGGCCTTGTTAAGATAAGGAAATGGAGGCACAGCAAGGCTGGGATGGTGCCCAGGGCCGATGGCTGGTGAGTTGCAGGATGGCGAGCAGGACCCAGATTTAGGGGCTCCAGAGAGGGTAGATGGCAGCTGGAGAGGTAAGGATGCTTCGGGCAGGGCCAGGGTGACCTTGGCTGCCCGGTGGTAAGGCCCACCCCACCAGGCTGTGTGGGTTACTGCCCCTCTGGGAGCCGGGAAGCTGGGGCTTGGTGAGCTCAAGGTTGAACCTACAAATCATCGCCAGGTGACTTGAGCTGCCCTTGCGGCTGAGTGCATCCCCCATGAGTGCCCAGCAGGGACTAGCTCAGTCCTCCAGCCCAAGGCCACACTGCCTTTACCAGTCACCTGTGTCCTCCTGGAGCCCACAGCTCCCAGGGGCTCGGCAAGGGTTTGTTGACTGAACAGTGATCTTTCTGACTCTCAGAGCCCACTGTCCCCTTCCTGGAATGACACTCCCTCGTGGTGCCCTACTCCTTCCAAGATAAAGAAGAGGCACTCCAGGTTTGTCTAAGACCCTGCACACCCATCCTGGCTGACACCAGCCACCTCATCTTCCACTATCCGCCCCCCAGCTTCTGTCCCCCACTCTAACCAAGAATTCCTGAGCCTCAAAGCCAAGGCTGTTTCACGTCACAGCAACTGTGAGCTTCTGCTGTCTGCAAGAACATCCCTCCTGCCCCTCCAAGACCCAGGTCAAGAGGCACCTCCCTGAGGAAGCTGATGTCAAAATCGACTTGGCCCTCTGTCTTGGGGTCACGAGGTAATGCCTGCTTCAGCAAGATCTTGCTAAGCCATAACTGTCTAGGTGCCCAGCCCCCATGCTGGAATTTCAGCTTTGCCAGGGCGAGATCCAGCAGGGCCCGATTCACTTCTGGTCCCTGGTGCCCTAAACAGCACCTGGCACACAGTGGACTCCCAGCCATATCCCCCGAACTGTGCACAGCCACCAGGCATGGCTGAGCGGGTTATTCCATCAGCTTTGTGGAATATCGTGCAGCTGTTAAAACCACAATTATGAAGATGATTTTTGTTTGTTTTTTAGGGACAAGGTTGCCCAGGCTGGAGTGTAGTGGCACGATCATAGCTCACTGCAGCCTCAACCTCCTGGGCTCAAGTGATCCTCTCGCCTCAGCCTCCTGAGTAGCTGGGACTACAGGTGCCTAATTTTTTTTTTAAATTATTTTTTGCCGGGTGTGGTGGCTCACGTCTGTAATCCCAGCACTTTGGGAGGCCGAGTTGGGTGGATCACCTGAGGTCAGGAGCTTGAGACCAGCCTGGCCAACATAGTGAAACCCCGTCTCTGCTAAAAATACAAAAATTAGCCAGGCGTAGTGGTGCATTCCTGTAGTTCCAGCTACTCGGGAGGCTGAGGCAGGAGAATTGCTTGAACCTGGGAGGCAGAGGTTGCCATGAGCTGAGATCGTGCCATTGCACTCCAGCCTGGGCGACAAGAGTGAAACGCCGCCCCCCCAAAAAAATTATTATTTTTATTTTTTTGTATTTTTTTTATCTCAAACTCCTGGTCTCAAGCAATCATCCCACCACAGCCCCCCAAAGCTCTGGGATTACAGGTGTGAGCCACCATGGCTGGCTCGAAGATAACATTTTGATATCTAAGTGTGACATGTCAAACAGAGCTACAATCATACAATCCATTCCACTGCGAGGCATTGAGTGCCCGCGCTCTGTGCCAGCTCTGTGGCTTGGTGTGGGGGTGGCAGGGATAGAAAGGGGTCTCTCCTTCAAGACATTTAGTTCAGAAGAGGAGGAAGGCTTGAACATAATTCCTGAGCCACACGCCAAGTGCTGGGATGGAGGAATGACAGAGCCCCAGGGCCACACGTCCATCTGGGGGTCTGGGAAGGCGGGACGGAAACCACAGCTCTGTAAAAATTACAGCCGTCTCTGCATGGACAAGCCTGGAAGGGAGCAGAGGAACGGAAGCTGTTGACGCCACAGGGCGGTGGCATTGTGGGTGATTTTTCTTTCTTTTATTGTTGGTATAATGCTGTTTGGGCAATAAATAAAAATTGGGAGGAAAAAATAGCTGTTTGGTGAATTGAGTAGAAATTGGGAGAAAGAAGAAAGGGAGTTAAGGGGAGGGAAATTAGAAGGGTGAAGTGAGGAGGGAGAGGCAGGAAGGGCAAAGACAGGCGCATGCAGAGCGCACAGAGGCCAGAGGCGGCGGCCTCAGGCTAGGCCCCAGTCTGTTCCCGGACTGGGCGCAAGAGGGCTGGGTTTGCACAGGGAAAGGAGGGGGAGAGGTGCTGGAGTCTCTGTAGGGGGGACCCTCCCCAAGGGGATCTGGGAGGGCATCCCAGAGGGGAGGTGGCCCCCAGGCCTCGATGGACAGCAAAGAGCAGGGCCGGCAGAGGGGGTCCCAGCCAGACTGTGGGCGGTCTGAGGGTGGATCAGGAGCACTGGGGCCCTGGTGGGGGCTCTGGGCAGGCTTGGGACTCAGAGCAGCCACTGACAAGGTGATGAGGTCTGACCAGGGCAGGCCAGGCTGGGTATATGGGAGAGTCCCTTACTTAGTGTCCCAGCGAATGCCAAGAGCACGGGGACTTTCAGGCTAAGAGGAGGCTGTCTGGTCTAAACACTCCCTCACCCCACCCGGATGCCACCCACAGGCATGAACATCTTCCCAGTCTCTAATAGGTGCCAGGCACTGGGCCAGCCACCCTCCCATTCAAGGTCTTCTTCATCTCTCACAGTAACCTTTGGAGCTAGGTAGTAACGGTCCCATTTCACAATCCAGGACACTGAGGCTGGGAGAGGTTCAGCAACTTGGCCAAGGTCACAGTCAGCTGGGGATGGGAGGGGGCGCTGGCATGGGACCCTGGCACTGCCCCCTTAATAGGTGGGAGGGGTATTGCTGGGGAGCGCCCGGGTGTTTACAGCACGCGGCGGATGAGAGGGTCTGCCCAGGGAAGGGGCGCCAGGCAGGAAGGAAGGGGTTACTTTGGCATGCAGAGTAGGCGGTGGGTACCTGTTTGTGAATGAATGCACGGGTGGACGGATGAATGAATGAATGAATGAATGGATGGCTGGAGGGATGGTTGAATGAGTGGGTGCGGAGAGGAGGGTGCTGGGGAGGCGGCGCGTGAGCTAGAACCCCTTTCTCCCCCGCCTCCACGGTGGAGGTTGGCTTTGGGAGCCTCCCTCCCCCAACTCCCCAGAGGGGTCGGCTCCCCCACCCGCCCTTCCCCCAGCCAGTTTAGCCGAGGGCGGGGGAGGGGGGCGCGGAGGCCGCTTCTCCCCGGCTGGGCCAGAATCCCCGCGCGGCGGCGCAGCCTCCCGCGCCGGGTCCCGCCGGCCAGTGCGCAGCGCGGCGCCCCCGTCCTCCTCCCCCTCCCCTCCTCCTCCTCTCCCTCCCCGCTCCGCGCCTGCACGCACGGCCCCCGCCGCCGCCGCCGCGAGGGGAGAGGCGGCCGCACAGCCTGGTTCCCCGCGCCCTGCTCGCCGCCGCCGCTCGCGCGGGCACCGCCGCTGGTCCCCGCCCCGCCGCCGAGCGCACCCGCCCGGGCACACGCACCCCGCCGCTGGACGCACCCCCCGCACTCCTCCCGCGGCTCCGCCGGGCGCCCGAGCCGGGCAGATGCGCCGCCGCGCGCCCCCCGCTCCGGGCCCGCCACCGTGCTCTGCCGCGCGCCGGGGGCTCCTCTCCCGGGCCCCCCTGGGCGCCCTCCGGCTCTGGTTCCCGCCCGCTCCTTGGAATAACCCCTGAGGCTCCAGCCGTCACCGCAAAGTTTCCCGAGGAGACCCGCCTCCCCGGCCGCTGCGCAGGTAGGGCTGGCTGCACCGGGCGGGGGTCGGGGTCCGCGCGTCTGGGACAGGGCGCCAGAGCCGACGGGGCGGGGGCCGGGGGCCCGGGGGCACCGAAGCGCCACGGGGTCAGGCAGCCTGGCTTTGCCCCAGAGCGGCGGGAGATGGGACGCCCAGCCTTTGGGATTTGGGGTGGGGGTCCCTGAGTCAAGAGCCAAGCACCAGTAGCGGTGGCGCTGGCCCCGCCGCGGGGAGGCGCGGGGTGCGCGGCCGGCGGCTCAGCTCTCCCGAGCCGAGGCTGGAAAGGGCGGGGGCTCAGCTGGAGCTCTAGTCCAAGCCCTCGCTGCACCCCCCAGGGAGGGGGCCTGGCCCGTGGGGGGCGTCAGGCCGGTCATGTGGGTCCCAGCTCCCGCACTCGGGAACCGGAGGAGGGCGCGCGGCCAGGGACAGCCGGCCGGCCTGGGCGCCGCGCTCCCGTCCCCACCAGCCGCGTGAGTCACGGTTGGAGCGAGGTTTTATTTTTAAAACGACTTCAAGGGGGGCATGAGCAGCCTCCAACTTCCCTCCCTGTGCGCGCTGTGGACCGTCAGCCCTGAGCCGGGCGGGGGCTGGGGCCGTACACCTGGCGGCTGGAACGGTGAGACCATGGTGCCTGGGCGGGGGGCGGCGGGCACCCCCCATCCCCCAGCTCTCAAGACAAGGAGGCGGCCCGACCCGGCGGCGCACGCCCCTCCTCGCGGGCACTGGAGACCCCGGGGAGGAAGGCTGGGGAGTGTTGTCGCCCAGCTGCAGGGAACCGTGGTTGATCAGAGCTCCCCGAGGAGGAGAAAGTTGTGGAACAGGGACACCAGGGAGCTGCCACAGCCTTCCCGGTGGCCCCGGGAGGTCTTCGAGGCCCTCCAGGGTGGGCAGTTTTGAGAGAATACAGCCCAGCTGGGGTGTGCCAGGCCCCCGAGGCCCAAGCCAGAGCTCTGATGTGAATAAATACAGCCAAGGCTGGGGACGGAGGTGAGGGGTGACTGAGAACAGCCCTGCCTCACCGCGGCCCCTACGCCCTCGGGTTGGATGGAAACCAGCCCCTCCACATCCCCCTCCCCAGGTGGCTCAGGAGTTAGGAAGGAGGCTGTCTGTGGGGGGGACCCACGATGCCACTGTGGAGGGAGGTGGCTGAGGCACCCTGTCTCTGCCCGGCGGCCGCGGGGGAGGCAGCCGCCGCGCTCAGGGGCTCCAGATTCCAGTTTCTGGAGTTGAAAGCTACTGCATCTCTTCCGCCAGCCCCGGGAGGAGAGGCGCAGACATCACCTGTCAGCTGGTGCTGACTCCGTGGGCGACTGTTCAGGGCTTCCTCAGAAGGTTTAAAATGGAAATGGCCTGAGCTGACAGGGCCCGTGCCTGGGAGGGGACGCTGCCTAGCTGGGCCAGCAGTGAGGGGGCCCTGGTAGGTGTGAGGGGCAGGAAGAGCTGAGGGCTGTCACATATCTGGCTGAAGGGTCGGCCATGGGCACAGGGTGTGTGTGTGTGTGCGCACCCAGTCCCATGTTCTTTCCCAGACACAGAGACTGGATACTCTTCAGTAAAAAGCACCCTGACCCCAGCATGGAGGCTCCGTAGCCCACACCCCCAAGGCAGCTGTGGCCTGCTGGACTTCACCTAGACCTGGGTCTGTGCATCCGCACTCTACCATTTATTGGTCCCTCCACCTCCCTGTGCCTCAGTTTCCCTTGTTGGTAAAATGGGATTGATAGTGCCACCTCCTGAGCCTGAGCCAGGGTGCTGCTTTGTAAGTGCATTTGACGCATGTTGTTAGTGGTCCTGCTCCTGGACTGGAGGATTCTCAAGGGCTGAGGGTATCTGCAGGGACTTCAGAGGGTCGGGGGGTCGGATTTTCCCACCACCAGCCAGTGTGCTGTCACTGGACTTCATCCTCACGCTGGCCCTCAGTGGCAGCGCCCTGTGTCCCCTCCTCCCCATCTCCGAGGCCTCCCATGAAAGCCCCTGGGAGGTCCGCCCAGCTGTTTCTAAGGAGGTGATGGGGAGGGGGTGCTGCCATCCCACTGGTCACCCACTGCCAGAGGTGTACAGACTTAGCTCTGTAGAGATTCATGCCTGGTGGCTGAGCCTGTGTCGCATTCACTGGGTGACCCTGGGCCTGCAGCCTCCCCTCTGGGACCGGCTTCCTTGCCTGCGCAGGGGTTTACAGCAGTTGTCCCACAGAGAGGATGTCTGGGTGTTCTGCGTGTGGGTGCAGGGAAGGGCAGTGCACACATGAGCAGGTGGCATCTGTGCTTGCTTCGAAGTTAGCTGAGAGGACTAGGGCTCCAGGTGGCCTTGACCCTGCGGGTGTTGAGGGACGGAGAGGTGGGTGTAGAGCCCAGAGGCCAGCACGGGGGCAGCTGTCAAGTGGCTGCTCTGGTGCAGGGGGAGGATGAGGCCTCCAGGATCTAGCTGGGCACAGCCACCTCTGCCCAGTCATGGGGCTAGCAGCCCCCTCCCCAGCCAGCCAGACATCCCCAGAATCAGGGCTGGACATGGCCTGATCTCAGAGATGGGGCCTGTATGGGACTGTGTGGGTCTGGCTGTGCTGGCCCTTCTGCTCTAGAGTCTGGAAATGATATCAACCACCTAGTCATCCCTGTTGATTGTGTTCCTGGGACACTAGAATGCCATCACAGGGTCCTAAGGACTTTCGGTTCCTGGGGAGGGTTTCTCTACCTGGCCTGCTAACCTTCGGCAAGTGACCCGTCTTCCTCATCTGTAGGGTGGGGTAACAGCAGTACCTACCTTGGGGAGGCACCCACGTTGAGAGGATGCGTATGAGGTTTCTAGCAGAGTTCATGCCTAGCAATGTGGGGCCCTTGCCTAGTCTACACCCCTCGTTCACTGTGGGCCAAGGGCTTTCAGCTTCTTCAGGCCTTGGGGTGGCAGGGAGGACTGAGGTGGCCCTCATCCCCTGCAGGCAGGGGCCATCCACTCTGGTACCTGGCCCAAGGGGCAGTGGGAAATGCCCCAGAGCAAGGGGGAGCTGGAGGGCTTTTGCTGAGGCCCCTTATAGGATGGGGTGCGTGAGGCATGTGGGTGAGCGAGCGTGGGTGGACAAGAAGGGGCGTGGGTGTGGCGAGGGTGCTAACTGCCTATAGTGGGGTGGGTGGGGACTGCCCCGGGGGTAGCTTTCCCTGCTCACTGGCAGAGGAGAGCGCCAGCCTCTGGGAGGCCCAGGCCCCAGGCCCTGGCTGCTGCCCCCGGTGTACTGCCTTCCAAGTGTGTTTGAGGTCGGGTGGTAGCGGGGGGTCCCTCCTCAGAACCTGTGTTGTTCTGCCGGAGACAAAGTTCAGGCTCTGGCTGGCCCACGAGGCAGCTGCATTCTGTCCTCTGCCATGGGACACTCACCCTGAGAGGGCCAGGGCTGTGGTGTGGGGCAGACTGGATGGCCGGGAGGAGACGGGAAAAGGACAGCACCCCTGTTTTGCCCTCCTCCCCCCGGACAGCCTGCCTGGAGTTCTCTGGCAGCAGCTGGAGACACCAAGAGGGTTCCATGGAGCAGGCTGTGTTTGTGCAGGCCTGTGTTTGCCTGTTTACCATCGCTCGAGGCCCCCAGAGCACTGCCGCTCCCCGGGGCCAGCGGCTCTGCAGATGATGTCAGGGTTTGGGGGCCTCTCCTTGCTTTGTGGAGGTTGTTTGCTGGATTCCTGCAGCCCTGGGTTTTAAAATGACAACCTGCAGAGCTGGTGGCTAGTGAGGGTGGGGGAGAGGACAGGGAGGAGGATGGGTGGGAGTTTGGGGCTGAAGCCATGGAGGATAAATGGGCTGGCCCACCAGTGCTCCTCTGGCACGCCTGGCTCCCTGGCTCTTCTGTTTTCCCTTCCCTCACTCCTTCCCTCCTTTCCTGCTCATTCATTCATTCATTCATTCATTCTTGAGATAATCATTGAGCATTAGTTATTGCCAGGCACAGTGCTGGGCTCTGGGACAAAAGTGGGGAACAAAAGCAGTGGGTGTCTTGCCCTCAGGGCGCTTCCAGTCAGATGTGGTGTCAGACATTAGTCAGATCTACCTCTTCCCCGTGAAGCCTTGGCTCTGAAGGCGCAAAGTGGTGAGGTCAAGTAACAGAGGGGCCTGCTGAGGGGTGGGATTGAGGGGGACTTCCCAGGGAAGGGGGTGCTTAAGACATGAAGAGTGAGCTGGAGCCAGGGAAGGGCAGGGACAGAAACAAGGGCCTGGAGGACAGGATGGATGGAGAGGGCTGCATGGAGACCCCCGGCAGGAGGGCAGAGGGGCTCAAGGCACCCGGCCAGGGCTGGGGCTGGTGGGCTGTCTCCCTGGGTCTCTGTGGCCCATCCATCCCCAGCTCTCTCAGGATTCCTGGGTCTGCCTCAGGGACCCTCTGCCTGTCCTTGCAGATGGGCCTCTGGAAGAGTGGGCTTCCTAGGCCCGGGATGCCAGGTCCCCTTTTCCCGAGAGCTGTGTGTTCACCTGCGTAGACAGGTTGCCCCAGCATCTGATGGGCTGTGAGACAAATGTGGGCTTGTTTATGACGGGGGCGGTAGCCCTGGGTGGACCGAGAGCTATTAGTGATGAAGGAGAGTCCGCAGAAACCCTCCCCAGCCCTGAATGTTCCCGGTGCAGGGAAGTGGGCTGGGGTGCAGGCAGAGGGAGAAGGGAGTGAAGGGGCTGTGTCCTGGAGGGCCCCGGACCCGGCTGTATGGGGCTCAGCTAGCCACTAGGGGACACTGCCTCCCAGGCAGACCGCAGGACCCAGGCATCCGACGTCCGGCCAGGCCCCAGGTGTGGCAGGCTCTGCTTCAAGGGGTCAAAGGGCATCCTCATGGGCAGACGGGGTCTATTGTCTGGCTGGCAGGGAGGCAGTGGCCGGGCTGGTTGGGGATGGCTTATACTTAATTAAAACTGGGATTAAAACTGGGGTCACGGGGCGCTAGTCCTGGCCATTCCTGCCCGCGTCACTCTCCAGAGGCAGCTCTGTGGCAGTATTTTTTTCACGCCCCTTTCCCTCCTTCTGCCTGAATTAATCGTTGGCACCAGATTACAACAGATTTAGCAAACTGTAAAAAAAAAAAAAAAAAAAAAAAAAAAAAAGCATGAGCGAGAGAGGAAGAGAGAAAAGAAAGGAGGGAATGCCTTCCGTGAGGAGCCGGCATTTATCTCCAGAAGCAAATTGCTCTTCTTGAACCATTCCTGCTGCCCCCCACCCCTCCACCCCCCGTGACGCCTGGGAAATGCTGCTCGGGAAAATGTCCTCAAAAATGCTGCCGGGTGCTGGAACCAGGAGGGGCTTTTCCTGGGGGAGGTCAGCCAGGGGCTGAGGAGGAGAGGAGAGCTCAGGGGAGTGAGGAGGGTGCCCGGGGCTGCTCTGGAGGGTGTGTTGGGGGACACCTGGCTGGTTCTGAGTGGTCGCAGAGGTGGGGCTTCGTGTAGGGCAGAGCGAGTGAACAGATGAATGAATGGAAAAAGGGGTGCAGCCAGGACCGAATGACCGCCTCGGGAGCTGGTGTGGTGGCAGTGGAGGGTCCAGCCTGCCCATCAGGATTCCTAGGGACAAAATCCGAGGGACTGAGCTCTCTCAAGCGACATAGCATCTTGGGTCTTGGATCCAATTCCACTTCTCTCTGGTCAGACCAGAGGGGGCCTGGCTTTGGTTCAGGGAATCTGGCTGTTAGGGGGTGGGTGTCTGGCCCTAGGGACATGGCAAGTCGCAGAGGGTCACGGGAGTTTCACCTCAAGGCTGAGGGTGCCCCGCCCAGTTAAAGCACAGGAGTGAGATTCGGTGGGCTGAGAGCCCCTGGGCTCCTAGCCTGGGCTGGGCTGCCCCACCCTGAGTGGGGACTTGGGTTCAGTGGGGGGCAGTTAGGGGCCCACCCTTCCTTCTTCGCTCACTCACTCTCTCGGGCAGCGGCCATGGTGGGCCAGGCCTGGAGCTGGCCACAGGGAAGGTGGCGGTGGCCCAGTCCAGTGGGACCAGGCGGGAGGGGGAGACAGATGTGCACCACGCTCACACCTCTGGTGGGCACACATGCACCTTCATGCACACACTCTTGCACACACATGCTCACACCTAACCCACCTTCCTCTCCTGTCTTCCCTGAGCCAGCCTGAGCCAGGCTCTGAGGTGAATGAAGCCCACATCTCACCCCCACCTCTGGAAGCTGCCACGAGGAAGGGGCTGGAGTGGCTGCCCCACCCTTCCCGTGCAGTCCCCTGCCCTTCCTGCCCCCAGACAGTGGCCATCTGTTGCCCAGGCCTGGACCCCTCTCTGGGGAATGGGGGGGTGTGAAGGAATGAGAAGTGGGAGTGACAGCCCCTCCCCTAAGCCCTGCTCCAATAGAGGAGGCCCTGTGATGGCCAGCCCTGCAGCGTAACCTTTGACCCCAGGGAGCCAGCAGTCAGGTAGGCTCTGGGTAGGGCCACCCCCTTGGCTAGCCAATGGGGGGCTGGCCTGGTGGCCAGGCCTGTGGGGGTCTTGGAAGCCCTTCCCTGCCTCACTGGGGCTGCATGCCTCCTAGGCTGTCTACCGGTCCCAGGGAGATAGACAACACTCCCCTGATCCCCCAGTCACAGTGGGGTGCTTCATGCCTCAGTTTCCCACTACTTCTGGACAAGGGGTTGGACCACTAGGTCCCTAGTAGCTGCCACTCAGAGCAGCACCATGGCTCTGAGCCCTGAGACCCCCACCAGGCTTGGGCTAGCCAGAGGGGCTGGGTAGTGCCACACCCCAGTTTCCAGGGGCTTCTGGCTTGACAAGCTCTGCCTGGTTTATCTTCTTCCCACTGTGAGAGCAGGGAGACTGAGGCACAGAGTGGAGACACGCCCTGTCCAGTGCCATGTGGTAGTCAGGACACATTCTGGGGCAGAAGGGCTATGAAATGAAAGCTCTGGAGTCGATGAACTTGGGCTCGAAGCCCACCTTTGTTACTTATCATCTGAGTACCCTGGACGCCTCACGTCCCCTCTCTGTGCCTCTGTCTCCACACCTGTGAAACAGGATGATGGCATACGTGCTGACATCCCAGGGTTAGCATGAAGACTCCATGTGACTGTGTCCACAGAAGGGCTTTGTGGGAACCAGTAGTTACTTTGGATCATTGGACAGGCCCCGCCAGACACGTGCTGGGATAATCACCCTGCTCGGGGCTCTGAGGAGCTCAGGGGCTGGAGAGGGGCTGTACAGGCTAGCTTTCCGCCCTCAGGACCCCACCCTCTCTGGCAGGAAGGCTTGTGGGGCACTGCTGAGCCCCGAGGTCTGGGGCCCATGCAGTAGCAGGTGGAATGCATCAGGGAGCAGTGGACTCTAAACGCCTGGTTGTGACAAAAGGGCAAGTTGAGGTGTGGGTGACTCCTGGGGGAGCTGGGGAGAGCTGAGCTCTGGAGGGCTCTGGAGAGCAGCAAGGGTTAGGAGGCAGCAGGTGTGGGAAGGGCAAGAGGTCAAATCGTGGAAAGGGAAAGCATGGGGCTCAAATGTCACCTTCTGCTCATTAAGGGTGGCAGAGAGGTCATTATTGAGTGTTTACTGCATACAATGCATATTTCATAGAGCACCATGCTAAGGACTCTACCTTGCAGAATCCCACTGAGGCTTCACAACAGCCCCATTGCACAGAAGAGAAAACTGAGGCTCAGGCAGGTAAAGTGATTGGACCAAGGTCACGTAGCCAGGACATGGCATCTTTTTTTTTTTTTTATGACGGAGTTTCGCTCTTGTTGCCCAGACTGGAGTGCGATGGTGCAATCTGGGCTCACAGCAACCTCTGTCTGCAACAGGTTCAAGCTATTCTCCTGCCTCAGCCTCCCAAGTAGCTGGGACTACAGGTGCCCGCCACCACGCCGGGCTAATTTTTCATATTTTTAGTAGAGACGGGGATTCACCATGTTAGGCAGGATGGTCTCGAACTCCTGACCCTCAGGTGATCCACCCACTTCGGCCTCCCAAAGTGCTGCGGTTACAGGTGTGAGCCACTGTGCCCGGCCCAGGACATGGCATCTTAAAGCATATGCTCGTAACCCCCTCAGCCTACAACACATGAGAGTAATCAACACAGCAATAGTAGCTGACATTTATATCACACTTACTATGTACCTGGTGGTTGGCAGTTCCCCCAACAACTTTTTTTTTTTTTTTTTTGAGATGGAGTGTTGCTCTGTCGCCCAGGCTGGAGTGCAGTGGTGCAATCATAGCTCACTGCAGCCTCTAACTTTTGGGCTCAAGTGATCCTCCCACCTCAGCCTGCCGAATAGCTCGGACTACAGGCACGCACCAACACACTGGCTAATTTTTTAATTTGGCAGAGACAGGGTTTCCTTATGTTGCCCAGGCTGGCCTTGAACTCCTGGCCTCAAGCGATCCTCCCGCCTTGGCCTCCTGATTACAGGTGTGAGACACTGCGCCTGCTCTCCCAGCAACTTCTGAAGTAGGCACTATTATTATCCTGATTTTACCCCAGGGGTAAACTGAGGCACTGAGTGGCAAAGTCACTTGCCCAAGGTCACACAGAGGAAGGGGAACCACGTTCATTAGGGTGAACTTGGGTCCTTTACAAAGGAGGATGGGAAACTGAGGCATGGAGATGGCAGGTAACTGCCTGAGGTCACCAGCACCTGAGCTTTGGTATCTGTCATGCTCCCCCCTCACCAGACCCCTCCCCAAGCTGGGGACCTGCCCAGGACCTCTGAGCTGTCTCCTGTGGTCTAAGAGCCTCATACTTCCTCTTCCCTGCCTGGATTCTGCCTTCGTTTCCTGAGGCCCCACTGTGTGCTGGGCCTGGGGCTGGTACTGACAGTAGGTGATGTCATTTAACACATGTGTCAGGGAGGAATCAGGGAAGGCCTCATAGGGTAGGTGTCATTTGCACTTTGGAGCCAGGTGGGAGGGCATTATTCCTGGAGGGGAACAGCCTTGGCAGAGGCATTGTGAGCAGTCAGGCCTGTGCGGGCTGAGGGGGAGCAGTCCGGGTGCATGTGGTGGGTGGCATGTGCTTCTGCCTCGGCCGAGTGCTTTTCTGCAGCCCAGATGCTGGCCTGTGACGTCAGCAGGTGGCCCAGCTGGGCCTCGCTGCCCGCTGGTGCCCTCGGGAGGAGTGGGGCGGGTGGTGGGCGAAGGGGCCCGGGAGGGTGCTGGCGGCCTGCCGTCACAGAGCAATCTCCATTAGGGCCCCTGAGCGAGTGGCAGCAGCTCCTGGAATCCTATTAAAAGCTTTTTCATTGTTCCCCGAGTTATGCTCTGCTCCGCCGGGACCTGGGCATGTTGATAATTTATTTGTGGAAGGGAAAGGGGTGAAGAGCGCAGGAGAGAGGAGGAAATGTCATTATTTACTCAGCTTGGTTTCTGCAGCGTGGGCCCTGCCGTGGGGCAGCTGGAGAGGGGGCTCTACCACCCCTATCCCAGCCTCTGGGTCACTTATGGGACCCAATTTGGTAGGTAGGGGGTGAGGGTCTGCCGAGGGAGCAGCGGCGTTCAGCTGGGGTAGCCACCTTGCTGCGTCCTGAGGGTACAGATTGGAGAGACTGCTCCTGGGGTCTCAAAGGCAGGCGCACATCCCTGCTGCTGGCCAGCCATGTGGTTGCATAAGCCACTGTACCCCTGGATGCCAAAAACCAGAAATAGACCTCACTTTTCTGGGGGATGAGAAGGAATTCAGAACTAACAATAATAGTAATAACAGGTGGGCATGCTGGCTCAAACCTGTAATCCCAGCATCTTGGGAGGCTGAGGCAGGAGGATGGCTTGAGGCCAGGAGTTTGAGACCAGCCTGGGCAACATAGCGAGACCCCATCTCTTAAAACAATAACAGCAGTGACACTGGGTAACATGACTGAGCACTCACTGTGGACCTGCAGTGTGCTAAACATGTCACGTACAGTACTGTATCTCATTTAATCCCCATAAGTGGGCAGTGATACTGTTATTATTCCCTTTTTACACATGAGGAAACTGAGTTACAGGCAGCCAAGGTCACACAGGTCACACAGGTTCTGAGCGGCAGGGGTAGGATGGGAACCCGGCTTCTCTTAGCATGGGTGCTGCCTCTGGCCTCCTGAGCCTCTGTTCTCCAGAGCAGCCGACTCCCACTGGGTCCCCAGTCCCTCTCATCCAAAGTGAGGAAGCCCCAGAAGAGGGACAGGGGCCACCTCCTGCAGAACCTTCTAGTAGCAAACTTAGTTGCTACTAGAGCCTGGTGGGGCACAGATGAGGAAACAGAGGCTTACAGAGGTGACAAAGGCAGGGTGGAGCCAGGCTGGCCCTGGGTTCCCAAAGTGTCCCCTGTGCTGGGGTGCGAGGCTGCCCAAGGGGACAGGAGGGAGCTGGGTCCTACCCTTGCCCTGGACCCCAGACAGTGCTGGCCTTTGTCTGGGACCCTGCGCTGTGCTCCAGCCCAGGTCAGCTTCATGCACACTCCTGATTGGCCCGTTCTTTTTTTCTTTTTGAGACGGAGTTTTGTTCTCGTCGCTCAGGCTAGAGGACAAGATCATGTACCCTCCCAAGTAGCTGGGGCTACAGGCGTGTGCCTCTATGCCCAGCTAATTTTGTATTTTTAATAGAAGCAGGGTTTCACCATGTTGGTCAGGCTGGCCTTGAACTCCTGACCTTGAGTAATCCGCCTGCCTCAACGTCCCAAAGTGCTGGGATTACAGGCGTGAGCCGCTGCGCCTGGCCTGGCCCGTTCTTTAAGCTGTGGAGGAATTCATGGTGTGATGTGAAGTCTTCCCCATCCCTGCCTCTCCCCATCCTCTAGCCAGATACTGCCGGACATTTTAAAACACTTGAATTCAGTCAAGTCACGCACTAGCTCTGAGACCATCAGTGGCTCTCTAGTTCCTGAGAAGTCCAGCGCCCTCAGCCTGGCATTTCAGACCTTCCCAGCATGGCCCTGGCTGATGCACCAGCCTCGCCCCAGTGCCCCCCCCGGCTAGCATGCTCACACCTCTGAGCCTTCGACGTGCTGTTCCCTGTGTCTGGAAGGCCACCCTCACTCCCCGACATTGGCTGCCTCATGAAAGGCGGTGCAGGTGGCACTGCCTGCCTCCACCCACCTGTGGTGCCCCCCTCCCCTCCCCTGCCCCAGAGAGGTGCTGCTGAACTGTGGAACCAGTCAGATTCCTCAACTCCTCCCAGCAAGCCTTCCTGGCCCGAGATAAATGGCTTTCTTTGTACAACAGCCCTGGGAGTGGGTAGCGTGAGCCCATTTTAAGAAGGCGAAACCTGAGGCTCAGGGAGGTTCAGTCACTGGGCCAAGGTCACCCAGCAATCGGAGGAGATAAAGCCAGGTCCATGCCATGGGGTCCCTGTCCTGTTCCGTTTCACCCCCAGCAGCCGTAAAGCAGGTGGAGGAGTGACCAGCTTGGCATTCCCTGAGCCCTCCTCACCTGCCTGGCATTCACAGAGGATCACATTTAATCTTTACAGTGGCCCAGATGTACTTAGAGGCTCCATTTTACAGATGAGGAAACTGAGGTTAATAGAGGGAAGGAAGGCCGGGCGCGGTGGCTTATGCTTGTAATCCCAGCACTTTGGGAGCCTGAGGCAGATGGATCACCTCAGGTCAGGAGCTCGAGACCAGCCTGGCCAACGTGGTGAAACCCCTTCTCTACCAAAAATACAAAAATTAGCTGGGCATGGTGGCAGGTGCCTGTAATCCCAGCAACTCGGGAGGCTGAGGCAGGAGAATCGCTTGAACCTGGGAGGTAGAGGTTGCAGTGAGCTGAGATCGTGCCATTGCACTCCAGCCTGGGTGACAAGAGTGAAACTCCGTCTCAAAAAAAAAAAAAAAAAAGGAAGGAAGCAGGAAAGCAGAGCCCCAGCCCTGCAGCAACTTCCTGGGACCCTGATGGTGGATAGGAGCTTTCCCAGTGCCCTGTGTGCTGGGCCTGAGCCACCACTTCAGAGTGGGGATGCTGGCAGGCCCTGCCCGCCTGAGGCCCAGCCTGGCTCTCAGGCCTGCAGCCTGCCCTGGCCGGCGGGAGGCAGTGGGCCCAGAAGCAGGGCCGGGCAGGGGCCCTGCCCCCACGACAGCTGCCTCTCTGGCCCACTGGCCTCTCAGACAGACAGGGCTTGTGAGAGCCGGGGGCCTTCGAGGAGAGCTCAGCTCCCGCCGGCAGCTACTCAAAGGCCTCATTGTGGCAGGAGAGTCTGCCATGGGCAGCTGCCCCCATGGGAGGTGCAGACAGAGCCCAGCCTTTGTGCCAGTGCACTGTCCCTGCCCTGACCCGGGGTCAGCAGGACAGAGGCCCTTGTCTGTGGAGGCTGGGGGCCTCCCGGGGAGGGTCTGCCCTGGACCCTCCGTTGGCCTGGGACGGGTGTGGCCTGTGTTGCCAGGCTGTGGTTGCCAGGGACCCAGGAGCCCTTCCAGCTCCCAGATCCAGCCATGGAGGAGGCTAGTCCTTGGCCTGACTCAGGCTTGGAGAGGTGCAGAAGTCAAGCAGGATGGTTAATAACAGTCATGGCAGCAGGGGCTGCAGCCCCAGCGGAATTCTTACTGTTCCTGCCGCTAAGCACTTTATGCGTCATCACCGATTCCTTAAAGCAGCCCTACAAAGTGCCTGCAGTTTTTGCTCCATTTTAGAGATGAGAAAACCAAGGCTCTGCAGGGTTAGGAAATTCAACCCAGATCCCATAACTCTAAGGGCGGAGCTGGATCCCACTCCAGAACCCATTCTGAGCCCCAGGGGCTGCTATCCCCACCAAGCACCCGAGGTGGGCCAGGCACCAGGGCCATCCCATGGTGCAAACCCAAAGCCGCCCTTGCCCTGTCCCCACAGAGCTCCCAGCCAGCTCGCCAGACCCTCAAAGCAGTCTGGTGTGAGGGAGAGCCTGTCATCCCATTTTAGAGCCAAGGAAACTGATGCTCAGAGAGACAGACTGGGGTGCCGGCTGCCTCCTGCCCTGAGTGTGGGTGATAGGCAGATCACATATTTGTCCTTCAGGGGGTGGGGCCTTTGCCTGCACTTTGTGGGTGAGGTATTACATTCACTGGAGTGGGGAACAGTGGAGGAAAAGTGACAGAGCCCCTGAGAGGTCTGGGGGACTTCAGGGCTGAGCCACCCCATTCATAGTCCCACTCTTGGAAGGACCCCCAGAGACCACTGTGTTTGTTAACACCCCATTGTGTAGTAGGAAACTGAGGCACAGAGAAGCGAAAAAGGGACTGGCCCAGGATCCCCAAAGCCTTGGGGATTGAACAGGGTCCTACCGATGCCCAAAGGCTGTGCTGTTCACAGCGGTGCCCACGGCCAGTCCTGGGCAGGGAGGTCAGCAGGCCCCCTGAGCACTTCCTGTGCGCTGGGCCCAGTTCTGAGCATTACCCGCATGACTCGCTTCATCCTCACAACCTTATGGGGGAGGTATGAGGAAACTGAGGCCCCTTCCCCAGGCCACACCTCCAAGGTCAGCCTCCCCAAGCGGTCTTGGTCTCCGAGCTCAGCTGGTTCTATTGGCTTCCTGTCCTGCAGGACCTGCTGACTCCCGCACAGACATCCTGATGGTTCAGGGTTGGAGGTGCCTGCTGAAGGGGGTGGACGCTGGGGGTGCAGACAGACAGCTCAGTGATCTGCGGGGCAGGCTGCACACCCCAGAGCCCAGTGTCTTGCCTTCTCATCCTGAGGGGGATCGGTTTCTCCATCTGTGAAATGGGCGCCAGCCTGTGGGGGACCCACAAGTGAAGTCGTCTCTGCAGACTCCCTGCTTGCTAGGGCTGGGGCCTGGCTGAGCTGTGATCCACCCCACCATCCCCCAGCTCTGTTCTAGAAAGGCTGTGTCCCAGACCAAGACGCTGTGGCCCCGGGGGGGAGGCCAAACCTCTCTCAGAGCCCTCTTGGCCTAGCGATCGCACAGAGCCAGCCCAGGCCTGGATGCCATATTATAAATAATGCTATTAATATTAATAAGAAATGGCCTGGTAAAGTGATGATGAGGGTGATGGCCTACTCTTCCCTCGAGATCTCTCCGGAGGCTGGGAAACCAGGCCCTCGGTCCTTATGCCCCACAGGGAAGCCGGGTGCAGGCTCCGTCTTCACCCTGCCACTCCCACCTCTCCCTCCACCCATCCCTCCCTCCCTAGACCCCAGCCTGGGGATGCAGGGAGGGCCGATGACCCATCCCCACAAGAGGAGGGACCTGAGACCCCGAGAGATGAGTGGCTCCCCAGGACTCACAGCTACCACGAGGCCCAGAGCTTGACTGAGTTTAGTGCTCTTCCCACTGACCCTTCTGAAATGTGCAGGCCACCTAGGGGCAGCTGGACACGTAGGGGTCCTGGGGCCAGGCCCTTGGCCAGCCCTCAGTGTGACAGTGGTGGGGACCCAGATGCCCGGGCACTGCTTCCACTCTGCCCCTTCCTGGCTGTGTGGCCATGGATGCTTCAGCCCCCATACCCTCTATTGCTTCTGTTCCCAAGGGTCACCTGGTGAGGACAGCCCTCCCTCACAGCGCTAAGGACAGGCCTGGCACACAGTGAGGGCTGTCCAGCGGTGACCATGACCCAGCAGTGACCATGGCCCAGCTGACTTTCACTCTTGTCGCCCAGGCTGGAGTGCAGTGGCGCGATCATGGCTCACTGCAACCTCTGCTTCCCGGGTTCAAGCGATTCTCCTGCCTCAGCCTCCTGAGTAGCTGGGATTACAGGCGCATGCCATAATACCCCGCTAATTTTTGTATTTCTAGTTGAGATGGGGTTCTGTCATGTTGGCCAGGCTGGTCTCGAACTCCTGACCTCAGGTGATCCGCCTGCCTTGGCTTTCCAAAGTGCTGGGATTACAGGCCTGAGCCACCGCGCCCGGCCACAGCCTTGCTTTTCTTGACCCTCCAAGACTTTCTTGTTGCAGGCAGCCAGGCCTGTCCCCTGAGCCCCACTCCTGAATCCTCTGGACCAGCCTTGCCCAGGGGGACAGCCTGGTAAATTCCAAGGATTGAGGCTCAAGTATTGTGCCCCACCGATCTGGAGGAGAGATTCACTCCATGGATGCTGCCTGTGGGTGCAGCCCCCAAAGCCCCAGGTTTGAGGCCCCCTGACCACTCACCTAGCCACCTTACTAGGCCTCAGTTTTGTCATCTGTGACATGGGGCCAGGGGTGCCAAGACAGGATGATGTGGGCAGCAGCCTTACCCCACGTAGGTGCCCAATCAGGGGAGGGGAGGGGCTGGTCCCTCTTTTGAAGTAGCTCTGGGCAGACACCTGCCTTGACGGCCCTCTGGGTGCTGATGTGGTGGGGTGGGTGCGTGTGGTCACGAGCTAGAGAGGCAGCAGGGACTCTGGCGGCTTGGCCTGACACTCAGTGGTGACAGTGATGGCGGACCCACCCTCCCCAGGGTGGCACTGATTGAGTCTCATTGTTGTGGGGCGGGGGCACCCTCTCGGAAGCCTCGCTCCTGGCTCCTGGGCGGCAGAGCTGTCGGCCGGGCAGGCTAACAGCTGTTTGTGCAGAGACTAAATCTGTCCGGGTCTGACAGACGGCCTTGTGCCACCACCGCCATTCCTGCGTGGAGCGGGCAGTGGGCTGGTGGCAGTGTGTACATCAGCCCTCTCCGAGCTCACGGCCCGGAGCTTATAGGGGCAGGGGCCGAGGTTGGTGAGCTCCTCCCTGAACAGTGGTTTGGCCAGATAGCCCTGCGGCCCAGTCCCTCTCAGGACAACTTCTGAGGGTGCCCATTGCCCATGGCTTCATTGCCTGTCCACCCCCAGGGACCTCAAGGCCTAGCTGGGATCCTCTGGATATTGGGGGCCATGGCCGTCCCATCGTGGGGTCCTGCCTTTCCTCTCTCGGGGGCTGCAAGAGAGGTAGAGACTGGATACTCCAAGGCCACTGGTGCCCGGACAGTGTTATGTGTTTGTGCCATTCCTGCTTGGATGAGAGGGGGTCCAGGCGAGAGCTGGGGGCTTGCTAATGAACTTGGCTGGTATCTAGGGGGGCATTTTGGGAAGGAGGAAGGCAGAGTCCCTGCATTGGAGCAAATCCCTTGGAGGAAGCCCTGGCCCTCCTCCCTGTAGTGAGAAAGAGTGGCCTTGGGGCCAGAAGATGGCTCCCAACAAGGCACCCAGAGCCCCGGTGCCAAACCAGGGATGCTCAGTTCTAAATCTAGAAGGGTGGTAGGAAGCCCAAATAAGCATTGTCGGGGTGGGGGAAAAAAAACAACTTTTTTTGCTGTGAGGCCTTGAAACAATGTGAGAAGTTGTGAGAATTATTTCCCTGTGACCCTGGAAAGAGTTTTTAAAAATTTTTAAAGAGATGGGAGTCTCACTAGGCTGCCCAGGCTGGACTCAAATTCCTGGCCTCAAGCGATCTTCCATCTTAGTCTCTCTCCCCAGTTGCTGGGACTACAGGGGCAGGCCTGGGCCAAGCTTGTGGGAAGGTTTAAATGTTGACATGAAGTTAGCCCTTCTGAGGTTGGCAGGATGGTCAGGAGCAGGACAGTATCTGAGCTTCCACTCCTCACCCGCTGCTCTTGGCAGACATGGCTAATCAATCCCAGCCCTGTCTCCTGCTGAGTCCAGGGAGGGCCCACCTGGGAGGGCAACTGACCTGGGCATCCCTGATAGTGTTTTGCAAATGAGGAAATGGCGCTTAGAGAAGCCAAGTAGCCTGCCACAACCTCCCAGCTTCTAGGGGTGGAGTTGTGATGTAAACCTGATTCTCCTGACTCCAGAACTTTGTGATCATGGAAGCTGGTGGTCCAGGGGCCCTTTGCCCAGGTGGGGTTCTGCCGTGGTGCCAGCAGCTTTAATTATGCCCCTGCCAGAGCCCACCACTACTCCACCCAGCTACCCTCCAGATAGGCACAGTATGGCCAGGCTTGGCCTCACGGTCAGGGCCATCTCTCTTTCCCCACCCCTGGCTGCAACCTGCCTGTGCTTGGGTATAATTACATTCGGTTGCTTACACCCCGGGCTCTCAACTGCAGCCAAACAGTGCGCTGCAGCCTCCGAATGTGGGGCTTCTGATTCCCTCCAGCACGCTGGGCCTGCCTGAGGGGTGTGCAGGGACCAAGAAGGTGCAGTCACCAGGCTCATGCGGGCCCCAGACGGAGAGCTGGGGCTGGGCTTGGGGCCCTGGGGTGGGCGTGCTGGGGAGCAGGGTGGGGTGAGGCTCCCCTCTTTAGCTGCTAGGCTGGTGCCTCAGTACACCTTGGGCCTCGTTAGGAGGTAGTTTTCCTGGCTTTGAGGTTACCCTTTTAATTAAGCCAATTAATTAGTGCCTTTAATGAAGCAGATTAAGCAGGCTGGGCTCTGTTAACTGGGGCTGTCACAGCCCATGGTTTCCTGCAGATCTGTACTTAGAGGCCGGCCCTCCCTCCAGGGGCACTGAGGTGCAGGGTTAGGCTGGGCTGGGGATGTCTGTGGCCCCGATGGGAGTGTGGCCAGGAACCCAGGCCTGGGTTGGGGAGGCAAGGCTGGTCTGAGGCTGTAGGGACAACCCTGGACTCAGACACCACAGCACACAAGGGCCAGAGTGGGAGCAGGAAGTGGGAGGGATGTGGGGCCCCTACCCTGGGGATCTACAGGGGGCAGCTGGCTCAGCGGGGTCCTCAGCAGGTGTGACTGCCTGGGGGAAGGGGCTTAAGGGGCCTGGAGCCCCTACTTTCTCCTTCCCTTGCCTTCCGCTCTCTGGGACTGCTGGGCCTTGGTTGTTTCTAGCCCAGTGGGGTTGAGCCCTATAGCGGCATCCCGAGCCCCTTGCCTGCCCGCAGATGGGGAGGGGAGTGCTCAAGGTCACATGGGAGTTAGGGGCAGGGCTAAGATGCAAGGCCGCATACCCGGTTGCTTCCGTCATCCCCCCCACCACCTCTGCTGGCCCGGAGTCATCCTTGCATGGCACGGAGCTGTTCCTGCGTTCCAGCACCGTGCTGGGCGCTCTGCACTGTGATCTAGTTGACTCCTTGCTCCCACGTGGTTCAGAAAGCGAGGCCCTGGCCCTGGTGGCAGCAAGCAGCTGTCACCTCCACCTGCGAATGGGGATGAGGATCCCAGCTCCACAGCCCCTGAGTTCTACCAGGCAGGAGCCTGGAGCCCCACGGCTAGCCAGGGTCAGGGCAGGGAAGCGGAAAGGAGGCCCCAACCTCCCTGGGGACGTCTTTAGGTCTTCCAGGTTTGAGAGGACAGACCATAGCCTGCTTCAGGAGACAGTTGGCTCAAGTCATGACAGGAGAGATTTAGGTTAGACAGAGGAAGAACTGCCTGACAACGGGGATTATTAACAAGTTTGCAAAGGAAAGAAGCGGCCACTTCTCCAGGAGACTGAGTGCTTTCGGCAGCCAGCCTGATAGGCTTTGAGCTCTTCTGCAAACACCGCACTATAAATCCAGGGTGTTTCCAGTAAATATCAACAAAGTGGGTGCTGGGTTCGCTGTGCAGTACCCTCGGCAGCCCTCACCCCTTGCATCTTCTCTCTGCTCAGAGGTGCCTGATGGGGTGCAGAGTGGCAGCCAGCCAGCAGGCCCCAGGCTGGTCCATCTACCAGGGCAAGCCACGGTTCCTGGGCCTCCGTTTCCTCATCTTTAAAATGGGTGGAGTACTTGGTGAGGAGAGAGACAACCTCACCTCCTGCTTTTTGAAGAAGACATTCCCCTCTATCTTGCTCCCAAATCAACAAACTTCCTTGTTTCCTGCCTGAACCCCCACCTGGCCAGCCCCTTCCTGCCTTGATGGGTCCTCCTGTGTCACTCATCTTGTCTCCTCAAGTGGCCACCCCTTCCTTGGGTGGTACTTTCCAGCCAGCTTTTAAGGGAATTCTAGCATCTCCCGTGACAAATACCCCCACTACTCTTTCTGTCTTGGTGACCGCCCTCTTTCTCCCCTGCTCTTCACCGCTGAATTTCTCAGGATGGCTCAGGATCTCCTACCAGCCCTTTCCTACCGCCACTACCATCCAGACTCTGCCAGTCTTCTCCTTTCTTTCCCATGCTGACAGCCCTTCCTCCAGGAAGCCTTCCTAGATCCCCCCAGCCTGGTCCAGAAGGTGACCCTCATCACCGCCAACCTGTGTGTCCTGAGAGCAGCCCTGGGCTTTAGTTGTCCCCAGATCCACCATGCCCAGCACAGGGCCTGGCATGGAGCCCAGCCTGCAGGAGGTGCTCCTCTGGGCCGGGAGCAGGGTGAGGGGCAGCCAGTAGCTTTGCCTCGAATTTGCCTTGAGCGGGACACCATGCAGTGGGCGGGAGACAGGAACAAATGCCATCATCACACTCAGAGACACCTCTTTAAATACCAGCTGGAAGCAGCCCGGTTTCTGGGTGGGTGGAGTTGCCCTTCATTCACAAGAAACGATGGGGGATGGGTGCTTTGCACAGGCCAGGACGGGAGCTAGTGGCAGGGCAGGTAGCTCCTGGGGCCCAGGGTCTGCTTGTCCCCATCCTAAGTGGCTCCCCTGCCCCATTAGGGGGCTAAAGAGGAGCGGGGGAACCTTTCACTGGTGTCCTTTCCAGCACGGAGCACAAGGGGACTTTCTCTGTCCCTCCACGAGGCAGCCAGCCCAGCAGAGGCAGGGACATCATCTTTTGCTTCTATTCCCCGGGGCCTGCATGTTAGACCAGGAATAAATAGCCTGGATGGATGGATGGGTGGACAGATGGATGGATGGATGGATGATGGGCCATGGGAGGGAGTGGCAGGGGGATTCCCTGCTCCTCTGCACTGCCTCAGTTTCCCCTTTCATACAGAGGATGCTGGTTTGTGGGATTCAGCCTCTTTCTGGGTACCATTCTTAGCACCAGGCCAGGCCGGTGACTCTTGGGTCTGCTATTGTCCTTCCAGGGCTTTTGGCAGGCAGGGCACAGCAGGTGAGGGACAGATGCCATGCTGCCTGCAGCCGACAGCCGTATCAGCACCCGGGGAGCTCCTGGGAGGGACGCGCTGTCGGTCCTCTGGGCCTCAGGCCTCCTGTCCACAGAATGGGAGCACAGTTTGTCCTCCCTGTGGGCCAGGGTTGGCAGGAGGCTGTATTCAGACAGGAGGAGGAAGGGAGCTTGGAGTCTGCTCCACCCCCGGCAATAAGCAGCCCCGGCAGTTGGGACCCCCGCCCACTTTGCTCCCATCTTTTGGGCTGTGCAGGCAAAAATGCCTGGGTGTCTTTGCCCATTTGGCTTCCCTGGAGGAGCTGCAGCAGGTGGGCCCATGGGAGAGGCTGAGGGAGCTAGGCCTCAGCCTGTCTCCAGGGTCCCTGCTGCAGCCCCTACACGTTTTGCTTCCTGCTCCTCCCGCTACCCCGCCACTCCCCGCCCAGGCTCTGCTTCAGTGCCAGAATGAACAGGCCCCCTCTCCTAGTGGAAATTTACACCCACAGCCCAACCAGGCTGCCTGAGGGGAGGAGGGTGGGGAGGAAGGGGGAGCAGCTGCGGGAACAGGAGGCTGTACTAGAGAGAAGACAGACGGACGGAGAGACGGAGCCTGGGTCTCCATCTGTAGGCAACAGCCGGGGGCCTGGCCCAAACCTCATGCCCCAAAGGCTGCGGCCAGGGTGGCCAGCCCTGAGTCCGGATGGCAGCAGCCAGGGCTGGTTGTGATGGAGAAACATGGCCGACAGGTCACAGGGGACAGGCACCACCCGGGGCTGTGCCCACCAGCAGCACTCATAGGGGACAGCAGAGAACCCGGCAGGGGTGTGAGGCCCATCCTGGGGACCCCTTGGTGTGGGATGGGGTAGTGCGAACCCTGGGCTGAAGGAAGGGTTCTGGCTGGTGCAAGGCCTGTCCCACCCCCTGGGATGACCTCCACTCTGCCTTCTAAACTCATCTACACTCCCTAGACCCAAGGTACCAGGGTCGGAGCTGGTCTGCACCCATCGGGCTGACACTGCCACAGGACAGCCCCTCCTTTGCTCCCAGCTTCCCCACCCAGCCCGGGTACAGCCTTGGCCCTTCCTTTCAGCTTCTGCGCCCGTGTCACCCCCCTAAGCAAGCCTGCCCTGGGCTCCCAGGCTCCAGGCCTCCCTGCAGGCCAGCCTGCGTCGCACCAGCTCTCACGAAACAGGGCTTCCTGTGTGTTCATCGGCTCCCTAAGTGCTTGCTGGACCCGGGTGCCCCTGTGCCACTTTAGGCCACAGCCAGCCCCGTGTTTATAAGGCTGGGAGAAAGGGCAGCCTCTGGGACCAGCTTGGCTGGGGGCTGAACGTAGGGGACGGGACAGCCCATTGGTGGTTCCTCCCTGCAGACTGAGAGCAGGTGGGGTCCCTCTGCTCAGGCCGCAGGGACCCCTCATCCACCCTGTATGTGCACAGCTCTTGCTCGGTGAACAGTTTCACCTACCAAGGCAGATTTAAAACCTCATGGGGAGTGACCCACATGGTGCCAGCTCATGCCAGTTCTGAGGACAGAGAGAGGCCAGACCCAGTCCCTCCCCTCAGGAAGCCCCAGCCAGCCAGGAAGGCTGGCGTGGAGGCAAGCCCAGCTCTCCAGGCCAAACAGCTGCCACGCCCATTTTACAGATGAGAGAGGGGCTGGCATCCTGAGGCCATCTGGCTGGTCACTGCCCGAGCAGGACCTACACCCAAGGGCCTGGACCCCTTGAAGATCAAGGTCAGGAGAGGGGGCTACAGGGTCCCCAGGGTGTCTGCTCCCCCACTCTATCTGTACCCAGACCTGAGGGAGACCTTCCCACAAAGGGGTGCCTGACATGGCCCAGGAGGAGGAAGGGGACAGCCACTTGTTGAGCGCTTACTCTGTACTTGGTGCTGGGCATGTTCGCGGGTCCAGCAGGCAGCAGCACCCCTTTCCACTTTACAGTTGTGGAAACCGAGGCACGAATTCGTGAGGTCACAGGATTTGAACTCATGTGGGTGCAACCCCAAAGCCAGTTTTCTTTCCACTGTGCCACCCCTGGGCTCCCAAGACAACGCTGCCACTGCCACCCCACCTTGTGCTCAGCCTCCTGGGACAGCTGGCCTGCCACCATCTGTGAGCCACTGAGTAATGCGCAATGTAATCTGCGACACTGGGCTGCGCTAGGAACAATTGCGAACCCATTACAGGCCTATTTTCCTAATCCATGACACCTTACTGCAGCCCCCAGCGACTGTGTTTCTGGGATAGACGGTGGAATGCTGTCCACCCACGAAATGACTAATCCTCTCTTTCTGGGGCTGGTAGAGAGGTGGGCATCTGAGCAGGGTAACCTGCTCCTGCCCCGAGGGTGCTCTCGGATGAGCAGTTGGGGACTACTGTCGGCTCTGCTGTGCTCCTTGGTGCCCATCTCAGCCCCCATCCGAAGGCTGACGCTTAGAGGAGGCAGCCCAGGCAGGGCTTAGTCTGGACAGTCACCTGCAGGTGAGGAGGGCTTGGGGGGGGGTCCTCCCCTGTATGCCAGGCCTGACGAGGGGGCACCTGTAGCTGCCACCTGGGTGGGCGAAGAGCAGGTCAGGCCTTTTCCCAGGCAGCTGCCTCATGCCTTTTGGAAGGGGCAGCAGATGCCCAGGCCTGGGAGATGCCACGAGGACACTGAAGAGGGGGTGGTGGAGGAGCCGGCAGCTGCCGGGTGCAGCGGGCACGGCCCTGTAATTGGGCAGCCTGTTCCCAGATAAGGCCCATGACACTGAACAGCTTCCCGCTCCACGCCGGCTGCAACCGCTCATTTCCTGCTCCCTGGCCAGCGATGCCAATTACCTCGCCTCCTGCTTGCCAGCGGCAGCTTCTAGGGTGGCCAGACGATTCCTCTGTCATCGGCCAGGGCCTGGATCCTCTCTGACGGGTGGGAGGGCGTGAAGAGGGCAGCCGGCAAGGGGGGGTAGGACCAGTGATAGGGGAGCTTCCATCTTCACTCTGGCCTGGGCCACACCCAGGCACAGCTGGAGGTGGGGGTGAGTGACACATGGACCCAGGCTACCGTGGGAGGGCTCCATTTCCCCCTCTGCCCCTACCTTCAAAACAGGGGCTCACTGTCTACTGGATGGGCTGAGGAGTGCCTGATGCTCTTTGGATGGAGTGAGGATGGGCACCCAATTTGCACTGGGGGAAACTGAGGCTCACATGGAAATTTGACCAGTGCTGAAAGGACGGAACAGCCCCTGGTCCTTCTCTTCCTCTTCTGTGTTTCCCCCAGAGGACAGACTTGGGGAGCAGTAGGAGGGGCAGCCTGTCTAAAGGGGGCAAAGGCTGGCTCCAGATTCCTCTTGCCGAGCGGGGAAAGGGGAGAAGCAGGTGAGAGGTGCCGCCCTGTGAAGAGGGTCTTGCGGGTCCTGGCTCCACTGAAGGTGGATGCGTGTAGCCACCGACATGGGAGGCGTTGCGGGCTTATCCCAAGAGGCTCGCAGCCCAGCAGGCTGCCCTGCTCCCTGTAGTGGGGGTGGGAAGAGATGTCCCCCCAGGGTTGGAGGCTGGACAGGGAAGCGTGGGCCCACCTGTTCTGAGAGGGCATCCCATGCCCTTCCACAGGCTGACCCTGGGTACCCAGGCCCCCCAGGCCATCCCTGCCTGCAGGGTACTTCCACCCTCATCTGGGGAACAGGCATCTCAGAGGCTGGAAGGTGTGTGTGCCTCCGCAGGGGTCTCGGGGTACCTGGACTCTTGGATGGATGGTGGGCCAGAAAAGTCCAGCCCTGCAGTGGTGCAGATGGGGAAACTGAGGCCTAGGCACAGAGAGGGGCAGGTCACTCAGCTACTCCCAGCTGAGGCAAACGCAGGCCTTCCCCTCTGAGTCCGGGTCTATTCCCTCTCCTGAGTTTCTCAGTTAATCATTTTGGGTCTTCCAAGGGTCCTGACCCCGAGAGGCCCGCCCCTAGGCGCTGATTGGTTGCTACTGATCCAATAGGGTCCAGCCCTTGAAGGCCGAGGAGGCGAGGCGAGGCTGGCAACCGCGACCTCCTGAGCAGCTGGGGCGCTTGGGGGATGTTGGGGGGCCGGGGCACCCTGTGGTACTGAGGGCCGGGAAGGGCGGTGCGGGACGTCCAGGGGCCCCCCTCCCACACGGCAGGGGGGAATGGCGAACAACTCCCTAAGGGGCAACTAACAGACCAATTAAGCTGCCAATAAAAAATTTAATCAAGTAATAATGCACCTTACTTTGTTTAATTAGTGTTCTGTCAAGTGAATGAATATTTAAGGCGCGGACGGCGGTGCCAGCATCTGCCCAGCGGGCAGAGAGGCCAGGCCCACATTTCAAGCGGCCTGACAGCTCCCCACGCGGGCGCCCAGGAGGCCCCAGAGCTCCGGGAGCGGCGGGAGGTCTTCCTCCGCCTGCAGGCCGATCTGGGCCTCAGTTTCCTCATCTGTAAAATCGGGGGCAGGAGTCCAGCAGAACACCAGCCTTTCTGCCAGACCCAGAAGGCCTCGGATTGGTTGTGTTTCCGGATCCCTAGAGTCCCAGGCAGGTGCGGGAGGCATGTGGGACCTGGGGCCCCTGTCGGGGCTGCCCGCGACTCCAGGCCCTCACAGATGCCTGGCGGCTCCGAGGTCGGAGCTGTGTGTGCTGTGAGGGGTACCCAGAGCAGGCCCCAGCCTGGAGATACGCTGGGCAGTGGCCTCCCATGCGCGCACAGCCTGAGGATTAGAACTGGTGAAACTGGGTTCTCCTCCGGACGCCGTGACCTGGGGCAAGGTCTGTCTGCGCTTCTCTTTAGTTCATTCGTTCATTCATTCATTCATTCATTCATCAACTTCGAGGCTGAGCTCTGTGCCGAGCCCACTGTATTTTCACCGGAAAATGCGAGACTTTCATTTCTACCTCTCGAATGCCCAGTCTTTGAGTCCTGCAGCCCCCGGGTCGCCCGGGTCCCGGAGCCGGCGGGTGTGAACGGGGCCAAAGCCCTCCAGGCCGGGCGTGTCAGCCCCGCCCCCGAGGCTCTTTGCATATTCATGACCTTGGCGGGCATGCGCACCGCGGCGGCGGCGGCGGCGGGGCTCCCGGGCCGCCAGGCGACCGGGCGGGCCGGCGTCGACCTTCCCCGACCCAGGCATCCTCAACCGCGGCCTCCTCCTCCCTTGTCTTGATGGAAAGGGCTTGGCGTCCCCCCCACTCCCAACCACCTGAGAGCCTCGCGCTGGAAGGACTTTGGTAATTATTTGTTTCAGTTGAGCTGTTTTCAGTCTAGGCTAGGCTGAGTCTTGTAATGAGTATGGATTTGCCAGTAAATAAGTCCCCCGCTTCTAACCCCTGTAATAAATGCATTTGGAGTAATCTGGCGATCACGCGGTGTAATTGCTGGCTGTCAGGGCAGATGGATGCTCCGCGCGCCGACTTTGCAGCCGTCTGCCCTTCCTTCACGCTGAGCCTCCGCCCCCAGCCCGCAGCCTGGAGGTGAGGGCCCTCTGCTAGGCAAGAGGAATGGGCTTGGCCCGCCCAGACCCCAGGCCGGCCTCCCAGGACCTTGGGGTGCCTCCTGCGCCCAACAGCTTCGTGGGCTTTCCAAGTCCCCTGCCTCTGACCCCGCAGTCCCCAGGCAGCTCCTCCCCGGCTCTGCACTGTGATCACCGGTCTTGTTCACCATTCAGGGTTCTGAGCACCACCCCCCATTTGCTGCATTGGGTTATCTGTGGATGGGGTCCGAATCTGCATGCCTCTCTGGCTCCAAGTTAGGCAGCTAGGGCACTTTTGATATGATACTATCAAGGTCCAATTTTAATTTTTAGAGGAGTAAATGAGACTTTTTTTTTTTTTTTGAGATAGGGTCTCACTCTGTCACCCAAGCTGGAGTGCAATGGCACGATCACAGCTCACTGCAGCCTCAACTTCCTGGGCTCAAGCCATCCTTCAAGCCATCCTCCCACCTCAGCCTCCCAAGTAGCGGGACCACAGGCGTGTGCCACCACGCTGGCTTTTTTTTTTTTTTTTTTTTTTGTAGAGACGGAGTCTTGCTATGTTGCCCAGGCTGGACTCAAATTCCTGGGCCTCTGCCACCACCATGCCACCCCCACCCCCCTGCCCCCTTCTACTTGCTTCTGTTAGTTACTTTCCCAAACAAATCCTGTCCTGAGATTCTGTCCTGTCCAAAGCCTCTGCCTGGCATGCCTTTGCCCCTTCTCTGCCTGGGGGATGTCTGCTTAGCTGTGCTGAAATGCCCCTCTCCTCCGCAAGGCCTTCCTGGATTTCCCCAGACAGGGATTCCTCTGGCTGAGCACCCACAGGGGCCTGGTTCTGCCACACTATGAGGGTTCCACCTCCCCTTTGCTTCTTGGAGTACTCCCTGTGCCTTGCATAGTACTTGGCACACAGTAGGTGCTCAGTAAATGCATCTATCAGTGAGTGAGTGATGAGCCCTGGGTGTCTCCCAGAGGGAGTCCTGCGTCTGTGGCTGGCTCAGACATATGCAGAGGCCCTCCCACACCTGGAGGTCTTATGTCTGCCTAGCCCTCTGCCCACACCCTGGAACCAACTGGGCATAGGCGGAAGGCTCGCCTCACACAGGGCTGCAGGAAGCATCACAGATTTCAGCCAATCTGGCGCAGCCTCCTCCTGCACTCTGGCACCCAAACAGAGGTGACTGTGAGACTCTTGTACAAGCTCGGTCTCTGTTTCCTGAACACCACCATGTACAGGCACTGTCCTGGGCGCTGGGGATGGAGCAGCAAAGGCACGTGGCCCTGCCTCAGTCTCCAGCTCTGCAGCAAGGTTTCTCAGGGAAGCCAGAGTGCTGAAGGCTTCCAGTGTGCCCGTCCTGCCCCGCGCAGCCTGACCCAGGCTGAGGCCCCAGATGCCCACCCCAAAACCAGGCCGGGCAGGTCTGGGGTGCCTGGCTTTATCAGGTGCCTGCCCACACAGCTCACACAGCAGGGGCAGAACTCAGCAGGGGCACCTCCACCCCGGCCCCGCCTCCTAGGCCAGTCCTTCCCAGCCCTGCACTCAGTGTGACCCTTCATTCCCCACAAACACCTGAGCCACCTCCGTGCTCCAGCATGGCCTGGGGCTGGGACAACACAGCTGCAAGGGGACAGGGCTCCCGGCCCATCTTCCGAGCTGTGAGGGATTCAGTGAGATATAACTTGAGCAAAAGCACCATGCCTGGTGACAGTCGTTCTAGTTTAGTCTCCATATGAGTGGAAACTTCAGAGAACAACGCGGGCAGCAGAGAGGCCACCCTATGGTGATCAAAGGCACAGATGCAGGAGCTGGGTGTGTTAAGGCTCTGTGCGCCCTGCTTAGGGTACACAGAGAGGTCGCTTACCCTCTCTGTGCCTCAGTTTCCTCATCTGAACAATGGAGAGCAATATTAGCGCCCTCTTCCTAGGGATAATATTGGCCAAATGAGTTAACAGTTGTAAAACACCTAGAGGATTGCTGGGTGCAGGGAGGTGCCACACACGTGTCAACTGAAAATCCAGCAGAGACCCATGCCAGATGTCAGGGAAGCCCAAGGAGCGATGGAGGGAGAGGAGGAGGACTTCCAGGGGTGGCGAATTGTGCTTTTCTTGAAGGATGAACAGTTCATCAAGGGGTGGGGAAAGGCATCCTGGCAAAGTCCCAGGTGCCCCCCAAAAGTCTCCGTTACTGCCCAGCAGCCAGCAACCTTCAATGCGGCCTCTTCCCCGGCGTCTCTTCCTGGTGAAGCTCACGTAGGAATGAAACCACCTCTGGAGGAGTGGGGTTTGTGTGACGTGGGAGTGTGTGCTGGATGGGCAGAAGCCTGGGGGTGTCAAGGGACACACCTCAGCGGGTGCTGAAACCTACTCCCCCCTCCATGGGCAGCCACGCGGTCCTCGCCCGGCTGTCAGCCAGCAATCATGCCTAATAAAGGCCCCAAATGAGACAGCCGAACAGGAGCACCTTCACTCTAACAATGCAATTAGCACAGACAATGCCTCCCGCTTTCTCCCCAGCCCCAGAGAGGGTGGTGGAGGGGGACCAGCCGGGCCCTCCCCAGTGAGCTGCGGAGAGGTTTGAAAGGAACCAGTGATAGACTAAGAGGTGACAATGAATCGCATCCGAGTGACGGCTCCTCTTGTCAGGCAGCCGCAGGGAGAGAGCGCATCTTCACTGGATCTTTGTAGGTTAGCCAGCTTTGAACAGCGACACCCACACAAACCCGAGGTCTCTCTCTCTGCGCCCCCTATCTCTCCAAGCCCCTCGGTCTCTCCCACTCTCCCTTTCAGCATCTTCTCTCTCTTGTCTTCTGAGGACAGATGCAGGCTGGGTTTACATGAATAAAACATCAGTGTAGGGGAAAAAAATCCCAAACTGCACAGCCTAGGGTTGGGGACAAAAAGCAACCAAGCCACACCGTAGTCTCCACGTGCAGCCCTGTTCAGGCGGCGGGTAGGGGGGTGATGTCTCATCAGAAGAGGGGCCTGCCTGTCCAGGTAGATCCTATGGGGCCACAGGCATTGGATGGAGGATGGAGGAGGCTCAGGGCCAGTGCCGGGACTCCAGCTCCTCTGGGCACTGGGCAGGCAATCTCTGTTTTCTCTTGGCCAAAGAACCGGAGGCCTCAGGCCTGCCCCGGATGGGCACGCAGGCAGGGTGCATATGTACGTATGTGCCTGGCATGGTCCTTGCCTGAGTCCTGCCTGCTGGCTGACACGGAGCTGGCTTTCTTCCCTGGCCCTGTTAAAACCCAGAATGTATCCTGACAGCATTGGAACAGGATGCAGAGTAGGGGCCTCTGGCAGGACATTAAACGGCACCGAGATAGAAGGAGGGGGGCCCTCCCTGAGTTCTCCTCTCCCCTCCCTGCCAGCCCCCCAGCAGGCAGCCAGGCCTGGACCCACCATCCAGCAAAGGCTGACAGAACAGAGGCTGCCAACTAAAACCTGGGCACCCGGTGGCCAAGAGGCTAGAGTTTCACAAGGACCTCATTCATTCATTCATTCATTCATTCATTCATTTGATGAGTGCTTCCAGAGCCCACCTATGACGTGCCAGGCAAGGCGGCAGGCAGGAGGGCCACCATGGTGACTGAGACAGACTCAGGGTCTTTCCCTACACTCCAGAGCACAGGCTAGTTGGAACAAGCCAGAGGCGGGCAATGCTGGTGCTAGGGACATGAGCAGGGGTGAAGAAGCCCAGCAGGGCCCAGCACAGGCACCTGAGCCAGACTCGGCGGCCTCGGAGAGACTTCCCAGAGGAGAACGGGCTACACGTGGGCCTGGAGGTGAGGTAGAAGTGGCCCAGGGAACGGGTGCAGGACAGAGTTTCAGGAAGCAGGCCTGGGGTCAGAGAGGCCCAGAGATGAAGAGCGGGTAGAGTGTTGAGCGATCGGAGCAGTGAGGCGGTGGGTGGGCAGGATCGGGCAGGTGGCGGGCAAGCGTCAGCTGCCTCAACATGCAGGAGGCCAGGCTTTGTTCTGAGGGCGGCTGGGGCCTTGGAGGGTTTTAAGCCAGGTCCTCACAGATTTGCCATGTACGAAGAGTTCACCCACTACCTCCGCTCCAAAACAGAACATTTACTGAGGCTCCAGAGAGCCTGGCAGGGTGTGTGCTTGTCCTGAGCTACAGAGGACTTAAAAGATGAACAAGGGGCCAGGCGCGGTGGCTCATGCCTGTAATCCCAGCACTTTGGGAGGCCAAGGTGGGCGAATCACGAGGTCAGGAGATCAAGACCATCCTGGCTAACACGGTGAAACCCAGTCTCTACTAAAAAATACAAAAAATTAGCCAGGCATGGTGGCGGCCGCCTGTAGTCCCAGCTACTTGGGAGGCTGAGGCAGGAGAACGGTGTGAACCCGGGAGGCGGAGCTTGCAGTGAGCTGAGATGGCGCCACTGCACTCCAGCCTGGGCGACAGAGCACGACTCCGCCTCAAAAAAAAAAAAAAAAAAAAAGATGAACAAGGAGACTCCCCCTCTCTCCATGCACAGGCAGGCAGGTGGGAGATCGCAACAACCATTCACCCCAGTGCAGAGTGGTTGGCAGGGAGAAGAGCACAACTAATCCTGCCTCAGGAAGGCTTTCCAGGGGAGGTGACCTTTGGATGAGTCTTGATAGACAAAAAGAAGCTTGCCAAGTGGCTATAAAGATGAATTTAGGCCGGGTGTGGTGGCTCACGCCTGTAATCCCAACACTTTGTGGGGGCTGAGGTGGGCGGATCACCTGAGGTCAGGAGCTCAAGAGCAGCTTGGCCAACATGGTGAAACCCTGTCTCTACTAAAAATACAAGAATTAGCTGGGCATGGTGGTGGGCACCTGTAATCCCAGCTACTCAGGAGGCTGAGGCAGGAGAATTGCGAGAACCTGGGAGGCGGAGGTTGCAGTGAGCCAAGATTGTACCACTGCACCCCAGCCTCGGTGACAGAGCGAGACTGTCTCAAAAAAAAAAAAAAAAAAAAAAAAAGATGAATTTAGGCCAAGCATGGGTGGCTCACACCTGTAGTCCCAGCACTTTAGGAGGCCGAGGTGGTAGGATCACTAGAAGCCAGGAGTTTCAGACCAGCCTGGGCAACAAAGCAAGAACCCCGCTATCTCTACAAAAAATTTTAAAAAATTAGCGGAGTGTGGTGGCATGCGCCTGTAGTCCCAGCTACTCCAGAGGCTGAGGCAGGAGGATCACTTGAGCCTGGGAGGTCAAGGCTACAGTGCAGTATGATCCTACCTGTGAATAGCCACTGCATTCCAGCCTCCAGCCTGGGCAACAAATCAAGACCATGTCTTCAAAAAGAAAAAAAAAAAAAAAAGAATGTAAATAATCACGCTCCTTCTGAGATGTCTGCCTGCAAGGTGGGAATACGATGAGAGCCCCCAGGCATGAGGCTTCCTTCCTACCTTCCAGGCCCTTCTGAGTACTTAGATCAACTTAATCCTAACAACTATCCTACGAGAACTCCATTAGACAGAGAGGCAACTTGAGGCTCAGACTGTGAAGCAGATGGCCAAGGTCAGGCTGCTGGAAGCTGAAGAGCCAGGATTCAGGCTCAGGCTATAGCTCCGGAGCCCACGCCCCAGCCCAGGTGCTGCCCGCCCCAGTGCGCTACGGAGGGTCACACAGAGCCCAGCTGGCATCCCAAGCCTCTGCCCTCACGCTAGGCAGTCCCTGGGGAGATTGGATGAGGGGCTCAGGGACCCCCCATGCCCAATGTCCTGGCTCATTTGGGTAAACTAAGGCCTGGCAGAATGGAAGCCATTCTCATTACACCACAGGCCAGGGCCAAGTAGGCAGGGCTGGTGGGGGTGGGAGGCCGGCCATACCCACCTGTAGGCACATGCGGCTCCAAGGAGATGGCAGATGGGAGGGGTGGGGAGAGGCCTTGCATGGCACCCACTCCCACCTGTGCGGCACGAGAGGGAGGGAAGGAGCATCATTAACACGACATGGCCTCCTCCCCACTGCTCAGCCTCTCCCGGAGGATGGTGAGGGGGGAATCCATTATCGGGCAAAATAGCAGCTGCTGACGTGAAAATGAAATATAGATTCAATACCTGAGCCTTTCAGCTCACAAATCATGCCCCCGGCCCAGGTGACAGCCAGCACAGACGCCCAGCTCAGATAACAGAAGGGAGGAGATAGGTCGGGGACGGGGACAGACGGCACCTCCCCAACTCCCCAGCCCCTCCCCCTGGGGCTCAGGGACCCAAAGCAGGGACCAGGACCCAGGCTTGTCTCCCTCCTGTCCCTAGGTGGGTGACGCACCAACATGCCCGTGGCCTCCGGTGCACACACAGGGTCCCCAAGCAGGCAGCTGGAGGGCTGGGGTGCCTGGAGCTGCCCTGCCTGCAGTGATTGCGGACACGCCCCTCGCGAGGCACCGCAGGCTGCCACCCCCAGCTTGTGAACTGGGGGTGGCCCCAGAGCTGTTTGTTTTCCCTGACTGAGGGGCGGCTGTGCCACCCCCACACTCCTGAAATGGGTGATGAGGGGGTTGGGGGAGGAGCTGAGCGGCCCACTTCCTGCTGCTGTCCATTTAGCCAGCGGTTCGCTCGGCTTTTAGGAGGGGGCTGGCGGTGAACCCATCCCCGTTACAATGCACTCAGGGACCCTGACAACTAATTTAATTTAAAACAGCCTTGCAATAAAAGCTCAGAACGGAAAACCGCCGGTCTTGGGGGTTATTTAACAAATTGCCTCACAGATAAATACATTAAAATGATTCTCAAACCGGAGCCGGGCGAAGTTGAAGTAAAATTAAGAAAGTTGAATCAAAATGTAAATTAATGGCATTAAGATATGGCGTTCAAATTGGCAGGACTCACGCTTCGGGAGTGTTGGCAACGGTTCTGCCTTCTGTTCAGGTGATGTGGCACCTCCACGCGGTGTCAGAAACCCCTTCAGTCCCAGGCATTGGGGAGCTGGTGGCAAGGCCACCCCAACCCCACCCAGCACCCGCCTGTCCCACTCTTCCGCCTTTGGGGACAGTGATGCCTACCAGGCCCTGGCAGGCTCAGGCCCAGCTGCCCGCATGCCCTAGTAGCTGTAAAATGGAGGTATCTACTGCATTGACCTCACCAGCTGCTAGCAAGGAATAAAAGAGTCTGGGCACGGTAAGGGCTGGCACAGATTGGAGCCCTCCACAAACATGAGGTCCTAGGATAACGATGGTTGTCTCCCTTGCACATATTTACTGCCGATTACTCTTACAGAGCCCCGCATTCCCATTTGATTGGCAGATAAACTGAAGCCAGGGAAGCCCAGGCAGAATAGATAGGGTTCCATGTGCAGAGGGGCTTTTGTCTCTACCCCCTCCAGCCTGCACCAAGGGTCCTGATCTCACGTGTCTGTCTCTCCCAGCTGAGGGCAGAGAAGCTGCAGCTGGGACAGCTGCTAGCCTGGGAGCCCAGATAATGGGCTCAGAACCTGGGAGCACCCCCATGGGCATGCTCCCCCATCCTTTGTGGGCCTGTGTCACTGAGCAGCCCTCCCAGCCTGGTTGAGTGAGCCTCGGCCTTCCCCGGAGGTTCACAGAAGTGTGGGGACTTGGCGGGAAATGGGCATCCGTGTGAACCCCCACCCCAGAGTGGCCCAGGTGCCAACAGACAGCACTGGGAACATTATCTAGAGCTGCCTATCCTGATAGTGCCACTCACTAATCAGCTTGGGACAGAAAAGAAGAGGGATTCCTCCGGGGGCAGTGGCAGGTGGGGGTGGGGCAGGATGGGGGCAGGAGAAGGAGCCCTGGAGAACCAGTTAGGGGTGTGAGGGTGACGGTGTCCAGCACTTCTCCCAACCTTCGATTGCAGGGGTCGAGGGAGAGGTGCGGGGAGCAGAGCAGGAGGGCCACTGCGCGCGGCCGGGGGCCCGAGGTGGGCGCCTTCACCTGGATCCGCAGTTCTACCTGACACCGGAGACAGCTCTGAACCGCAGGGGAAGGTGCTGCCAGGCCTGGATGAGGCACGGCTGTCAGCCGAAGAGCCTGGGGGGCACAGGAGGCTGCCAGAGGATGGGGGTCTCTCTCTGGCCCAAAGCCCCAGGAGCCAGACCTTCTCCCTGCCATCTGGCTCAGGGACCCTGGGGGTCTTGGAGCCCACTCCCCAAGGACAAGCTGCTGGCCAGTCTGGTCCCCTTTAGCCTCTGGCTCTGGGGTAGGGGAAGGGCAAGCACAGCCACAGGAAGCCTTTGTGGGGAGGGAGGGGCTCTCCCTGCCCGTGTGGTGCCCCTAGCTGTGGGGCCAGGTGTGGAGGGGGCCAGGGCTGCTGATGCCTCCTGCAGTGGCCTGACCCCATCCTGGGCATGGGGAGGCAGCCCCTCCATGGCTTCCCTGCAGGGGCACAGGCAGAGCAGGCGGTGGTGGGGCTGGTGACACCCCCGGGCCCGGCCCCGGCAGCTGTGTCACCTAAATGCTTCGCCAGGAAACCTCCGCACGCTGCCGGCCACTGCAGACGCAGCAGACGCAACAGGCTTCTTATCGACAGTCATTAAGTCTTTAGCAAATGGTTCAGAGAGAAAAAATAGCCACGATGAGGATTTATCTTGGGCGCCCCTCCCAGACCTCAACTGAGAAGGCACATGTCACCCTGAGCCCGACTCGCGCCCAGTGGGATCAATGTCCCTCTGCAGGGGGCAGAGCAGGGGGCCAGGAAGCTGGGGGACAGGCGGGGATGGTGAGAGGTGTCCGCCAGACCAGGCTCTGTGCTAAGCACTCCCTGCAGCCTCTTAATCCTCAGGGCAGCATGAGAGATGGATGCTGTTATCACTATTATACCCCTTACATAGATGTGGAAACTGAGGCCCGGAGAGACCAGGTCGTGTGCTCAGGGTCACACAGCTGGTTGGGCGACAGAGATGTGAGGTGAATCCCTGCTGCACCAAGTGGGGTGTCTGAGTCTACTGATCAGAGCCCTACCTGGGCTGCCAGTCCTCAGCCCAGCCTTGGGGAAGGAATCGGAGCCTCCTCATGTTCCCTGGGGGCCTCGGAGCTGTGACTGAGAATTCCAATGATCCTCCTGGCCCTTCTGAGCTTGAGCTTTCTCTCCTATAAAATAGAGCCGGCCACGCCTCTCCAGGAGAGGCCTCCGGGAGGGACTGCAAGGGATAAAACGCCAAACAAATAGGAGCTGGTGGGAAGCTTTCGGACCCTCCTTGCAGGAATGCAGGCCATGGGAAGGCTGCCCGAGAGCAGAGCTCGAGAACTCGAAGCAAGTCAGGTGGGATCCAGCCTCACCCTCCCCTCTCCCCCGGAGGGGCCCCCTTCCCAGAGGAGGAGAAAGCACCATAACTAACACTCGGGCTGGGGCCTCAGGGGCCTCCCAGCTGATCGGGGCAGATTTAACAGGACTTTGAAAAATAAAAAAGGTAAAACAGCAAAACAGCTGCCTGCTCCTCCCGCTGCAATAAAAATGGATTTATTTGTTCGTGGAATGAAATTTAATAACTGGTGGGAGACGAGGCGTGAACAATAATAGTTTTTTGCTCTTTCTCGTTTTGGAAGAGGGGAGAGGAGGAAGGAGGAATGAATGGGGCCCCCCTCTGGGACACTTGGGGAAGGGGTACCCATGGGTCCACATCTTCTAGGGGTTGGTTAAGTAGACCAAGGAGGGGCTGTCTTTATTCCAGGCTCTGAAGGGTTTGACTATTCAATCCTCAGACCTCCACAGTTCACAGAGCGGCCATACTCATCTCTTTATTCTTCTCTGTGCACCTGTTGGGGACACCAGGCCTTTGTCTCTGTTGGGACCTCCACCTGGGGTGGCTTTTTGCCTTTGTTGTCAAAATTCTACTCATCCTTCCCCAGAGCCCCCTCAAAATAACCTCCTCTAAGGCCCCTGGTTTCCCCCAGCTGCAAACCACCCTCCCAGCCTTCCTCCCTAAGACCCTGTCAGGTACCTCTCTCTCTCAGGGAACCCACAGGGTTCCCACCCAGCACAGGCCTGTGTGGGGTACTCAGGTGCTCCCTGATTCCAGCTGGGATCCCAGACCTGCGGTCTCAATCTCTGGGCCCAGCACAGAGCAGCTCTCTAGCAATGTTTGTTGAATGAATGAATGAAACTCACGGATGGAGACCCAGTGTCTACCCTTCCCCTTAACTGGTATGGCCAGGGCTGGGGCTGGGCTGAGGCCAAGGAGAGCATTGTCCCCTTGGCCAGCTCGCCCAGGAGTCACCCTGGGGCCCATCCCAGACCAGGGGCCCACTCTGGGCAGGGTGGGAAACCTTGCCCCTTAGTTTCCTTCCCCAAATGACCGCTCTTCCCACTACAGGTTCTGTCGTATCACCTCTCCAGACCTGTTTCCCCATTTGTGAAGTGGGAACCACAGAGCCCCCCAGCTTGGTGGTTATGGGGTGGTCATGAGACCAAGGCCCTTTGTCAAGCAGGAGGCCCTAGAGTCACAGATGGCAGGAGACTGGCCTGCCCCATCCTCCTCAGGGCCTGTGGGGCCTAAAGGCCAAGGGGTAGGGATGGATCTTTAAGGGGCATCGAGACTCACCCAGGCCAGGCTGTGGGCCGTGGGCAGTAGTGGCGAGAGCCCTGGGAGGGCGCCTCAAGAAGCAACCCCTAATCTGCCCAGTGACACTTCTAGGTCCCGGCTCTGCAGTCTGGAGAGGCCTCAGCTGCCGAGGGGAACGGGCTGGCTCCTGAGCCGCTCCAGCAGGTCGATAGCAAAACAAACGCACTATTGACCGCCGCGCGCACTAAATCCTCCCGGCAGACAAGATGATGTGAGCCCGAATCGAATCGACTGCTGAACTCATAACCGCTGGGGCCTGCCCCGGCTGGCAGCCAGGGGTGGGAGTGAGTGGGAGCTGTGGCTGGGCCTGGGGGGACTTGGGGGTCGGGAGCAGGGTCTGCTTCATCCTCAGCTGCTGTGGGATGGAGGGGCTGGTTCTGCACCCAACCCACAGATGGGTACAGGGGTGATGCCGGCCCTGGAGAGCCAGGCCCCAGAACTGTAGCAGCCTGTGGCTGCACCAGGGCGAGCCTTTGGGGGTTGCCTCTGGCAGAGGCCGTGGAAGCCAGCAATGCAGGAATCCCAGAAGCCAAAATTAGAAGGTCAGCTGATCCGGCTCATTTAAAAAAAAAAAAATAATAATTACATAACATTGGATAAATATGAAACGTACATGTGGCATTCCATAAGTTACGAGCATGATGATAAACCAGGCACCCGTGAACCCGCCACAGAAACTAATAACATAGCAGCTGCGCTGCATCCTGACGTGTGGCCTTGGCCATGTTTGCTGGGGCCTTGGTCTCCACAAACATCAGATGGGGATAACAAAGCCCCCTCGCCCCCATGCCCTGGTTATAGGGCTGTTCTCCCCATGCCCTGGTTATAGGGCTGTTCTGGGGATTAGAGGAGTTAATGTCTTAAAGCACTAGAAATACATTAAGAAGCAACTGCTTTTGGAATCTGGGGTTGATCTCTGTCTTGCTTTGTGTTGCAGCTCCACCCTGCATGTGGCTCAGTGGTCCCCAACCAGAGCGTCTGAGGGTCTGTGAACCCCGAATCCCACATAAACCTACGTGTGGAGCAGGGGCTTTATTTTTTCTCAAAAGAGTCAGGTTCTCAAGGTGACCTTCCCCAAAGTGGAACCCTCTGATCTGTTCTAACTGCCCTGTCTTCTGAAGGGTCCTGCAGCCCAGAGAGGGGTCGGGACCCACCCACAGGCAGCCAGAGGCAGAGCCAGCAGGCCCAGCTCCTGACGGCACAGAGCCACTTGTCCCTGCTCCAGGGTGCCCAGACACATGCAAAGAGGCTGCGGAGGGGGCCAGGGACCCCCACCGTGGGTTTCTGAGGGCCACGGGGCACCAGGCACAGACTCCCAGGGCTGCCTGCTTCTGCCTAAGTTTACCCCCTCATCCGGCCATCGGTTTCTTCAGAGATACTTCTGGGTACCCGCTCTGTGCTGATGGAGCTGGCTGTGATCAACCGGCTGTCACTTAACCAGTGTCCTGTGCCCCCAGCAGACTCCCACTCCCCCATGCCCATCCTGGCTTTGCTCTGAGGCAGCCCAGACCAGACTTGGGGGTCCCAGAGACCTGTCTTTGAACCCCACTTGCAACTTCTGGCTTCTACTCTTAACTCCCTTGAGCCTTAGTTTGGGCACCTGTCAGGTGGACAGCATGAAACTGGAGGTTGGTGGAAGGATTAGCTGAGGTCCTCTGTGGCACTTACTAATTAACTTAACTAATTCAAAATTAGTGCCAGTTGCCTGCCGTGCTGAGGCCACTGGCCTGGCCCAGGTACGGCAGGTGCAGGCCAGAGCCAGCGCTGGGGGTGCACATGTACGTCTGGGCCGGGAGCCTGTGAGGTCTGGCACATCAGATGGCATGCGAGAGTGTGCGTGCGCGTGGGTTCTCGCCTCCCAAACACACTCCTTGGGGAGTAAAAGCTGGGCCTCGGCAGGGTAAACACTGGAGCTTCCCACTGAGAAACCCAGCAGCCGCATCCAGCCCTGTGTTGGGGAGGGGGGCCCACAGCCCCCAGAGCCTTGCAGGGCCAGAGATGCAGTTGGGGACCCGGATCCAGCCCAGCCACTTAGGGGCTCTGGGGTTGAAGGGTTGGTTGGGCTGAAGGTCAGGGAGGGAGGCTGGGGCCCTGAGCCCCCAGGGTGCTTTGGAGGCCCAGGCACAAGGCAGAGGCGTCTGGCCAGGCCCTGAGTCCCCAGCATGTCTGCTCCAGGGCCACTGTCAGCCCGGCCAGCTGGGGATGGGGGTGGGGGGAATACCCCCTCCCCATTCTGGCCTTGCCTCCTCTCAAAGAAAGAGTCATCTAGAATGTCACAAGTAGACATGAAGCTGGCTCAGGGCAATGGTCTCCTTTTATGATGGGGAAACCGAGGCAGAGAGAAAGGAGGGCTTCCCCCAAGGCCCCAGAATGCAGTTCGTGGGGTTCTTTCCTCTTTCTCAGGTGTGAGGCTCATGAGGAAGGTTTCCCCACCTTTCCTAGCTGCCGAGCTCCTATGCATTCTGCAAGGTCCCGCTCTGGGAGGATTTCCCAACCACTGCCCTCTCACCTCTGCAGTTTCTAATAGCAGCTTCCTGTGCTGAGCTCCAGGGGTGTGGTCCACCCACAGGATCCCACGTGACCCTAGGAACAGCCGTGGGAGGGAGGACCTGTCATGTTATAGATGAGGAACAGAGCTCAGAGAGGTTCAGTTTCTGGCCTAAGGTCACGCAGCAAATAACGTGTGGAGAAGCAATTCCGATGTCACCTCCATGTCCCCGCAGGCCCTCCGTGGCAGCCCTTCTCCCATTGCTGAACTGGGCTTTCCCCAAGGGGGGCTGTGCCCTTACAGCATGTCCAAGTAGTGGGACCCCCTTTATCCCAGGAGCTAGATACCACCAAACTGCCCTGTGGGTCCCTGAGCTGCTGCCCCAGAGGCCCAGGGGTGACCAGGCTCCAGGCTTCTCATGAAACAAGCAGGTTATTGAATGGAGTCACTCCCCAGTTCCTGGGGCTTGGGGTGGGGAAGCCTGTGGCCTGCCTGGTGAGCTCTGACCTCACTCCAGGATCCTGAACATGCCCCTTTCCATCTGGGAGCCTCCTGCAGGGTCAGGGAGATGCCACCCTGGGGCAAAAGGGGTCACTTCCCATTAAATCAGTTGGGCTCCTGACCACTGTACCCCTCTCCTTAAGGTTGAAAAGGGAGGTCCAGGAATTCAAGACCCCACCCTAGCCACCTGTGTGCGGACAGGGGGTTCTGGCTTTGGGGAAGGCCTGGGCTCCACTGTGGCTTCAGGAAGCACCTTGGTCTCTCTGGGCCTCTTTCTCTCACTTGGAGAAAACGGTTGGTGAGGCTGACCCCACAGGGCAGCGCATGAGGGTCTGAGGCCATGAGCCTGGACCATTCTGATCCACATGCCAGCTCCAGCCTCTCAGGGACTCCTGGACCATGTCTAGATAGGCTGGGACCTGCCTGGCTGGCCCTTGGCCCCTCCCTCCAGGTGACATCCCATCACCCTGTTTAGACAGAAGTCATCTTTCTGGGTCTAAACCGTTCCCTGGGCACTATCCCAAGCTTGACACTTTATACCCATCATTTCTTCATTGCAATCCAATATTGTTTCCATTTTACAGATGGAAGCAACCGAAGCTCAGAGAGGCTAAATAACTTCCCCAAAGCTGCCCAGCTAGTAGGTGGCAGGGCCCCAGCTGGGCTCAAACCGAGGGAACAGGCAGAGGTGGAGGGATGATCTGGCCTGCTGCCCTCCTTCCCTCAGCAGCCAGATCCTTGTCCCATTCCATCCTGATATGGAGTGACAACCTACACAGCTCTGGCTGAGAAGAAGGGGGACCCCGAATCTGGCCCTGGCTGCTGCTGCTTCTTTTTTTTGAGATGGAGTTGCGCTCTTCTTGCCCAGGCTGGAGCGCAGTGGCACAATCTCAGCTCACTGCAACCTCCACCTCCCAGGTTCAAGGGATTCTCCTGCCTCAGCCTCCCAAGTAGCTGGAGTTATAGACTTGAGCCACCATGCCCAGCTAATTTTGTACTTTTTTAGTAGAGACGGGGTTTCACCATGTTGGTCAGGCTGGTCTCAAACTCCTGACCTCAAGTGATCCACCCGCCTCGGCTTCCCAAAGTGTTGGGATTGCAGGCGTGGGCCACTGTGCCCGGCCTGGCCCTGTCTTCTTGGCATGCTGCTACCTCAGGCTGGGGTGAAGGAAGCCCTGGTTCCAAGTCGCTCTCTCAATCCCTCCTTCCCACAGCCTCCTGGTGGATCCAGCCTGCAGCCAGAGGCCTCTCCCTCAAGCACAGGCTGGCCCTGCCAGTCACCTGCCCCTGCCCTGACCCCAGCGACCTTCCCAGCTCCCAACACATCACCCTTCCCTTGCTGTGCTCCTGCCCCTCCATCTCACCATGCAGGGTCCTGCTTCCTTAGCAAGACCCTCCAGCCCTCACCAGGTGCCCCCATGACCCTCCACTGCATGGGTCAAAAGACCCCACATGCCATGCTCTGACTTGGGGTTAGGGACAGGGACAGGTCTGGAGTCTCCCTGGTGCCCAGAGCAGCCTGGAGACCGTGATTGTCTCCAGTGCCCACAGCAGTGCTTGGCACATCACAGGTGGTCAACTGTACTGGATGGATGGATGGACGGATGGATGGACGGACGGACGAATGGATGGATGGACGGATGATGTCTCATCTGTGCCGGGCCCTGTGCTGGCACTGGGGTCTGGAGACATAGTTGCTTCTCTAAGTTCTCGGCCAGAGAACTTAGTCATCCTCACAACAGCCTTATTGGACAGATACTATCATTATCTCCATTTTCCAGAGGAGGAAGCTGAGGCACAGAGAGAGACGAAATCGCCTAAGAACACACAGCTCAGAAAGAGGTTGGTCCTCCATGTTTTCAGGAGCCGGAGGTTTGATCCAGGACAACACTGCGATGAGCATGTTGTTGTTGGCAGAGCTAGCTAAGGTGGGACCCAGGCTCTGGGCTCCCGTCCCTCCTACTGCGTGAGCAGCCCCCCGGTCCTCCTGCAAGCCTCTTCCTGCCTCCATCCCTTGCCTTCCCAAGCTGCCACACTTACTCATCGGCTTGGGGCTAAGACTTCTTCATGTGGAAGGGATCAGCACGGAGAGAATTTTCACAGCTGGGTTATCACCTCCTAAAAATAGGGCTGAGTGACGGATGGGAGCTGTCGCTAGGCCCTTGAGCTGTGGGGAGTAGATGGGAGGGAGGGAGATAGGGCAGGGTAGGGGGGTCCACAGACCCCAGACCCCACAGGCCTCAGCCCAGTGCCCTCCACCTCAGTCCAGCCTCGGGTAGGCCTGAACCCCTTCTCCCTGATGATGGAGAAACTGTTCTGCAGCTGAGGTCTTCAGAACTGGGTCTGAGCCTCCAGGAGGAGCTACCTGGAAAGGCACCAGCCACAGGGACCCAGTGATTCATTTGCCCAACAGGTACCCCAGGCGGCCAGCTGGAAATGTTTGCATCCAGGGGGTCAGGGAGGCCAGCACCATCTCTCAGGGGCTGTGCTTCCAGAAGCAATGTCTGGGAATTGGGGGCCCCTGTCACGGGGCTGCCCTGCCCTCTGTCCCTCCCCAGCTGTGCCCCGTCCTCGGATTTTCCCCCCAAGCTTCTTGGTTTTTAAAGACCCATCAGCCTTGCCTCAGGACCCAGGTACTGATGGGCATTTGTGGAGACAGACTAGGCTGCAGGCCGCATGTGGGAAGGTGAGGGGCGGGGCAGGGGGGGTCCCTCACTCCCAGTGCACATGTGCACACATTCCACCTAGACACAGACTGACGGGCACACACGAACAGAACTCATAGATGGACGCTCAGAGGCACATGCTGGCACACCCCCACCTGCCGTGCCCCCTTGTTGTCTGGGAGCATCAGCATTCAAACAGGTCTCAGGGGGTCACTACCCCTCACTGCATTGCCGAGGGAGGAGTCCCCAGCCCGTGGCTGGACTGGGCCCTGGCTGGGCCTCCGGCCGCCGCTCGGACATTTGGGCAAGGAGTCTCCTTTGGCTATGGGTGGGCTTCAGGAGCCCAGGGCCCCCTGATTGGTGGCAACAGCAGATATGTTTAGGCCCTTAGACCCTCTGGGGACTGTGGCCTGCAGCCAGCTAAGCCCTGATGGGCCCGTGCTCAGCCTGGCCTCCTTTCCCCTGCCTCCTCCTCAGCGGGGGTCCCAGACGCTCTCCCCGTGCCCAAGGCCCAGGCATCGGGCACAGGGAGGTACAGCAGCTCTGGGAATGGCCTTCCCTTTCACAGTCACACTGCCCTGCGCACCTGCCGGCTTGGGGCTGCAGGCAGCACTCCTTTCCTTCCTCTCAACCTCAACCCTCCTTGTGCCCAGCTCTGTGCCCGCCCCAGAGATGCAGAAAGAACTGGCCATGCCCATGCCCAGTAGGACGTGCCCTCCAGAAGGGAGGTGGGCAGGTGTGCTCTCAGCACAGGTCCCAGGCATGAGACCCCTGCCCTGGCCTCTTCTCCAGCCTGGACCCCTGCCTGCAGGCCTGCCTCCCCTCCCAGTCCCTGGCCCGTCTGCGTTCAGCAGCTGCTCTCAGGGGGCTGAACGGCTGCAGAATTACAATATTAAATGCAGCTGCACCGAAACATGGCCTCAATCCAATTACGCCAGGAAACAAGAGGAGCCACTTAGGCTAATCTGGTTATTCCACCCCGGCCTCCCCTTGCAGCATCGGAGGGATACCCGGGAGGGGAGCTGTCTGGGTGGGCAGTGGTGTGAGCGCGGCCCTGTGCCCCACAGGGTCCCATGGGGGGTGGCCACAGGATTGCCTGGCCCTCTCCTGAGGTGATCATGGCTCCTGCATCCTTGTCCTACAAATATGTGCTCTTCACCGAGCTTTGAGGTGCCCCAGCAGCAAAGGGGGAGCCAGGCTTTGCCCTCAGGGAGGGCACCCCAAGCTGGGGAGACAGGCCACAAGGAAACCCAAAAGACGGGTGACTGCAGGGGGGGAGGCCTCTCTGAGCAGGGGGTGTGGGGGCAGGGGCCAGCTTGAGGACACATAGCTGGCCGTGGAGACTGTCTCGGCAGAGGGGACAGCGAGAACTCAGAGTGGGAGTTTGGCAGGTTCCAGGACATATCTTTATGCCAGTGCGGTTAAGGGTGGTGAATGGCGGAGACAGAGGTCTGTAGACTCCGACAAGGAACATGGATTTGTTCTGAGGGGAGGGTGGTGATGGGACTGGGTTCCCAGGGGCTTGCTGAGCCGCTGTGCGGACAGACCGGGGGCGGTGGGGAGGCGCTGCTGTCTCCTGGCAAGAGATGGTGCAGTGGGGGGCGGTGGACGGGAGGGAGGGAGGTGGTTGGATTCATTGGATTTGGAAAGGACTTGCTGACGACTGTGTGTGGGATGAGGGAAGAGGGTGTGTAGGGAGCCCCACGGCCCCTTCCTGCTCTGGCATGTGGCTTGAGGGGTCACAGGGGCTCCCACCTGTGCTGTGTGCAGCTGGCGCTGCAGATGCCTCTGGGAATGAGACAGACAGGGGTCTGCCCTCTGGGAGGTTACGGTTAAAGGGGAGACAGATTTGGAGCAAGGGATGATAGGAGGGAAGGGGGTCGTTGGGGATGGGGGGGTGTGCGAAGACAGTGGGTGTTGAAGCCAAGATCCAAGAAATGAGCAGCCGGGCACGCAGGGGCAGGAATGGGGCAGGGATGAGAACTGTGCCTTAAGCAGTCACCAGCAAATGCAAAGGCTTGGAGGTGAGAGAGACCGCAGCCGCCACGGGCACAGAGAGGAGTCCAGGGTCCTGGGCGTGGGGTGGGAGATGGGCTAGACGGAGGCAGAGTTGGGCCTAGAGGCCCCTCACTCAAAGCCTGTGGGAGCAGAGACCCCTGGAGGAGGTGTGGTTGGGGAAAGGAAGGACTGGGGATTGGGTTCAGGGAGAGAGTGGGGCGCACGCTCAGAGAAATGTGGAGTGGAGGTAAGGAGGGAGAAGAAGGCACTTCCATCTGGAGGTACAGCTGGGTCTGGGGACCACTTGGACCCCAGGAAGGAGCCACAGGGAGCCAGCAACAGCTCCAGAGTGAGGGAGTACCAAGACAGAAGCTTGTCTTCAGTCGTAAATGAGGGAGGCAGGGTTGTATCACAGGAAGGGACAAACTGACCTGAGATCAGGCCTCAGCTGTGTTATTCACTTGAGACCTTGAACAAGTTGCTTTCCCTCTCTGAGCCTGGAATTTTATTTAATTTTGAGATGGAGTCTCACTCTGTCGCCCAGGCTGGAGTGCAATGGCACCATCCCTGTTCACTGCAACCTCCGCCTCCCAGGTTCAAGCGATTCTCCTGTCTCAGCCTCCCGAGTAGCGGGGATTACAGGCGTGCGCCACCATGCCTGGCTAATTTTTGTATTTTTAGTAGAGACGGGGTATCAACATGTTGGCCAGGCTGGTCTCAAACTCCTGACCTCAAGTGATCTGCCTGCCTCAGCCTCCCAAAGTGCTGGGATTACAGACGTGAGCCACTGTGCCTGGCTGAATATTTTTCTTTATAAGCTTAGTTCAAATTCATCTTTAAACATTGAGATATAACTCACATACCATAAAAGTCACCCCTTCAACGTGTAGAATTCAGCGGGTTTTTTTGTGTGTATTTACAAGGTTGTGCAACCATGATTCCTATGTAATTCCAGAACATTTTCATCCCCTAAAAAGAAGCCTCAGGTTTATCATTTGTAAAGTAGGGACAAAAATAAGCACCTAAATCAAAGAGAGGTGGCGAGGGTTGAACACAAGACACCCAGTACAGTGCTCAACACGTAGGCGTTCAGCAAGGGAGGGTTACGTTTATGATACAGTTACGTTTATGAGCCTCCCCTCCCTGCATCCACTACACAGACCTCAACTACTGAGGACCTCTCAGACCCAGGACCGGGGAAGGAGGACGTGCAGAGGGGACAGGCCCCCGGCTGGATCCAGGGGTGGCTTTTAGAGCCAGTGGTGCTCAGAGAGGACCAGCAGTGTCCTCGGGCTCAGTGATGGGAGAACTCTTGGGGTGATGGGGAGGGAAGAGGCACCCTGAGCAGCCATCAGTGGCTGTTTCTGGCACTGAGGACTCGGGCTGCAGGCAGACCTTGAGAGAATCCCCACTGCTCCTGAAGTCCCTCCAGTCTGTTGGAATTATGTGACATTGTTGAAGTCTGTTTAATGAGGGGACATTCTGCCATCTTCCCCCAAGGTTACACTTCTTATTTTATTTATTTTGAGATGAAGTCTTGCCCTGTCCCCTAGGCTGGAGTGCAGTGGCATGATCTCAGCTCACTGCAACCTCCACCTCCCAGGTTCAGACAATTCTTCTGCCTCAGCCTTTGGAGTAGCTGGGATTACAGGTGTCCACCACCATGCCTAGCTAATTTTTGTAGTTTTAGTAGAGATGGGGTTTCACCATATTGGCCAGGCTGGTCTTGAACTCCTGACCTCAGGTGATCTGCCCACCTCGGCCTCCCAAAGTGCTGGGATTACAGGCGTGAGCCACCACGCCCAGCCTACACTTCATATTTTAAAATCAATGACCATGAACTCGCATATCCTGAGGTGTCTAGAGTGCTGGGCGTGCTCAGGGACGTTACAACAGCACTGTGGTCCTGGGACCTGTCCCAGCTGTGACCCTCATACAGGGATTGGCAGAGTGCCAGCAAGGGCTCAGGACAAGCCCTGCCTGGTACGTGGGGTTCAGTGAACATCAGTGTAACACCCCCCCGACCCCATCGCAAACCACACATATCATGGGTATTATCAGAGCGGCTGAAGGCACAGGCCAAAGACAGGGAGCAAGGTGAGGAAGGGGACCACTCTGGGTGTAGACTCTGGTATTCAGTCGGCGCCCCATACATGCTTTTCTGCTTGAACCATGCAGGTGAGGGCGTGTGGCTGAAGCCTGTTCCTGCTTGGGGGTTGGCCACACAGCATCCCAACTCCAGGTCCAGAGCCGAGCCTGACAGCCCTCCTCCACTGCCTCCTGGAGCTGCCGGAGAGAGGTCCGGGTCCGTTCTCCCCAATTCACAGACATGAAGACTGAGGCCGTGGTTCCAGTGGCTGCTCGGTGGTGGGGCTGGAGCTTGGCAGCATCCTGCAGCCCTCTGGACTCCCGGCTCTCGAGTGCCGCGTTCTACCTGCTGTGTTCTAAATGGACATGCCATCCCCACAGCTGTGTCAATAAAGCAGCCATTTACAGAGCGGGCGCCGGATCCCGTGACAGGTTGAAAAGTGTGTGAGCTGCAGCGTCCTGGGCTGGGGCAGAGGGGCCGTGGCGAGAACAGATGGGGCTGTGCCCATCTCCCCAGGCCCTCCTGTGGCTGCGCCTGGAGCCTCCCGGGAGGGAGGCCAGAGCCAGGAGCAGGCCAGAGCCAGGAGCAGGCGCGAAACATCCCTTAAATATTGGTGCTCTCGGCAGCACTGGGCCCCTGCTTAGCAGAGGATGGCTGAGCCTGGGGGGTGGAGAAAATCTTGCCTCCTGCTCTGAGCAGCCAGCAGAGACGCTGGGTGGAGGATGATCCGGGGGGACCGTGGAAGGCAGGACGGGGGCCAGGAGCATGGCTGGAGTGATTGATGGCTGGGAGGGAGCCTGAAGTGGGGGCGTCCTAAGGTGAGGGGCAGGCAGGTGAGGGGCTTGAGGGCAGGGCTGAGGGACTGAGGGCCAGGCTGGGGCCAAGAGCTGGTCCCAGGGGGTGAAACAAGGCTCGGTGCCTAACGGTGGTGGCCGTGGGAGTCAGAGCTCCAGGCGGAAGTAGGGTTCAGATTCAGGTGAAGCTTAGGGGTCCCTGGGCTGAAGACGGAACCTCTGAGTGCAGGCACCAGGTGGGAGGGTGGGGACCCCCAGCCTGGAGCCCCAGACCCCTGTCCTGCTCCACCCTGCAGGCCCCTGGGTCTCACACAAGGAATGTGGAGCATCCTCCTGAGAGGACTCAGAGGGGATTCCTGGGCCTTGGCATTTGGGACCCCTGAAAGTCACCTGCTCCCATTTCCCCTGTTTCCCTCAGCTCAGACATCACCACGACCCACAGGGCACCAGACACCGAGGTAGGCAGGGCTGTGCCTGCTCCAGCCCAGGGCCCCCTGCCTCTCTGCCCTCATCTGTCCCTGCCCTGACCTCTCTCTGCCTTCCTTCCTCGTCACAGCAGCTGCCGTGTGCCATTGGCACCTCCTGTGTGCCAAGTGCTGGCTTAGTCTCCCCTGGCGTTTTCTCATATCCCATTAACAACCCACCCAGTGGGTATCATCATCCCCATTTCACAGGTGAGGAAACTGAGGCTCAGGGGGGCAAAGTGACTCCACAGGCCAAAGATGAATGAGTAAACAGCAGTATAATATGTAAATGGAGCCGGGTGCAGTGGCTCATGCTTGTAATCCCGGCACTTTGGGAGGCCGAGGTGGGTAGATTGCCTGAGCTCAGGAGTTCGAGACCAGCCTTGGCAACATGGTGAAACCCCATCTCTACTAAAATACAAAAAAACAGCTGGGCATGGTGGTGGGCACCTATAGTCCCAGCTACTCCAGAGGCTGAGGCAGGAGAATCTCTTGAACCCAGGAAGTGGAGATTGCCATGAGCTGAGATTGCACCACTGCACTCCAGCCTGGCAACACTGCCTGGGCAACACAGTGAGACTCTGTCCCCCAAAAATAAAAGAAGCAAATGGCAGGATTTGAACCCCAGCCTGTCCGCTTCGGGTGCCTGGCTTTTTTCCATCCCGTCTCCCTCCCTCCTCTTGATCCTCTCGTATTATGTTGTATTTCTGTAAGCTGCCACAAATCCTTTCGAGAACGAGCCGGGAATAAATAAATAAGCATGTAAGTGAGTAATGAGAGGCCGCAGTGAGATGCCAACGCCGGGTCAGAGCTAGGACCTGGTTATCAAAATAGGAATGGGACTCGCCAGACTGGCTCCAGGTCTTCTGCTAGTGTGTGGAATGGGGGTTCGGTGACTCCTGAAGGGCCCCAGCCCCAAATTCCCAAGGTCAAGGGGTGAGTCAGCAGGGGTTGGCATCAACAGACCGACGGATCTGCCAGGGCCGGTGAGGGGCGCTGACCTGGGGGGTGCTGGGCGAGTGTGAGCAGCGTGCAGGCGGGCGTGCGGCCGGCCCCGTGGGCAGGGGCACATATGCGGCAGCCCGGCGCTGCTGTGGGCTGACATGAAGAGTGTCATTTACACAACTGGAACACGTGCTGGGTTCCGGCCTTTCACTGGTCCCTCAGGAGGCAGAGCTGGTGGTGAGGCAGAGACTGAGGTTTCCATAGTGTGTCCCTGCCATCCTGCACACGGGCCTGTGTGTGCATCTATGAGCGTGTGCGTGTAGGTATACCTGTACATGAGTGCATGGCACGCGCGCCTTCTGCAGTCCTGGAGGATGCTGCCTCCCCCTCCTCTCAGCCCCCTCCCAGGCCTGGGGCAAAGCAGTGACAGGGACTCAGCCTCCAAAGGTGACACGGCTATTTCCATGCCTGGATCCTGGCCAGAGGCAGCAGGAACACATGTGTGAGAGTGGGGGATGCCTGTCCCCCAGCCTCGAGGAGCCCCTGCCACGTGCTCTGCCCACGTGCATTTCCTGCTCTGCCCCCGCTGCCTGAGCTGCCTACCTTTCCCGCGAAGCCCCCTCCCTGCACTGTGGGCAGGCGCTGTGGAGGCAGCAGCAAAGAGGCAGCGAGGGTGGGAGGACAGTGAGCCTTGGGGTCACGGGGCCTGGGCTTGGGTCATCGCTGCTGCAGGCCTGAGGCAGTTTCTTTGCCTCTCTGAGCCTCACTTTCCTTCTCTGTAAAATGGGTGGACAGTACCCACTTAGGACAGCGCCTAGAAGGGACCCAGCGCATGGCAGTGGGGTCAAAGAGTGATGGGCAGGTTGGGCAGGGCCAGTCAGGAGGGAGCAGGGCTGTCCACGTGCCCGTGCTGCTTCGGCTCAGCCCTAGGCCACACCTCGTGCCTTGGTGACCCCAGCATTCTCCCTCACCCGCCAGCCCAGACTGGGCAACCAAGAACCGTAGCCCCAAGGTCCAAAGAGGTAATGCCCCGGCCCGGGAGGGGCGCAAGACCACAGGACTCACAGGGAGAGCTGCGTGTGTGGGGGCTCTGCAGTCCCCCTGCTCCCTCCAGCCAGCCTTGGTGCTGCCCTCCCACAACAAGGGTTTCCGTCTATGGGGAGGCCACATGCAGACACAGTTCTAACTCTGCCTTACTATAACAATGGGTCCTATTATCCCCATTTTACAGATAAAGAAACTGAGGCTCAGAGAGGTTCAGTCATTGCACAGATCCCCCAACATATCAGTAGGTTTCAAGCCCATGCAGTGGGGCACCAGGGAGGATTGGGGGTTCTGGGCAGAGGATGGGGCTTGAGGGCAGAGGGCAGCTTGGAGGAGCACGCCCGAGTGGACAGGTGGGGAGCTGGAAGGCTTAGCGGGGCTCCTTGGAGAGCAGCGCTGTCCCTGGGCACCACGGAGGTGGTTCCTGGCCAGAGCTGATTCTGTCCTGTTCAATTTTGAACTGAAGTGCAAACAAGCCTCAGCGCCCGCTGCTCCCACCCCAAATCGAATTCGTGCTAATATTTCTCTGGGGGCGGCGGGCTGCCTGCCTTCCGGGGACGGAGGGCGGGGGAGACTGGCAGGGAGGCCAGGCCCAACCACGGGGCTGCCGGGACCAGGCCATGTGTCTGGGGCGGCCGGCTTAGCTGGCTGGGATTGTCCACCCAAATTAAATTTTAACCCAGCTCATAAATCTTCCACTAAGTACGTCCCCTGCCGCCCGCCCGGGTCCACCCCAGGCCGCAGCGTGGGCCAGCACAGCGACAGCCTTGTTCCTCTGCCCCACATGGCTGTGGGGAGGCTGGGCCTACCTGCCTTGGGAAGTGGGACGGTCACCCACAGACAGGCCCAGGGGCAACCTTGCAGGCTGTCCCAGGAGGAAGTTCAGTGTTGTCCATTGGGGGCCTGCTTCTCCCAGCAACCTTAACTTCTCAGGCCTCAGTTTCCTCAGCTGGGCAAGTCGGGGAATAACAGCATCCCCAGCAGGGATGCAGGAGGAATAAGAGATGATGCAGATAAAGTCCTGGGGGGTGAGGAAAGGGGGCCCTTCTCAGGGGCCACCCCACCCCCACAGAAGGGGAGGCTCAGGTGCCCTTCCTGCGCCCCCAGCCCCTGCCTCAGCAGATGGTTAGTGGGCTTGCAGCCTCAAAGGAGGCTCAGGGAGGGAGGGTGGGGGTGGAGGTGGCCACAGCCTGTCCCTGCCCTCCCTCCCTATGGAGCCCTGGGGGCTGTGAGCTGAGTCGGCTGGGCCAGGCCATGAGCACTCAGCACTGGTGGGGTGGGTGGCTGCGCACACACAGCCATTCAGGGGAAGCCGGGACTCAACAGTGGGATCCCCCAGGGCTGGAGTGGGGAGGAGGGGCTTAGCTCAGAGCCCACCCTGCCCCAGGTCTTGCATTCGGGGCCAGAGGGAGGCTTCCTTTGTTGAATTGTGGTTTTAGGAGGCGTAAAGTGCATACCGGCACCTGCACAGCCTGGGGTGTGCAGTTCTAAGACCTGTGAATCTTACATATGCATATGGTGCCCTTGTGACTACCCCCGAGCTCAGAGGATGGAACATTCCCTCCCCACCCCCAGCTTTCTACTCTCCAGTCCAAACCTGTCCCTCTGCTCTCCCCATGCCCTCAGGAGGAAGTCCAGGCCCTTCCCTGAGGTCCCCTAGCTGACCGCCCTGCCCCAGGCTGAGTTGTCTCAGGACAGCCACAAAGCCAGCCTTCCTCCTGCCTCCGGGCCTTTGCACAGCGGTTCTGCGACTGGGGTGCTTTTTCCGGCCCCTGCAGCCCCACTTCTGTCTGAGACTCCTATTCATGCTCCAGGGACTCACATCATGTGTTCAGGGAAGACAGAGAGGGGGAGAAGGGCATGAAGAAGGAAGGTTCTCGTGCTCACAGTACAGAGATGTAGACACACCCAGATCACCCAAGCAGCTGTGGAGCTGGACGTGAGCCCTCATCCGCTCCTCCAACTAGCCCGTGACTTCCACAGGCGGTGCTAGGGGTGGCGGCTGGGGATGGAGCTGGGAGGGGAGGTAGCAGGCAGCCCGCTAGCCCTTCCCTGTCCTGGCAGGAGCTGTCACTGCCTCTCTCCTTGATGGCGGGGTATGAAGAGAAGCCTTTTGACGCAGGGAGATGACCCCTCCCCGGCCTCCACCTACACAGCAGCCACGTGGCCACCCTGAACAGCTGCCACAGTGACCGACACCCCCTGGATGTGTTTGTCCTCCCACAGCAAAGCACAATTAACATCCCCACTGGTAAATGATATGGGGCCATATTTCACCTGGACCCAAATGTGGGCCACAGAGGCATTAAAATAAATGACGGCACGGTTCAGTGAGGTCTCCGATTCTTGGATCTGGCAGAAGTGCACCTGTGCAGCGCCCCCACTGCTCTCCTGGGCCCCTGCCCCAGTTCCATGCCCTCTGTGCAGGGAAATCAACCTGCTCCTGTCACTTCGGATGTGGGAACAGGGTCCGCCACCCAGACCTCACCCCAACCCTGCCACCCCTGCCACCCCTGCCACGGCTGTAGCCCTGACCACAGGCCGGTTGTCCCCAGCCCGAGGAGACTCCGGGGTGCGTCTGCCTCCCAAGAAAGCCAGGTTCTCTGGGAACCAGACTGGGCAGGGTCCAGTTGGCCACACCTCTCCACAGTTGCCACCCCTTGCTGGAGCTCTGGGCTTGGAGGCAAGCACGCAGTCCCCAAGAAATGGGCGCAGCTGGTACCAGCATCCTGCAGCTTCACTCGCTGCAGCCTGCAAGGCTGGCCTTGCCCGCGGCCCCAGCCACCCTGCAGGACATGCAGCCACGGGTCCTTGTCCTCATATTCACTCTCCTGTGATGATCTCATGATGCTGCATGCTTGGCCTGGTCCTTGTGGTCCCTCACCCTGTCCACCCAGTACACAGAGCACGCTGTGCACGTCTGAATGACCGGAGGCTGGACGCCTGCCCAGGGCTGGCTTCTCTGCACTGTGGGGTCCACAGACCACTCTCCTGGGGGCTGTTTCAGGAGATGAAGGCAGTGGGTACACAGGGCTTAGCTCCTTCTTTCTGCGACAGGGGAGAGGTGGAGAGGCCTGGATTGTGTCAGGAGGGGAGGCCGGGCCTCCTCAGCTGTTCGAGGGGCCAGAGCTGGGAGGGCCTCGAGAGGGGCTGTGGTGTGGAAACACCCCGGTGGTGGAGGCCCTGGTGGCCCTGTCACTGGCTCTCTGGGCCTCCCCTGGCTCTTCCCATAGGCACTTGGCCCCTCTATCTCCACCCCAGGGCCCCAGGAGTTCTGTTACTCAGAAAGTGCTCTGCAAAAATAAAGTTGAACCCCGCAGGGACCCAAAGCAGCCAGACTCCTCCAGGGGTGTAGGGTGGGGAGGTTGGTAAAAGTCGCTGCCTCCTCTGGGGAGGGACCAGGCAAGCACCCAGGGGAGCCGTAGCCAGGAGATGGGGGGACCTTGCGTCACTAGGCTCGGTGGCCAGGCGGGGCCAGGGAGGGGCAGCATAGACCAGGGGGCAGTGGGGCCTTGGGCGTGACTGTCTGCGGGCCTCGGGGTCCTCACCTGTGGAAGGCCGGCACAAGCATCCTCCCTGTGAGCCCTGCAGGTGCGGCTGTGGGCCTGGGGCAGGGCAGGCGCTCAGGAGCTGGCTGCCTAGCCTCCCCTTCCTCACCAGGACGGCAGAGGCTGACTCTCCTCTCACCTGCAGGTGGCACCACCCTTTACAGTGTGTTTCTCCTGGCCTGGAGCAGGTCTCTCCTCCTCCTCCCCGGGTTTTGTTTTTCCATCAGCACACACCACCAGGCCACCCTTATTGGTTGTGTGACCCACGGCAAGTCACTCGACCCCTCTGGGTCTCGGCTGCCCTGTCTATGAAATGGGGATAATCGTGTGTTTCCCCAGGTCACTAAGAGCACGAGATGAACGACAGCAGACAGTAAGAGACTGAACAGAGCCTGGCACATGATGGGCTCTTGGTGGGTGGGAGTGGCTGTTCTGTTATTACTTGGCAGGGGCACTAGGCAGGATCGCAGGCGGAATCGGGTGTATTGAAGGTGCGGTTCACAAAGTCATGGGCGGGGTTAGGAAACCAACAGGGGAAGGTGGGCAGCTGTCACCATGGAGGCTGGGGAGGAGGCAGAGGTTACCAGACTCAGAGAGAGCCACCGAAGCCACTGGGAGGGCCACTGACAAGAGAGGGAAGCCTCAGGAACTCGTGCCCCGCCGGCTGTCCTCCCTCCCTCCGGCCTGCTGCTGTGGCTCCTCTGTGAACCCAGCCGGAAGGCAGGAGCCCAGGAGCCCGCTGGTGACCAGCAGCCTTCCAGGCACAGGGCGGGTCGGGGAGTGATCTGACGGGACAAGTGCTCTGCTGAGGGGCTGGCATTGCACCGCGGAGGTGAGGGCCCCGGGCTCTGGGTGGGGGAGCAGGGCTTGGTGCTGCTGTTTACCAGCTGTGAGACCGGGGTAGGGCAGCCAAGTGTCCCAGTGTGCCAGGGATTCGGACCCAAACTCGGTCAAAATAGGGCCCGCAAGTCCCCTAGACCTGGGGCAGGAGGCTTATCATCTCTGAGCCCAGATTCCCCATCTGTAACATGGAGGAGTCGTCACCTCACGGAGCAGGGGTGGGATTCAACACAGGTGTGGGTCCAGCCCCCTCCCCTGACTCCCCCAGGGCATTCTCCAGCCTCCTCCTGTTATCCATGCACTTTCCTTCCCAGCTGCCGGGTCGGCAGCCACGGACCAGAGAAAGCGGCTGAAAACTTGGGGAGACTGTTCTCAGAGCAAGGAACTCCCCAGTCCCAGCCTGGCCCCACTCCTGGGGTGGAGGTGATGCCTTGAGAGAAGCTGGCCCAGGGCCTGGACAAAGTGGGGCTCTTGAGGGAGGGTGAGAGGCCCTGAGACAGTGCCATCGGGGAAGCTGCCAGTCCCGTGGGGGCAGGGCTGAGAGGAGGGTAAGGGCTCCTAATGCCAGTCTCTGTGCCCACTCATAGGTGTCCTGCCCCCAGGGAAAGAATGAGGAGGATGATGGTGCTGGAGTCGAGACCAGCTCTGCCCTGTGTGACCCTGGGCAGGGCATTCACCTCTCTGAGCCTCAGTTTGCCCCCCACGCCCTGTAAAGTGAGAGGATTGGATAAGATGGCGTCTTCATTGTTTCAGCACTTATGACAAGGCCCTCCATCCAAGTAACAAACAAAAGGGAAACACAAAGCCTGTGACTGGACTCAACAGCTGTGTCATCCTGAGCCCAGAACCTTCTAGAATGGGGCTGGGGGAGGGGAAGATATGCACCCTCTCCCCACGGGGCTAGGGACTCATCTCTGCCTGTCTTCCCAGGCCCCAGGTTTCAGGCCCCGAACAGCCTGAGTCCACAGGGTGACAGGGTGTGGGAAAGGCCAACGGGCGTGTGGGTCTCCAGCCTTTGCTCATCCTCGGGAAATGCATCGTGCGTTGCTTTTCCCGTCTGGGAGTCTAATAGTCAGCAGTTATTTATCGTCTCGTTTCTTAGTGGGTAGGAAAGCCACAAATAAGTAAACTCAGGCAGCAGGGCACAATTACTGAGCCTGGTGCTTTATTTCCTCAACTCACCTCCAGCCCGGGCAGCAGTGGGTCGATAATAATTTACGAGGCAGCCCCTGAGGTGGAGGAGGAGGAGGAGGCCAAATAACCACATTTGCTTCCCCGGGCCCTCCCTCGACCGGCTCTGCCTGCTCACAGGTGGCTGGGCCAGGAGGCTCCGGGATGAGGCAGGAAGTGGAGGCTGTGGCCAGCCATCGCCGCAGGAGGGGTCCCAGCTGGAGCACTGCGCAGCCCCAGGCCTTGTCCCCAGCCACCAACAGACCACTTCTCTGAGGCGGGGACGTCCCAAGACTAAAATGGGGGCAGGGGTGGCAGCGTCTCTCCACCACATCCCAAGACTAAAAGGGGGGCGGGGTGGCGGCGTCTCTCCACCAGGCACTTGGGGTTTGTCTCTGGGGCTCTGCAGAAGCAGAGCCCGAGTCGGGTCCAGCCCTGCACTCCCAGGGAGCCCTGAGGGACGAAGTAAAGCAGGAGAGGGCAGGGGGAGGGACAGCCAGGGTGGTCACAGTTTGGTCTGCCCTGTAGGGGGCACTGGCAGAATCTGCAGCACTGACCTCTGACCTCTGGGTCAGTTGGTTACTGACTGCTGACTGTGCCTAGGAGAAGGGGGAGGAGGGAGGGGAGAAAGAAGACAGAGGAGGAGGAGGGAAGAGAAGATGAGGAGGGACATGGGAGGAGGAGGGGAGAAGGGAGAGGAGAAGGAGGGAAGAGAGGGTGGGGAGGGGGCATGGGAGGAGGATAGAAGAGGGATGGGGAGGGGGCCTAAGACTCCAGCTCCTGGGGCAAGGGAAGTGGGCAGTGGCAGCCTCCGCTGCAGGGTCTGCAGCCCACGGAGTGTGGGACAGAGTTCATCCTGCCTCAGAAGGAGGCTGGGATTTGGATTTCATCACTCACGTAGCTGATTTCATCACGTTTCATTTTCTGTCAAGTTTCCTGCCGTTACAATCTCATTCATTCCTCTGGGGACATGAGGATGCCAGGTAGGGAGGTTGGGGGGCGGGTGGCACCACCGCAGCTTTTGCCCCAGGGCTGCACTGGTGCCAGGGAGGTGGATGTGGGGGACGAGCCTACAGGGGTGAGGCTGGGGTGGGGTTGGGGTTGGTGGGTTACAACAGTAGCTGAGGTGCATGCCCAGGGAGAGCTGGGCCAGTCCTTCGGGCGTTTGCACAGCACCTCCTGGAGTCCTTGCCACAGCCTAGGACGTTGCCGCCACCATCCCCCCATCCGACAGATAAGGAGACTGATGTTCAGAAGACACTCGGCCCAAGGGGCACAGCTGCTGAAGTTGCACGAGGGGCCCCAACTCCCCACCTGGACACTGGCCATTAGCACTGTCCTGTCCCCTCCAGCAAGGCTTACTGTTCTTCCCACAACAGCCCTCCTGACAGTGGGCCACTACCCCAGTCCCCCAGGAGGCTGCTGAGGCCCAGCACAGCCAAAGGCAGGAGCACCAGAGCGGCTGCTGGGCCAATCCCACCATCTGGCCACTCTTCTCTGTGTCCCGAGGCCTCTCTCTGGGGCTGCAGGAAGCATACTGAGGGCAGTGGCGTCACTCTGGGCTCTCAGGTGGTAGAGGACAGCGGGGCTGCCGGCCCTCTATCCCCACGTGATCTCAGCTCCTGAGGGTCCCAAAAAACAATCCTCCCACCCAAGCCAGGACCATAGCACACTCTGGTGTATTCAAAAGGCCACCGTCCTTCCTGGCCTCCAAGCTTGGCCCGTGTTAGGGTCGCCGTGGCATCCCGAGTGGGTGGAGTCACTGCACAGTCTCAGGCTCCAAAGAGGGCTCTAATTCCTACCCACTAACGTCTCCCCTGTTCTTGTCTTTCTGTCTGCCTCTTAAAAAAATTAAACACGGATGGTTTCATATGGGGAGAATTAGTATTCCAGGCAGGCCAGGGGATGTGATCAGAATGTCAAGGCCAGAGACACAGAGCCTGAAGGGAAGGAAAGAGGTGCTGGGCCTGGCAGGGGTCCTGGGGTGGGGGCAGAGGGCTCTGACCCTGCCTATGGAGGGCTGGTGGGGCCTCCCAGGGGCCTATGTGCCGCTGGAGAGGTTGAGGTTGGGTGTGGCCAGAGGTCTTGACACAGCATCCACGATGGGAGGAGATGGGGCCGCTCAGAGACCGCGTGTGGTCATGACACGTGCCTTCCCATGGCCCAGCCCGGCTCCTCTGCCCCGTCCACTCCCACTCTCATTCAGCCCTCACTTGCTGCAGGCACGTGTGCCACTGTGTGCCAGCCACCAGCTGGGTACCAGGGAGGCACAGGGCAGGGACAGGCCTATCCTCACCACTGCATGTCACCAGCACCAGGCCCCTGCATGGCACACAGCAGCCCCTTACCAAAAGCCTGAGTAAACGGGTGCATGAACACCCACAGCATCTCCCCAAGCATGGTTTGAAGAAGACATGAACGCTGGGAGGTTAACACGTGTCACCAAAGACAAAGTCAATGGGTAACCGCTGGAGTGAACAAACTTCAATTGGCATCTTTGCCGCAGGACTTCTCAGATCCTTTAATATGCTAATGTGCCCTGTGACCCTGCAGAGGGAGTTCGGCTTGCAGCCTCCAGCCAACCTTTAGTCCCTGGCCACACCGGAGTGGCTGGTGTGGCCTTGAGGACCCGGAGTGGAGAGAGGAGTGAGTTTGCATCCAGGCTCTGGAGCAGACCCCCTGTGGGACCCTGGGCAGGCTCCTGAATATCTGTTTTCTCAGGTGGAAAATTGGAATGGTAATAACAGTGCCTGTGCATTCAGTGAGGCGACGTGTGAATAGTGTCTGCCTCGGACACAACACAGGGCGGCCACTACTGTTGTTAGTATTATTATTATTATCCACATCAACATCTCAGCTCTGTGTGCCTGGGCCATCTAGAACTCGATCGAGTCAGCTGCTGGTGTTGTCACTGCTGCGGACACAGTCCTTACCCGTAAGAGCTCACGGCCCATTGGGAAAAGACAATTATACTCCCCGGTGGAGAGGGCAAGGGCTGAGTGAGCCGGGAAGCCAGGCCTCCACCTGGCATGCTCACCGCTGCCTGGCATCTCTGCCAGTGGCCATGTAGACTAGGTATGGATGCCCCTGGTGGGGGCAGCCTGGCCCACCTTTGGGCATCTCTGCCTGGTACAGATTTCTTTCTTAACTCCATCCCTCCCAGTCCTTCCCTCCCAGTCCTTCCAGTTCTTGGGCCTCCCAGAACAGGTCGGTCTTCCTTCTCTGCTGAAGACAGGAGACTGCCCTCTTCCCTGGACAGGGCTGAACAAGCCCCACCCCCTCTTGGTCATGGCCAAGGTCACTCCCCACCCACTGGGCCTCCCGCTCTGTAGTGTGGCTGTGTGTCTCTAAGAGCCCAGAACAGAACAGTGTTCTAGTCTGGCCTGGCCAGGGTGGAAGGAGGGAGGAGGTGGTACAGTGATCACCTCCTTCAATATACCATTGATTCCTCCATTAATACAGCCTGTGCAGCAACCAGAAGCTGGGGGCAAGGTGTCCCTCTGTGTCTGGTACAGTGAATCACCTTGCTCTGCAGAAGCAGAGGATAGCTGGCTGATAGAAAGCACGGTGCCAGGGGAGCCTGAGAGGCCAAAGCTAAGCAGGCCAGGGCCGGGCGCAGTGGCTTATGCCTGTAATCCCAGCACTTTGGGAGGCCAAGCCAGGCAGATCATCTGAGGTCAGGAGTTTGAGACCAGCCTGGACAACATGGTGAAACCCCGACTCTATTAAAAATACAAAGCTTAGGCTGGGCGTGGTGGCTCACGCCTGTAATCCCAGAACTTTGGGAGGCCAAAGCGGGTGGAGCACAAGGTCAGGAGTTCAAGACCAACCTGGAAGACGGTAAAACCACGTCTCTACTAAAAATACAAAAAAAGTTAGCCGGGCATGGTGACAGGCGCCTGAAATCCCAGCTACTCAGGAGGCTGAGGCAGATAATTGCTTGAACCCAGGAGGCGGAGGTTGCAGTGAGCTGAGATCATGCCACTGCACTCCAGCCTGGGCGACAGAGTGAGACTCCAACTTAAAAAAAAAAAAAAATCCCAAAAAACAAAGTTAAGCAGGCTGGGGACAAGGAAGGGTCAGGGAAGCTTCCTGGAGGAAGAAACAGTTGTCAGTTAGAAATGAATGGCAGGCTCCTGGAGTGAAGGCCTCCTGAGTCATCCATCCCTGCCCCTGCCTAACCGCAGGCTGACTGGCAGAGCCATTGGGTCGCGTACGTCATGGGGCAGACTCCGGAGGCTCAGTGTGTGGCTGCTGCGGGCGGGACCATTTGTCTTTGGGAAAAGTGGTTCAGGGAGGCTGACCACAGAGGCCAGAGGCCTCTCAATGCTGACCCCTATCTACCAGGATTTAGAAAGTCACCCCTGACCCCACGACCACGGCATCCTTGGCTGTGCCTGGGGTTCACAGGGGAACTGAGGCTGAAGCACTTCCCAGAGGTCACATCCAGGTTGGGGGGCCCAGGAGTGGATTTCGCCGAATGTCCCATCTGGGCCTGTGTCCCAAGAGGGGAGGTAGCCACAGGTTTCCCAGCCCCGTGTGCTCCAGGAGTGAAAGTACTAGGGGCCTCGTTAGCTGTGGCTTCAAAGAGCCTCGTTATTAACAAAAGTGTGCCGCGAATGCTTTCTCTTCCTGCTTCTCTCCTTAAGGCAGGCTCCCAAATGAAAAGGAAAATATACAATGAGAGGCACTAAGGAAACCTCAGAGGAAAGCCAGGCGTCTGCAAAGATGGGGAAGGAACGACATTCCACTCTCGTGTGAGGTGTGGGCTGGCTTGCTTGCTTTATTTATTTAAAATAGTCTCTCTTTTTCCCCCATTCCTCCCAATTCAGCTAGTCTCTCAGGCGCACTTTAAGTTCTTTTGAAGTGTTACAACCATTTTCTCCTCTTTCAATTAACAACAAGAAAAGGAAGCTAATAGCTTCCTGAGCCACTCGCTGTAAATATTAACAAAGTCTGGCCGCCTGGGCCGAGCGCACAGCATTGCTCTCGGCCAGAGAGAGCATGTTTATGGGAAGGAGGGAAAGGGTGGGAGATTTCCAACACAGGCAAAAAATCCCTTGGCACAGGCTCTTGCTGGTGCAGGGAAACCAGAGAGCTGGGAGCTGAGTGAGAGGGCACCTGTCCCTGGGGGCTGGAGGCTGGCAGAGCTGGTGGGAGGGAAGTAGAGAACTGAGGTTGCTAGTGGATGCTTCTGGAAGGAAAGGCGGCTTCCCCCAGCTGCACCTGAGTAACTCGGATGATGGCATATGTGTGGACTGGAATCCCCAGCTCACAGCGGAGGTCTGAGGAGGGCTGGGTTTCTAGATGCAGCAGGCGGAGGGAGGTGCTGCACACTGGACCCCCAGCACTAGCACGGAGCCCTTGAAGGAAGTGAGCAGGGGGCTCCTGAAATAGGCCAAGAGGGGCTCCAAGTCAGGGGTTGAGACCTGAATGGAGGAGCGCGAGGCTGAGGGGAGGGTCTGGGGAAGGGGCAGCCGAGGGAGGGAGCTGACTGCCTTTGGGCAGAGCCTGGGTTCTCTGACAGCTCCTCGCTTTCTCCCTGGGGAGTCTCCAGCAGTGGTCCCCCCACCCCCCAGGGGCCCATGAGCCTGCAGGATATGTCGCGCTGCAGCCAGCACAGTGCTGCTTCAAACTGCCACTTGAGAGCTCCAGCGTGGGGACAGCGTGGGGCCCACTTCACAGCCAGGCTGCCAGGAGACGCTGTGAGAGTGCCCAGACCCTGGAGGCCAGGAGGGGACCAGGGCTGCCCGCCGGCTCCACCACCTGCCTTGGCCAAGGGCCAGCCAAGAGCACTGTGACGGGCAGGCAGGGGGTCGAACAGCCACTGTTCTGCCGACAAAAGCAGGCCAATTTCCTGAAAGAAGAGGTTCCGGCCTTGGCTGGTGGCGCCAGGTTCATCACCCCGAGCTTCCTCTAGGCTGGACACGGTCCCTAATGGGCACGGGCGACGCATTACAGTGAGGTCTGCCAGGTAGAGCTGGCAGGCAAGTGGTCGTTCCTGTCCCCTCTTTTTTTTTTTTGAGACTGAGTCTCGCTGTGCTGCCCAGGATGATGAAGTGCAGTGGTATGATCTCGGCTCACTGCAACCTCCGCCTTCCGGGTTCAAGCAATTCTCTTGCCTCAGCCCACCGAGTAGCTGGGATTACAGGCGCCTGCCATCACGCCCAGCTAATTTTTTTATTTTTAGTAGACACGGGGGTATCAACATGTTGGCCAGGCTGGTCTCGAACTCCTGACCTCAAGTTATCCGCCTGCCTCAGCCTCCCAAAGTGCTGGGATTACAGGCATGAGCCACCGCACCCTACCCTCTCCCCCTTTTGTGCCTAGAGTTGCTCTGTGAAGGGGCAGGCTCTGGCCGCAGTGCCCCTCCCTGAGGGGAAGAGGGCAGGCCTGTGGGGGGCTGCCGTGTCCCCATACCCTCCAAGCACACTGCCAGCTGTGTCCCTTCGAGGGCCTCCCCCGGCAGAGCTGAGAGCCGATGCCTGTCCCTCCGTGAGCTGGGTGCGAGTGGCCCTTGCTGGTCCCCCGCTCACCCACTCTCTCAGCGTCTGGGCCCGGGAGTTCCTGCCTACCCTTGCTGGGAGGAGATTGCAAAGGCACAAGAGCACTCCAGGCGGATGAGAACTCTTCAGGCGCCTGCCTGCTCCTGTCTCCCTGCTGCCCGGGGATGGCGGTGCCCACTGGCAGCTGTTTCTAGGTCCCTGTTGCTCAGCTGCACTGTGAGGACGGCAGCTTCAGCTAGGGAACCCTCCCCCTCTGCAGCATCCTGAGCCTGGCAGAACTGGGCCTCCAGACCCCCCAGAAAGTACAGGGAGGGACTGCTGGGTCCAGTGGGGCAGGTAGGGAGGGGCAGGTGGCTACGGTCTGCGCCCAATTTGGGCTTCTCTGCCAACTCAGCACCAAGGGATGGGTGAACTCCCAGGCCACCTCTGGCCAGAGCTGCCCACATGTGAAGGGAAGGAAGGAAGAAAATAAAGAAGGGGAGATGTCCCGTGGCAAGAGAAGCTCCGTCCTGGGCGAGTGGGCCCCGCACCCCTGAAGTGCCCTGCTCTGGGCGCTGCCTGCTGAGTTTCTCTGATGGCCATCTTGAGGGTGGGCGCTGGCAAAGGCCCAGGCCCGCCGGCCGGGCGGCACAGACTCCTGAAGCCACCCACGGCCTGGCTCGCACACTCTCGCAAATACCCTGAAAGTCTGGGTTTTGTCAGGAGATGGTTTAATTAGCAGAGCGGAGGCTGGGAGGGTTCGCACCACACAAGCAGGCTCTCGCCTCCGCCTCTTCTCACCCTGCTACTCGGGTGCCATGCAGCGGTGCCAAGCCTGGGGGCCCGGAGCGAGTGGGCAGGGAATGGGGTGGGCCCATCTCACAGGGCAGAAGGCACAGCCTCCAGAGGCCTTCCTGCTCCTGCTCAGGCCTGGGGCTGCAGGCTGCAGATCAGGACCAGGCTTGGAGCCCATAGCAAGCCGGCTGTCCATGGCTCTCTTGGTGGTGCTCCTGGGAGCACTCAGCTGCCCTCCAGTGAGGAGAAGGAGGCGGGAACCCACTCAGCACCCAGGCCTGTCTTCAGGGAGTAAAACCTGGGGGCCTCCCAAGTTGGCCCCTTCCCTTCAACCCCTCACTGTATGAGGTCCCTACCCCATGTCCCTGTCCCTGTTCCTGAGGACATGGTCCCAGCTTTTCACTGGTCCTCTCCTGTGCACCTGGGCACCTTCCAGGTCTCCATGCAGCAGCGAGAACACTCTTTCTAAACTGCAAGTCTGGTCACGCTCCTCCATGCCTCGGCACCCTCACAGCCTCCCCCCTGCCCTTGTACAAAGACCAGGCCCCTCAGTGCAGCATTCAGAGCGCCCCTAAGGCCAGGCTCCGGGCCCTGCTTCAGCTCGGATCACGGCCCTCCACTCACTCAGAGCTCTGGGACACTGACCTCTCACTATACCAAGCCCTCCCACCTCCAGTCTTCACATAGGCTGTTCCCTCAGCCTGAAATGTTCTTCCCGTCCCACTCCCAACATGCTGAGCCCATTACTGGAGCGGTCCTAGCCCCCACACGGCAATGCTCTCCCTGCCCCCAGCCTTCTGTCTCCAGTGCCCTCGGGAGAGAGGGAATAAGCAGCCCCCAGACTGCTCTCTGCAATGGGAAAGAAAGGAACAGGCTCTGTGGATGGCCATCCTGGTAGGGGGAAGTCAGAGCCATGGAACAAACTCCAGTTTGAGTCACAAAGAGCCTTTTCATCTATAAAGGTCAGATACAGATGCTGACCTCAGCCTGGAAGTCCAAAATGAAAGAAAATCCTGGGTCTCCTAGCTCGCACCAGCTCTGACCTGCTTACAATGATCTAAACTCTGCCCTCTTTGCCACAGGGCAGCTCTTCCCAGGGAGGGGGCAGGCATGTTGTTCATTTAAAACACCACTTCGCTAAGTCACCAGCCATAAAGCCCACCTGGGTTTCTAGCAGCACATACCAGCCATCTGATTAATGACACATACATAAAAATCCATCCCAAAGAGCCAAAGGTTGAAATGAAACAGGAGGGCTAATTGCTAATATAGGAATTAATATCAGAGAGCTCCGATCTTTAAGGCAGCTATGAACTGTAAAGCTGAGGGCCTGAGGATCGTTTCTACTTCGGGAGGAAGCCCTGAGTGCCAAGGGTGGGCAGTGGCTCTAGAAGATAGGCAGGTGGTCAAGGGGAAACACAGCCAGACCTGCCTCCCTCTGGATTGCCACTGAGCTCACATGTGACTGTCATAACATGAGAGTACCCCAGAACCACAGCACAGCGTCATCTTCTCCAAGAAGCCTCCATGATCCACCCCACTCCCCGAAGGCTGGGCAAGGCGGGGCTCTTGGCTCCCACACTGCCCTGTGTGCGTCTCACATTGTAGCCCTCTGAAAACCAATGCCCTCCCCACTGGACTGTGAGCTCCTGGAGGATGAGGGCATCTCTTTGGATCCCCAATGTCTTGTACAATGCCTGGAGCATGATTAGACTCAGAATATGTTTGCTGGATGGAGAGATGGGTAGATGGAAAGATGGAGAAATGGATAGGTGGAGAGAAATGGATGAATGGAGAGACGGATGGATGAATGGACAGACGGATAGATGGAGAAATGGATGGATGGATGAAAAGATGGAGAGATGGATGGATGGATAGAGGTGAATAGATGGACTGATGGAGAGACGGATGGAAGGATGAATACAGAGATGGAAGGATGGATGGATGGAGAGATAGGAGGATGGATGGAGAGATGAGTGGATAGATTGATGGAGGGATGGATGGATGAAGAGTTGGAAGGATGGAGAGATAGATGGAAGGATGGATGGAGAGATGAATGGATGGGTTGACAGATGGAGAGATGGATAGGTGAATGGAGAAATGAGAAGGAAGGATGGACGGATGGAGAGGTGAATGGATAGATGGATGGATGGATGGATGAATGAATAGAGAAATGGTGAGATGGAGGGATCGAGAAATGGAGGGAGAGATGGAAGGATGGAGGGATGGATGGATGGAGGGGTGCACAAGAGAGCCTCAGGAGAAGCCCAGGACCCCTCAGTGCAGTGTTTGGTGGATGGTCCGTTTCTCTTGCGCTGTCTTGGAGTAGTGCAGCAAGAAGGAAACTGGCCTGGAGTTTGAGGCCCTGACACTGCTACAGGTTGTATAACCCTGCACAAGTCCTGCTCCCTCTTCTCAGTCCACACAATGAAAGTGGTCCTCCCTGACCTGCTAGCCATGCTGTCTTCCCAAGCTCAGGGAAGATGGCAAGGCAGAAATTACTGGGAAAGGACAAGGTGCATTGTCCCCTGGCATATATGTATGGGCAGATTCGGCCAAAACGCAGAGGGTGGTGCAGAGATGTGAGATTGGGCACTTGGCTTTCTTTCCCTCCTTTCAAATTTCTTTTAATACAGTTGTGATGTGATTGACGACAACAAAAGTAGAAAATTGTGTAAGCATCTCAAAGTACTTTTACTCAAAATGGAAGCTTTTATGATGTTGACTCAAAAAATGGTTTATTGGTTTTGAGCACAGAGACCAGACCTGGAGCCTGTGGGAACGGGGGAGGCCAAGGCGAGGAGTGTAACCACTAACTTCACACGGCATGGTCTCCACTCACTCGAGCCAGAAGGGTGGCCACTGGGGGTGCTGTGGCTCTGGCGGGAGGTGTCTGCCAGGCGCACGCATTTACATATTTATTCTTGGGCCTCCTTTGGTTCAGTGAATGCAGGTGGCTACTAATGATCATCATTATGCGCCCACACAAGGGAAGAGCCACAGTGCTGCTGGAGAGCTCACACCTCCCAACCACTGCCAGCCAGACTCACTTGGAAAACCAATACACACCCCAGAAGCCTGAGAGGCCCCACTTATCCAGGGCACAGACGCTGAGGAGCCCAGTATCCCAGCACTGGGGTTCCAGGAGGCTCTGCAGGCCCCAGGGAAGGTGGGGGTGGGGGCTGCAGCAGGGAAGGTGGACTGAGGACATACAAAGCTGGACGGGCACCAAGAGCCTCACTTAGTGCCTTGGTTTTCTAAATGAGGGAGCAGATGGAGAGTTTGGTGGGTGCATTTATTAAGCACCAACTGCATGCAAGGCACTGAGCCAGGTGCTGGGGGATCCAGCCTCAGGTCCTCCCTTGAAGCCAGGGAGACAATTCTTTTCATGCTCCGTTGTTGCTGTCATGGTTCACAGGACCACACAAGCCAAGCAGAGGGTGGCCCATTGCAGGGAGGGAGGGATGACGTCTGCATGGATTCTTACAGAAGGGGAACAGTACAGTGAAGGGCCAGGCTGGAGCCAGCTCAGGGCATTAGTGGGCAGTAGTGGGAGACACGGCTGGTGGGCTGGGCAGGGCCCTTGGAGACTACTGTAGGAGCACTGCCTCTATCCTGAGAGCTATGGGACGCTCTCAGGATAAAGCCGAGAAGCTATGGGAAGGGTCTGAGGTGAACACACCAGTGGGATGAACCTGCCTCCTTTTTGGGTTCTTAATTTCAAAAGCAGAGCTCAGTGGTTTCTCTCTTTATCGGGAGGCAGCGGCCACAGCTGACTGGAGCCTCTGGGCTCCCAGGACACGGCAATCATCCTCTCAAAATGCCAAGGCCCGCTGCCCCTGCCCCACCCCCATCGGTATAAAACAATTTCTGCGCCCCGGCCAGGGAGGCGGATGACCTCACTGGACTTTTTCCATCTCTCGCTTTCATGGAGAAATTACAATTTATAATTGGATGAAATCACGCGGGTGGTAATAGCAATAAGGGCTCGTGCTAGAGCCGGCCGCCCTCCCGCCGCGTGCAGGGACTCTGTCCTCATCTTCCCTCCTGCGTAAGCCCCACCGTACCCCTTCCAGGGCCTGTGCCCCACCTGTAGTATTCACCAGGCACTGGCCATTCAGAATCGATGTCCCGTGGGGCTTGCTGGCTCTGAAACCTCCTTCTTCCTAGGGCAGCTTGTCCCAAGAAAACTCCCCCTGCCACCCTGTCCACCCCATCAGACTCAGCCTGCACACCACCTGGCTGGCACACACCCTTCCCAAATGCCTTCCCTGCCAGGCTGTGAGCCCCGTGGGCAGCCACCCCCCATCTGGGTGCTGGGCTTATTAAAACATGAACCCTAATATCCCTGTTTTTATTTGTAACGGCCTCTGACAACAAGCATTTCTCAAATCAGCCACCTTAGGCCCTACAAAGAAAAGTGCCCAGATGCAGCTGAGCCCATCTGGATCTGATTTCAAACCAGAGTGAGCACTCTCAGATGTGTAATAAAAGCCCTTTTCCAAAGAGGGGTTCCTGCAGGGGGAATACAGACACCAGGGCGCCGCGGCCCTTCCACATGCCGCACTAATGAGAGGTGCTGGGGAGGGCTCGGGGTTTTGTTTTGGATTCCAGAACAGCCTGCCCTGCCCTCCGTCTGTGTGGAAGAGGAGGGCGGCTGCGGGTGTTGAGGACTGACCCCCCACCTAGGAAGTGGGGTGGGCACCAGACAGAGGCCAGAAACACGGAGACCCAACTTCCCCAGTTCCCTGATGGTCCTGCTTCCCATGGTGGGGAAAGGCAGTGCTTGTTCTGGAAGCCCAGGCCATGGCGGCCCAGTTGGAGCCTTTGAATGACATTTAGCAAGAAGAGCAGGTGCCGGGGGAATTGGAGCCAGCTCTGGGCTGGGCGGTTGGCCCTGCACGGCCAGGAGCTCGAAAAACTTCATTTTTCTCTTCCCAGTCCTTCCACCCCCAGGGAGGGAAAACCAGGTAGCTGCAAGGCTGGGCACCATGCATGGCCAATTGTCAGGATTTGGAAAGAGGCAGGAGATAGGGAGAATAACCCCAGCCCCTTCCCCGGCTCATAGGCAAGTGGCATTAAGAAAAAAAACAGGATCCAGGCTGGGTACAGTGGCTCATGCCTGTAATCCCATCACTTTGGGAGGCCGAGGTGGGCGGATCATGAAGTCAGGAGATGGAGACCATCTGGCCAATATGGTGAAACCCCATCTCTACTAAAATTAAAAAAAAAAATTAGCCGGGTGTGGTGGCTCACGCCTGTAGTCCTAGCTCCTTGGGAGGCTGAGGCAGGGGAATCGGTTGAACCTGGGAGGCAGAGGTCGCAGTGAGCCGAGATTGTGCCACTGCACTCTAGCCTGGCGACAGAGCGAGACTCCATCTCAAAAAAAAAAACAAAAAAACAGGATCCAAAGCAAAGGGGGCTGCAGCCCAGTGGCCCTGGTGGATGTTGTCCCAGTACGGTCCCTCATGTCTCTGGGCTTAATCACTGGTATTGTTTTTGGCAGGTGAGGAAGCAGGCAGTGGGCGAGAAGATGGATTCCTTTTTGGACAGACAAGACCAGAGAGTGAAGCGGGAATAACTCATCCTCCCTACCTCCCCAGCAAGGAAACCTCTACAAACAGGAGCAGCCAAGCAGGACTGAGGCCCTTGCCCCCCAAGCATCTTCTCAAAGAAGGGCATGTGGGGGCCTGACAGCTCAGCTGCATGTGTCAGCAGCTCCAGCCCCACCATGAACATCTGAACTCCTCAGCGGGGTAATGGACCCCCTCCTTTCCCCCGGAGACACAGCCTGAGTGGCAGGAATACAGAGCCTTTGGAGAGTGGCTCCCTCTCAGCTCCGTCATGCAAGAACACTCTCTGCACCCAGCCCATTCTGCCAAGTGACTTAAAGGAATTAAAAAAAAAAAAAGCCTTGGTAAACAAAAAGGGGGTAAAAGCCACGCAGAGGCCCTTCAGAAGAGGTGGCGGGCTGCAGACAAAAGGGCAAGAGTTGAAAAGGGCTGTGGAGGTAGCAAGCAGCAGAGGCCACCCTGCTCAGGGCTGGGTGCCAGGCCACAGGGCATGCCCGACGAACAGGGAGTCGGAACCCCCTCAGGCCACCCTCGGGAGTCCTGGGGTCCAGAGGGGTGTCCCTGTACCCCTTGCACACAGGACCCTCACTCTGCAGGGATAAGCCAGCTGCGCCTGCAGCCTAGGGTGCCAAGGAGGCTGCTGATTGTGGCCCACAGCCTCATCTGAACGCCAGGAGACCAGGATACCGAGGCACCGGATCCCCTCTCTGTGCCCTGGGGAGCCCCAGTGCTGCCCAGTCACCCCAGGGCTGAGGTCTGCGTCCCTAGTGGTGCAAGGCCTGGTAGGACCACGGGGCAGGGAATGTGAGCGCCATCTGAGCTCACGGTGTCCTGAGTCGCGGCTTCGTGACTTTGGCAGGGGCCTCCGGACCAGTGACCCCAGTCAAACCCAGAGGGTCTTGGGCGGCAGCGACGAAGGAGGTAAGGCCCAAGGACAAGGGAAGAGGGACGCGAATTCAGAAGGGCTCCAGGGTGGGCCCAGGGTTCCTCGCACCCAGACAGCTGGGTTGCACCCTCCAAAGGCCCCTTTTCCCAGCCAGAGCTCCACAGGTCTCCAAGGGTCTGCAGCTCCATCCCACACACCCACTCACGCAGTTCATGCAGCTGGCAGCTTCTGCTTGCCGGCATAAGCATCATTTGCCACCTGGTGGTCCCCGTGCTGCTGGGCTCTACCCAGCAGCTGGACCCAGGATGTAATGGAGTGGCCTCTCCTGGAGTAAATGGCCCTGCAGCAGGGTGGAGGAATCTCATTTTGAGCCCCCTCCCTAAAGGTGGTAGCAGTGAGGCCTTGGCGGGGTGGTGGGCAGGAGCTCTGGTAACCTAGGCTACTTGCCCTGGCGCCTGCTGCCCTTGAACGAGAGGGAGTCCACAAGTCTATATCAGGGCCCGCCCCTGTTCTGGCCAGGGGACCCAGGGTGGGTTGATCCAAAGCTACTGCCCAAGGTCCTGCTCCTGTTGGCCCTTGGGCACCATCTGCACTGGCTTCCAGTTCAGCCTCTTTGTTGGTTACTGGAGCAAGCTGAGGCCCAGAGAAGGGCAGAGAGTGCCCCAAGGGTCACACAACAGGCGGTGAGTCCTCCCTGCCGCTGAGGAGGGGCTGACTCCTCCAGGGATCCCAGGAGGCCAGAGGGAGAGGCTGCACCGCCAAAAACACAAATCCCAGCAACCTCAAGCCTCTGTGCCCTGGGCAGGACAGGGAAGCCCCAATTCATTACCAAGATGGAAAATGACACTTCCCACGCTCTTCCTCAGGAGAGGGGTTGATTTATGATTGCACCAGGGCCTGGGACATTCGTCAGCACGGCGCAGCATGCATGCCATCTGCGGGGGCATTAATAGCCATGTTATTAGCCACCGGTGTGAAAGATGCCCTGCGGATGGGCTATTTGCTGTTATTTATTATAAAAGTGCGCCAGCCCGACAGCGGGGCCGCGAGCGTGCCTGAGCCGGAGCTGGGCTGGCTGCTTCTCTCCCAGTGCCCAGCCCTGGTCCCTACTGCCCCTCTAGTCCCTAGGAGGGCTCGGGGGTCATTCCCAGGCTGAAGCCAAGCTAGAGGGGAGCAGCTGCTGTCCCCCAGGCCTGCTGCCATGAAAGGTCTGCTCAGTGGCTCTGTGCAAAGGGAGGCAAGAAACAAACGCTCTGGGCAGACAGACCTGGGTTGGGGCCTGGCCCTCTGGTTGTGAGCATGTGACCTTGGACAGGTCTGCCCCTCCCTGTATGCCTCCCCTTTCTGCACTGGGGATGCAGCCTGTCCCCTCCACACAGGCTGTGGCCAGCTGGAGAGAGCATTCTATGACGTGCCCAACACTCAGGCACCCAGCCCTGCCAGCTACTCCTAATGCTAAGAGGCGTGACCCCACAGGCATGAGTGACCCCACAGGCGTGAGTGACCCCACAGGCTTGAGGGGCTGCAGACATGCTGGTGGAGAAGAGCGGCTCCCATGAGGCCCTGCTGGAGTTGAGACACTGTTCCCCAGCATCCTCCCTGTGCCAAACCCCTGGGAAAGGGTTACAGTTGGGCGCCAAGGCCCCAGGAGGTGGGCGGGGAGGCTGCCCACAGCTGCGGGAGGGCTCTGTCTCCACCCTGAGCCTGTCTCTTCCATGCAGGGCCTCAGATTTTCCTCATCTGCAAAAAGCAGACAATCGCTGAGGTCCTTTATCTCATGATTCCAGGGTCCTGAGTGGTGGGTTCCATCCGTGAGTGTATCTGTGGGGTGGGCGGGAGGGGAAAAGGCCCTCTGTAGGAAAGTGAGGATCACCTCTGATAGTTGGAGACAGACAGGCAGTTGGGCAGTGCCAGGCCAGCATCCATATCAGTGGGGGTGAGGAGGGATGGCCAAGAGTCTCCCTTTGGGGTCAGAGAGGTCCCGCTGGGCAGCTGAGATAGGCGGTAGGAGACCTGGGAAGGGGAGAGCTCCAGACATCGAGTCTGAGGCCTGGGTTTGTGGCCACCCCTCTGCCATCTGCTGCACAATCCAGACCTTTCCCTTTGCCTCTTTGGGCTGCTGTGGTGAGGGCACCCTGGGTCACCATGACGTCCTGGGGTGGGCTGTAGGAAGGCCAGCCTCCCTCTTCTCTACCACCCAGCCCTGGGTCTAGGTTCAGGGGCCTCCCTTTTGGTGGCCCTGTTCATTCATTCATCAGATGTTTACTGAGCACTTTCTGTGCCAGGCTCCATGCCAGGCACAAGGCAGACCATGTCCTAACTATAGGAGTTTACATTCTAAGGGGAGGAGACAATCCATAAACTCATGATAAATAAATAGGGAGGGTCCCACTGGGAGAAGGGCCTGCCTCCTGCCTTGTCAGGGTTGTTCTCAGCCCCTGAGAGGCCCTGCCCTCAGAGCCCAGTGCCAAGCCTCTGATCTAGGATCAGTGAGTGTTGCCCATCACCAGCCTTTACTGGTCACACTGCTCCTCTCCAGGCTCTCTGCTGTGGCCCAGGATCCTAAAGGCGGCTGAGGAGAGAAGCAGTGCAGAGCCCGCAGCCTCAGTCCTGTTCTGGAGGACTGTCCCCAGCCCTGCTGGTGCTGCCTCTCTTCCTTTTCCTCATCCCCCAAAATAAAGACCTTTAGCCCCTCTCCTTCCCTCTGAAATTCCACTGGGCTTTCTTTTATTTATTTTATTTTATTTTTTTTTGAGATAGGGTCTTACTCTGTCACTCGGGCTGGAGTGCAGTGGCACGATCTCTCGGCTCACTGCAACCTCCGCCTCCCAGGTTCAAGTGAATCTCCTGCCTCAGCCTCCCAAGTAGCTGGGATTACAGGCATGCACCACCATGCCCAGCTAATTTTTGTATTTTTAGTAGAGACAGAGTTTCGCCATGTTGACCAGGCTGGTTTTGAACTCCTGACCTCAGGTGATCCACCTGCCTCAGCCTCCCAAAGTGCTGGGATTACAATGAGCCAACTTGCCCAGCCCACTGGGCTTTCTTTTTCCCTTCCATAAAGGAATTAAGTCTCAGTTTAGGCAGCTTTACTAAAAATGGACACAGACAGACAGAAATATCAGGTGTAGGAGCATCTTATTAAATAATGCCGAGAGAGAAAGGAACAAAATTACACGTGTCTCCTTTCATCCCCCCACCCCCTCCTGGCCTTGAATGGTTTAATATCGAACACTGTTATCAATATAATTAACTTCCTAAGACACAATTCTAAAGTCCTGTTTTTTTAAAAGCGATTTACATTCTCTGAAGTTCAGGACATCCCGCCGCCTGGCACCAGCGCCACCCAGCCGGCCTATGTGGTTAGGTGCATTTATAGTGGATTTGCATACCTGTCTGCAATTACCGCCAGTGATAACAGCTGATGCATAATGCATGCAGCATGAAATTAGAAAAATAATTAACTTTAGGTTTTAAAAGAATTCCCGCCCCAGCCCCCATGCATCACAAGTTCTAAATGATACCAGTGGATGGGATCCAGGAGCAAAGCTGTTCAGGGTGATGGGTGTGGCTGGCTGGCACCCTGCCCTGGCGGGAGCTGGGGTTAGAAGGTCCTTGAGGGTCATGGCATCTAGTCCCTGCCCTAAGGAGATGCCTCTGGTGGGCCTGCAGTCCCTGGGGCATCTGCCTGAACTAGGGCTTGGAAAAGCCCCACTCACACGACTCAAGGCTCCCCTCCCTTCCTGCAGTTCATGTCTGGGGCTCAGGGAAGAATGGCTCATTGCTAGTAATGGTAATAGTTCCCTCATTCTGAATACGACTCTGCTAAACATTGAAAGTAACCTTATTTTATCTTCACAAAAGCCCAGGGAAGTAGATCGTTTATGGTCAGATAGACTTGAGACCCCTGTAATCCCAGCACTTTGGGAGGCCGAGGCGGGCAGATCACCTGAGGTCAGGAGTTAGTGACCAGCCTGACCAACATGGAGAAATCCCGTCTCTACTAAAAATACAAAATTAGTGGGGCGTGGTGGTGCATGCCTGTAATCACAGCTACGCGGGAGGCTGAGGCAGAAGAATCGCCTGAACCCAGGAGGCAGAGGTTGCGGTGAGCCAAGATCGTACCATTGCACTCCAGCCTGGGCAACAAGAGCGAAACTCTGTCTCAAAAAAAAAAAAAAAAGACTTGAGACCCAGGGCCACCCCACAGTAGGCTGAGCAGCTTGGTTGAGCCAGGCAGACCACTGGCTACTTGCCTTCACAGGAAAGGGGCTTCCTGGCGAGAAGGAGGGGAGCTCTCCCTGGGTCTCCCTGAGCACCAGGAAGCAGCGGCCTGCCCTGTCTACCTCCTGGCCCTCTTCCCTCTGTCTTATTTGCAGTTGAGCCCCCAGGAAGGTGGGGTCTTTCATTAATTTAAACAAAGGTTTGCTGAAGCCCCATCACAGAGCTGGAGATGATTGTGCCTTGGTAGGGCTTCCTGTCTAGTGGGAGGTGGGACTGGGGTCCCACTGGCCTTTCCCGCTCTGGGGCTGAGAAACTGCTTCTGCCCGCAGTCTGCCTGCACGGCATTCTCAGTGAGGAATTGAAGGCATGGCAAGGTTTAGGGGAGACACATGAATTATTGCTGAAGGGAGGGACTGGCAGGGGAAAGACACCTGCAAGGGACCCCACCTGGGGGCTGGGAAGTGGGGGAAAAGCCAAAGGACCCCAGGGTCTGCAGCAACCACACACCAGTGCCAGGCCACACACCAGTGCCAGGCCACATGGGCAGCCAGATTCCTAAGGACAGAGGCAGGCAGGTGGGCAGGAAGGAGGCTGAGGGGCAAGTGGGGGTGGGGGAGACGTGACCAGCATCCATGCACGTGAGCATGTACTTGTCTTTCCTACATACAGAGTTTACATGCAGGACACTTCCTCTCCCCGCCTGGCCCTGCCTGAGATGCCCCCATCCCAGGGATGGGACAGGTGAAAGAGGAGACGTGGGAGTGAGGCCAGACAGGGATGGGGGGCTATTTCCTTGCTGGCTTCCAGAAGCTCCTGGGACATGCCTGTGAATAGAAAATAGCATCCCCAGGTTCCATGAGGGCCAGGAGCCAGCAGCAGGGTCCCCAGCAAAGGCTGAGCAGCAGACAGTGGGCCATAAGCCACCACGAGGGGTGGGGAAGAAGCTTGGTGTCACTGACTTATAAAGGCTTTGCAGTTGGGTGTAGACACCCACACTCAGCTTCCCTACTGCTCCCCCAGACCTGGGAAACCCGGGAGGCTGCCGGCCTCTCCCCACTCGTGACACTGGGCAGCAGCTCCACAAAGGGTCTAATGCACCGTGAGCACAGCTTCTGGGGAGGGCTGCAGAGGGGGTGGAAAGGGGAGGGACAGAAGCCTCAGGACTTCTCAGGGGTGGGAGTGAGTGTGGCGTGGAGGAGGTAGGGAACTATTTCTGGCCACTGGATGACCTGGTGACGAAGGCCCATTTAAAACCCTCTTACCTCCCCGGACTCCTCCACCCTGCCCCCAGCCTGGAGGGCCTCCCATGGGAGGCTGGTGCGGCCCCACAGGAGGGGATGGTTGATGGCCCCATCCACCAGCTCTGTGCGGCCCAGACATAGGGTCAAGGCTGCCAGCATGGCTTGGGGGAGGGGCAGGGTTGCACCCACACAGTTTGAGGTGGGCAGGGGGCAACACCTCAGCTTCACAGAGGCTGATAAGGGGTCAGCCTGTCCGGAAGGCACAGCAGGAGCAGGGGAGTAGAGAACGGGCCACTGGAGCGCGGAGGACAGAGACGGGCAGCTACTGCAGAAGCTAGGCCGTGTGTCTGGGGAGGCAGAGACTTGGGGCAGCTTTTAAACTGGATGCGTCGGGGGCATCCAGATCACACTCAGGAGGGGGTACTCTGCACATATAATGTCAGTGAATCCTGAATTGTAAGTTCCCATGTAAGGGCCCCTATTATGACCACATTTATAGATGAGGAAATCAAACCTCAGAGAGGGCAAGCAGCTTGCTCAAAATAACACAGCCTGAGGCCCGGCGTGGTGGCTCACGCGTATAATCTCAGCACTTTGGGATGCTGAAGTGGGCAGATTGCTTGAGCCTAGGAGTTCAAGACCAGCCTGGGCAACATAGCAAAACCCCATCTCTGCAAAAAATACAAAAATTAGCTGGGTGTGGTGGTGCAGCATGTGGTCCCAGCTCTGCAGGAGGCTGAGGTGGGAGGATCACCTGAGCATGGGGAGGTCGAGGCTGCAGTGAGCCGTGATCGGGCCACTGCATTCCAGACTGGGTGACAGAGCGAGACTGTCTCAGAAAAAAAAAAAAAAGAAAGAAATCATACCACCTGAAAGTGGCAGAGGCAGGATTTGAACCCAGGCCTCTCTGTCCTGGAGGTTGGCAGGGGACAACGACTGATAGAGCCAAGAATAATGCCAAGAATAATGCCCCAGGGCCCCCAGCTAAGCGGAGGAGTAATGGACACCTACAGCCTGAGCCATCCCACTGCTCCCTTCGCCCACCCCCGTGGCCCGCTAAGGATCCGGCTGTCAGTCATGGAGCTGGCAGGTCGTAACTCACACCACGCTGAAGTCTGAGGGATCCACGCAAGGGCGACAAGCGATCCCATAAAAGATGGGCGATTTACCAGGTTTAATTTGATGGCCACATAAACTATGAAACACACAACAAGGGAATAAAAAGGCAAGCAGGCACCCAGGCAATTAGAGATTCCTCTGGTGAGGCGTGCTATCTTCCTCCCCACCCCCAGGTCCCGCCCTACTTTCCTGGAGCCAGAGGGCTCAGCCTCGGGCTGGCCTTGGGGAGGGGGGCGGCAGGGGAGCCTTTGGCCAAGATGGATGAGGCCCACAGACAGTGGAGCGGAAAGGCCTTGGGTCCCTGCCTCCCAAATGCTTCTTGGTTATCCATCAAGCATCTCTGAAAGGTGCAATTTAGACTCTATTATGATGCTGAGGCCTCTGAAGGCTGAGGACTGTGGCCATGAGCTGAGCGGGCGCTGGGAACAGATGTCCATACCAGGGAATGCGGTGGCTTGCCTTGGCTTTGGCCTTAACAAGTTTGCCCCCTACTTAGGGCACTGCTCAGAACAGCTGAGTACAAAGGCCACCTGTATCCCTTGTGCCAGAACTCAGCAGCCAACAGACCAGGTTGGGGGTAATCCTCCAGCCAGACGCTGGGGGCCCCCTGGCAGAGGTGCTCCTAGACTCAGACTTGACCCTGGAGACTGAGGCAAAGTGACCTGTGAGCTGGCCTGTGTCTTCCTGTCTCTAGCATTGCCCTGTGCTACCTACCTGCTCATAAGTGGCTTGAGGCAGGACCTCCGGCTCCATAACCTTCACGAGCCTGGCTCAGTGCAGAAGGGACAGACGTGCAGTGGGAAATCTGGGCTGGCTGTGACCTTGGCTGGGCCCCTCATGTCTCTGAGTCTCAGGCTGCTGGGCTGTGAAATGAGGGCTGTGGACCTGTGTGTAGGCGGCAACCTCTGCACCCTTGCCTGTGAAGGGGGGTGGGTGAGGTCTGGCCAGAGAGGTCACCCCACCACCTAGGCTTTTCCTGATCCTCTGAAGGCTGATGTGTCTAGCTCTGCATGCTGTCCTGGCTTCAAGCCCGTCCTTTCCCATGATCTGGGCCAGTGTCCTTCCCAGTCCCCAATGTAATGAAAGGTGAGGTGGTCAGATAAGGGTCAGAGCAGCCTGGGATGGCCCTGGGCAAAGGAAGCAGGAGGCTCACAGGAGAGTGGGCATCTCCATGAAGGTCTGAGAATGCTCAGCCTGGGCTGCAGGACTGTGTCTGGGCTGGCCAGGGACTCACAGCCCTCAGCAGTGTGGAGTCAAGCACTGAGGTCCTGCAGCCACGCAGCCCTGGGGTGGAATCCAGACCCCACCTCCTTCTGCCAGGGGACCATGGACAGGTCTCTGTGCCTCTGTTCTCTCATCTACAGAACGAGTCCATCACAGTTTCTCCTTTGAAATCTTTAGTGAGCATCTGCCACGTGGGAAACACTATGAATAAGATGCACAAATCCCTGCCCTTGTAGAGCGTACCTTCTAGTGGGGAGACAGACAATAAAAACAAAAAAGGGCCAGGCACTGTGGCTCACCTGTAATCCCAGTACTTTGAGAGGCCCAGGGAGGTGGATCACGAGGTCAAGAGATCAAGACCATCCTGGCCAACATGGTGAGACCCCCGTCTCTACTAAAAATACAAAAAATTAGCTGGGCATGGTGGTGCACACCTGTAGTCCCAGCTACTCAGGAGGCTGAAGCAGGAGGATCTCTTGAACCTGGGAGGCGGAGGTTGTAGTGACCCAAGATCGCTCCACTGCACTCCCACCTGGTGACAGGGCAAGACTCCATCTCAAAAAGCAAAACAAGGCAAAACAAAACAAAAAAGATAAAACACGTAGTGTGTTAGTTGGTGGTAAATACTATAGGCAAGCAAGGAACTGAGAGGAGTATCTGGGAGTTATAATTCTCGATAGGGTGCCCAGGAAAGGCCTCACTGGAAGGAGATGCAGGCGTGGATCTGGGGATGAGCTGTCCAGGCAGAGAGCACAGCACTTGCAAGGGCCCTGGGGATACTAGGGGGTGCCTGGCTGCTGCAGTCAGTGAGAGGGGAATGGGGTGGACCAGGCCAACAGGGGTGCCACATAGGATTGCACAGGGCCTTAGCAGCCACCTTGATGACTGTGGTGGCTGCCTGGGCAGAGACCCTGTAAGTGTGAAGGGAACGTTTGAGTGTGCAGGGGTGAGTGGCAGAGACATTCACCACGGCAGGGCCCATTCTGTCATCGGGTGGTCACTGATGCAAAGCCATGCTTGGCCACAGTCCCTGCCCTGGCAGTTTGGTGACATGAAAACACCAGTCACCAAATGGTGTGACCTGCAACCCACAGAGTGCTGCAAGCCTCAAGATTGCCAAGATTCTGGCCTCCTCCCTAGATGGCCTGGGTTCCTCCTACCTGGTTCTCAAGTAGTCTTGAGTAAGCTAACATCTCTGAGCTTCAATTTTCTCATCTGTTAAATGGGATTAAGGGCACTGACCTCATGTTTGTTGGGAGGGTTAAATGACTTAAATATTAGGAAAGTTCTCAGCAAAGCCTTTATTATAGTGTGAACTATCATCCATCCCATCAGAATGGAATCCCAAGTGGCTACAACAGGGCCTGGAATATAGTAGATGCTCAATAAAGCTCTGTTGGATGCATGATGGATGGATGGATGGATGGATGGACAGGTGCATGTGTGAATGGACAGGTTGATGCATGGATGGATGGATGGATGGATGGATGGATGGACAGGTGGATGCATGGATTGATGCATATATGGATGGATGGATGGATGGTTGGATGGATGGATAATTGGATGGATGGATAGACAGGTGGATGCATGGATGGATGGATGGATGGACAGGTGGATGCATGGATAGCATGGATGGATGGATGGTTAGGTGGATGGATGGATGGATGGATGGATGGATGGATGGATGGATGGATGGGCAGACAGGTGGATGCATGGATGGATGGATGGATGGTTAGGTGGATGGATGGACGGACAGGTGGATGCATGGATTGATACATGGATGATGGATGGATGGATGGACGGACAGGTAAATGCATGATGGATGGATGGACAGGTGCATGCATGATGGATGAATGAACAGGTGGACGCATGGATGGATGGATGGATGGATGGACAGCTGGATGTATGGATTGATACATGGATGGATGGATGGATGGATGGATGGATGGATGGATGGACAGGTGGATGCATGGATTGATGCACGGATGGATGGATGGATGGATGGATGGATAATTGGATGGATGGATAATTGGATGGATGAATGGACAGGTGGATGCATGGATGGATGGATGGATGGACAGGTGGATGCATGGGTTGATGCATGGATGGATGGATGGATGGATGGATGGATGGATGGATGGACAGGTGGATGCATGGATGGATGCAAGGACTGGTGCATGCCTGAATGGATGAATGAACAAGTGGATGGATGCATGGATGCCTGGATGGATGGATGGTTAGATGGATGGATGGATGGATGGATGAATGGACAGATGGATGCATGGATGAATGGATGGTTAGGTGGATGGATGGATGGATGGATGGATGGACAGGTGGATGCATGGATTGATACATGGATGACGGATGGATGGACGGACAGTAGATACATGATGGATGGATGGATGGACAGGTGCATGTATGAATGGATGGATGGGTGAATGGACAGGTGGATGCATGGATGGATGGAGGGATGGTTGAATGGATGGATGGATGGATGAATGGATGGATAGATGGATGGATGGAGGGATGGTTGAATGGATGGATGGATGGATGAATGGATGGATGGATGGACAGGTGGATGTATGGATTGATGCATGGATGGATGGATGGATGGATGGACAGGTAGATGCATGATGGAAGGATGGTGGACAGATGGATGGATGGATGGACAGGTGCATGCATGAATGGATGGATGGATGAATGGACAGGTGGATAGATGGATGGATGGACAGGTAGATGCATGGACTGATACATAGATGGATGGATGGATGAATGGATGGATGGATGGACAGGTCCATGCATGAATTGATGGATGGATGAATGTACAGGTGGATGGATGGTAGGTGGGTGGACAGATGGATGGGCAGAGCAGAGGGAAGCTTTATCTGGGGCCTCAGGAAAACCTAGCAGAGGAGGTAACATTTGAGCTGGGTCCTGCAAGAGTAGCTTGCTCGATGGAAAGAAAAAGCAGCTCAGGAATAGAGAAGGACAGAGAAGACAGAAAGTTTGGCCTGGTTGAGTAACAGAGATGTTCAGTCCCTGGGGCATGAAAATAAGGTCCCTGCTGGCTCAGTGAGCAGGTGCCGGCTCTGCTCTGCACACCAGGGCTGCCCTCCCAGGCTGGGACTTCAGGTTCCGAGAGGCCATCATGTCCCATCATTGAAAAGCCTCCGTGAACCCAGTGTTTTACAGCAGACTTTTGCTGGCTGCATGAAGACACCTTCCTCACTGAGACTGAAAGATAATTTCTCTTTAATTGATTTTTTACCACTATGAACAGTAAAATAATATAAGAAAAATCTATGCTGCTATTTTTCCATTTGTGAAATCCAAAATTACACCTTGCAGCCAATTCCCTCAGAGTACAGACGTGACTCCTCCCTCCTTTTATTTGTCTCATTCCTTTAAGTGCAAGAAAACAGACCACTTTTTTTTTTTTTGAATAGCTGAAAGTTTATGATTTGAGAAAGGGGCAAGGTGTGGGACAATTTCCCACACAACTCGGAACCCAGGGCCAGGGAGGCACCTCTGATGAAAAGAGATTTCTGTAAATACATGAGAAAGTGATTCTGTTGACACCTCATTCTTCTGTCTGTAGAATGTACGAGTGACAACAGGACATGTTGTTTTAACACCAGACAATGAAGCTCCCTGCTCTCCACTCCTCGCCAGTGATGGCACTGACAGCTTCGTTCCCGCAGGTTCTGGCGACGCCCCCCTTTTGAGCTCCTGGGCCTTCCAGCAACAAGCTTTCCTTTCGAATCCTGGGTCCGAGCCAGACAGCAATGCGTGCTCCTCGTGCAGTGCCAGGGAAACAGCAGCTATGAATCCATAAAACACGCCCTAAATCCATCCCATCCATATTGACTGGTACCTTTAGCGTTGGCCATAAAGTGGCTTTGTGTGAAGTCTTGAGAGAAGAAACCAAGCCTGCTGCATGGCTCTCACTAAATTAACCTCCCTGAGGCTCCGGATCACATTCCAGGAGGGCCGCGGCAGCACGGGTCTCATTAATGCGCAGCCTCTTGGCTCCTGATAAGATTTAACATTAGCCAGATGTTGTTAGAGTCCGACCTCGGCGGGAGCAATCACCTGCGGCATAAACCTGGCACAAAGGCCACTCCTCCAGCTTGACCTCACCCCGCAGGACCGGACTTCGGTCACCCCTTGGTACAGGCTGGCAGGTGGGAGGGAATGCACGATTCACTCCTGGGGTCGCTGTCGCCGCCTCCCTCTCACTGCCCCTGTCCTGTGCTCCTTGCAGGTATTCAGGCTCCAGGCCAGGTGGGGCCGGACGCCCCCAGCCATCCACCATGGTGGTGGCACACCCCACCGCCACTGCCACCACCACGCCCACTGCCACTGTCACGGCCACCGTTGTGATGACCACGGCCACCATGGACCTGCGGGACTGGCTGTTCCTCTGCTACGGGCTCATCGCCTTCCTGACGGAGGTCATCGACAGCACCACCTGCCCCTCGGTGTGCCGCTGCGACAACGGCTTCATCTACTGCAACGACCGGGGACTCACATCCATCCCCGCAGATATCCCTGATGATGCCACCACCCTCTACCTGCAGAACAACCAGATCAACAACGCCGGCATCCCCCAGGACCTCAAGACCAAGGTCAACGTGCAGGTCATCTACCTATACGAGAATGACCTGGATGAGTTCCCCATCAACCTGCCCCGCTCCCTCCGGGAGCTGCACCTGCAGGACAACAATGTGCGCACCATTGCCAGGGACTCGCTGGCCCGCATCCCGCTGCTGGAGAAGCTGCACCTGGATGACAACTCCGTGTCCACCGTCAGCATTGAGGAGGACGCCTTCGCCGACAGCAAACAGCTCAAGCTGCTCTTCCTGAGCCGGAACCACCTGAGCAGCATCCCCTCGGGGCTGCCGCACACGCTGGAGGAGCTGCGGCTGGATGACAACCGCATCTCCACCATCCCGCTGCATGCCTTCAAGGGCCTCAACAGCCTGCGGCGCCTGGTGCTGGACGGTAACCTGCTGGCCAACCAGCGCATCGCCGACGACACCTTCAGCCGCCTACAGAACCTCACAGAGCTCTCGCTGGTGCGCAATTCGCTGGCCGCGCCACCCCTCAACCTGCCCAGCGCCCACCTGCAGAAGCTCTACCTGCAGGACAATGCCATCAGCCACATCCCCTACAACACGCTGGCCAAGATGCGTGAGCTGGAGCGGCTGGACCTGTCCAACAACAACCTGACCACGCTGCCCCGCGGCCTGTTCGACGACCTGGGGAACCTGGCCCAGCTGCTGCTCAGGAACAACCCTTGGTTTTGTGGCTGCAACCTCATGTGGCTGCGGGACTGGGTGAAGGCACGGGCGGCCGTGGTCAACGTGCGGGGCCTCATGTGCCAGGGCCCTGAGAAGGTCCGGGGCATGGCCATCAAGGACATTACCAGCGAGATGGACGAGTGTTTTGAGACGGGGCCGCAGGGCGGCGTGGCCAATGCGGCTGCCAAGACCACGGCCAGCAACCACGCCTCTGCCACCACGCCCCAGGGTTCCCTGTTTACCCTCAAGGCCAAAAGGCCAGGGCTGCGCCTCCCCGACTCCAACATTGACTACCCCATGGCCACGGGTGATGGCGCCAAGACCCTGGCCATCCACGTGAAGGCCCTGACGGCAGACTCCATCCGCATCACGTGGAAGGCCACGCTCCCCGCCTCCTCTTTCCGGCTCAGTTGGCTGCGCCTGGGCCACAGCCCAGCCGTGGGCTCCATCACGGAGACCTTGGTGCAGGGGGACAAGACAGAGTACCTGCTGACAGCCCTGGAGCCCAAGTCCACCTACATCATCTGCATGGTCACCATGGAGACCAGCAATGCCTACGTAGCTGATGAGACACCCGTGTGTGCCAAGGCAGAGACAGCCGACAGCTATGGCCCTACCACCACACTCAACCAGGAGCAGAACGCTGGCCCCATGGCGAGCCTGCCCCTGGCGGGCATCATCGGCGGGGCAGTGGCTCTGGTCTTCCTCTTCCTGGTCCTGGGGGCCATCTGCTGGTACGTGCACCAGGCTGGCGAGCTGCTGACCCGGGAGAGGGCCTACAACCGGGGCAGCAGGAAAAAGGATGACTATATGGAGTCAGGGACCAAGAAGGATAACTCCATCCTGGAAATCCGCGGCCCTGGGCTGCAGATGCTGCCCATCAACCCGTACCGCGCCAAAGAAGAGTACGTGGTCCACACTATCTTCCCCTCCAACGGCAGCAGCCTCTGCAAGGCCACACACACCATTGGCTACGGCACCACGCGGGGCTACCGGGACGGCGGCATCCCCGACATAGACTACTCCTACACATGATGCCCGCCCACCCGGGCTGCCCCGCCTCAGCCCCAGCTGCCCTGGCGTGGCCATGTGGCTTTGCCCAGCCTGCTGCAATCCAAGAGAGCAAGGAAGAGAAATTCCATGGGTGACTTTCCTCCGCAGAAAGCAAAGTTTGGGGAGGGCTGACGATTTTGTAGAACACAACAGTGACAATTTTTTTTAAAAGAATAGAAGGCAGGAGGGGGAATTCGACATTGTTGAAGACATAATTTATACCAAGTTATGCCAGTTGGGGAGGGAAGGACTAAAAATAATATTGCAGGCAGGGCTGGGTTGGGTTTTTTTTTTTTCCCCCCTGAACTGGAAGGATACTACCTGTACAACATCTGTGGACACCTCATGCTCTGTTCAAGGCCATCACAAAGGAACCGCCAGGGAGAAGCAGCCGGCTCTCAAAGCTCCCACGCAGCTCTCCCGCCACTGGCCACTCGCTGGCGACCCGATGGAAGGTTTTCAGGCTCCTCACAAAGGAGAGAGGGAAGAAAAGATCTTTTGCCCTGGAGATATGGTCCTGAAATCTCTCCCCTGGCTTATTCCATACCATTTCCCTTGCAGATTTGCAGAAACATGGCATCTTTCACTGCATTCTTTGAACAATCATGTAGTCGATTAAAAAAAAAAAACAAACTTTTTTTTCCTAGGCTGAAGCCCTCTTCAGTTCCATGCACCACGCTCCGTAGAAGCCCCGGCGGAAGCCGTAGCTTTCCCTGCCACCTGGAGGTGCATCTGTCTGCCTGTCTATCCCTGTCGCGGTGTCTCTAAGTACAGATGGGTAGATAGAGCCACATGCACGGTCCTTACCGTTCTTCTTGGGTCAGTTCTTACCATTTCCTGAACAATAGAATTGTGAAAGTGTTGCTTTCTCCTAGAAATCCTTGAGTAAGTAGACCGTGTGTTGGGGATGGGAGTGAGGTGGGGGAGGAGACTTGGTCTCCAGGGGCTGCTGCTGTTCCTAAAGGCTGAGGTGTGTATGTCTCAGACGGGTGGCTTAGGGAGGCGTCGCAGCTGGGGCTGCCAGTCCCATCCTGGCTCAGCTTGGCCAGCACTGGGCTGCTCTCCTTTCTGATACAGATAAAAGCTTTATTTGATTCCAGTGTCCTCGTCTCCCTCCCCCACCACGTGCAATCACCTTAACAGCTACTTTCTGAGCATTTACCATGTGCTGAATGTTCCCTCCTAGGACGGGTAATTAGCGCAGGGATTTTTTTTTTAAATATCAGCTGATTAGACCTATTGGTTTCCATGGCTGCTCAAACAAAGCCCAGAAAAAGACACAAAAATTCTCGAAAAAGCCCTGGGTGATGGCAGTCCCTCCCTGAATGTAGAAAACTCAGCTGGGCCCACCCCTGGGACTCTGTTTCTTGAGAGGGAGAGACCAGATCTCTTTCTAAAAATGCCAGCCTCCGAAAGGGCCCTGACTGGGACCCTCAGAAGAGTTAAGATTTTATTTCCTCCCTCTGGAATCCATGTCGCTATCATGCATTTATCAACTGACAGTGCAGTGTGGTGAGCCATGAGATTAAAACGATGATGAAATAATGACAGCGAATTGGAGAGGGAGGAAGAGCGGAGCCTGGGGTTCCGACGTGCCTGCGTCCCAGTACTCAGGGAGCCCGGGTCACCATCTGTCACTGTGCCGCTTGTTCTGCGCCAAGGAAAAGGAACGTCAAAGAGGAGATGCTGGTCCGAGGGCAGGAGGATGAGAGGGCTGGGAGCGCCTGGTGGTGCTATTTTCAAACGGCCTCCACCACCGTGCGAAAAGCAAAGGCAGAAGCAGCAGCGGGGCAGGGGTTACGTTAAAAGGCCCGACCGCCACCTTCAGTGAGGAGATGGGGCTGAAAGGAGCGGACACAACAGCCACGTGGAAAGTGGAAAAATGGGCACAGGCTCCCAGCACGGCCTGGGGGGGCTAGCCCACGAAATAGGTCCACTCCCCAGCCCTGGGGAACAGCCGAGCAGCGTGGTCACGTTTCACTCGAAACTAGACGTGTTTTTCCTTTTCCTGCCTGAATCATTTTCTCACACAATAAGGTCAAGAGAGAAATTTCCCCAGGCCTTAATGTCAGGTCTGTATAAAAGGCAGCCCCAGGCCGGGTGCAGTGGCTCACGCCTGTAATCCCAGCACTTTGGGAGACTGAGGCAGGCAGATTTTCTGAGGTCAGGAGTTTGAGACCAGCCTGGCCAACATGGTGAAAGTCCGTCTCTCTAAAAATGCAAAAATTAGCCAGGCATGGTGGCAGGCGCCTGTTACCTGGCTACTCGGGAGGCTGAGGCAGGAGAATCGCTTGAACCAGGGAGGCAGAGGCTGCAGTGAACCGAGATTGCGCCACTGCATTCCAGCCTGGGCAAAGAGTGAGACTCCATCTCAAAAAAAAAAAAGTAGGCCCTCCCAGTGGACCATGGCCCCCCAGCCCCGAGATGAGCAGAAGGGCCCACCTGGGATGTCTGGGAGGAGAGCGTGCCCGAGGTGTGCCACGTTGGCACAGGGGACAGAAGTCCCAGGTCTCTGCTGATTCTAAAATGAGACCACCCCTCCCTGAAGGGCACCACTCTGATCACTGCCTTCCCCCAAGTCCCGCCCATCTGCAACACGGTGCTGCCAGCACACTGTCCCCACCTCACCTAGGTCCCCCTGTCTCCTCTCCCCACCCTAGACAGGTCAGGTCATGCCCTTAGTGGCTAGGAAGGCATCTGGGGACAGCAGGTGGCCCGGACCGTGAGAGCTGCCTGGGAAGGTCCTGCTTGGCTGGGGCAGGAGTGCGGGAGACTTAGTGCTAGAGAGCAGGCAGAGCTGGGAGCCAGCCTGTGCCCAGCCACGCCCTCCGAGACAAGGCCTGAGTGATGAGCTTTCCTCCCCTCCCATTGCACAGAGCAGGCCCAGGCAGGCAGGAGCCCTGGCAGCTGCCCCAGAGGAGCTCCTTGGGCCCCAGGACCACGCGAGTCTCCTGTTCCTGGTTCTTGCACTAACTGGGCGAGGGCGGGGCTCGGCCCCTCTTACCAGACCCTGCCTGCCTCATCGTGGGGATCACCCACCCACTGGCGCTCTAAGTGTGGAGGAAGGTAGATGCTCCACCCAGTCAGGGCCCTGGGACCCAGCTCTAGAGCTGACTTTCTCATCTTTTCTGCCCCTTAGCTATCCTGACACCTTCCCAGGGTCCTTTCTGGGCTTTCCCAGAGGAAGCCCCCAAATATCTGCTGTGTCACAGCCCCTCAGCCAGGGAGGGGCCAGAAGCTAGGTCCGTTCTGAAACCCCATCCCCTCTTGGCCCAGCTCCTCCCAGCTGGTCTCATACCACAAGATAGGAGATGTTTCAGGACACCCAGCCTCCCCTACACCTCAGACATGCGTGAGGACACAAGGCCTGGGATGCCAACCCCAGCCTGTCTAAATTCTCCCGGGCTCCCGTGCACAGCTGACATTTCCAAGGGAACGTCCGCGGCTGGGCTGACCCTCACAGCCTCTAAGTAGCCAGAATAACCTCAGCGGCCCCAGCACTGATGAGTACGTTTTGTGGCATTTAAGGCAGGTTTAAAGTTAAAGATAAAAAAAGCCCATGACGCTTCTTTGGTTAAGTGGTTTACCCTTCGTGGTAATTAGATGTAGTGATTGGAATCTCTTTTCTATTACATGGCAATTTTCCTTTAAATCTCCCCTAAAAAAAAAAAAGGAAAGGAAAGAAAAGGCAAGGAAGGAGAGAGAGAAGGCACCAGCAGGCCGGGAATCATTTGCATTTTGCGAATGAGGCCTCTTGTAAGCTCAGCTCAGGCGTGGGGCCCAATGTATGGAATGCTTAAGAGATTACTAAAAATAAAATCTATTAATTAGTCATACTCAATTCCACAGACATGATGTGCATCAAAAGCTCCTTTTCTTCCCTTTTCTCCTTCCCCCTCCCCACGGCCTCCCGCCACAGCCTCCATCTTCTCTAAATAGGCTGGGGCTTGCTCCACGCTAACATGGTGCATGCGGCGGCCAGGGGCCTCCCTGACACAGGGCCAGGATGCAGGTCCGGAGCCAAGAGCAGGGGCATTGCACCTTCCTGGCTCTGGGTGACGCTGGCAGGGGAGGGGACAGCACCTGGGAAGATGGCAGCAGCTAGGAGGGGCCCAACCTGACTCTCCCAAAGCCCAAAGCCCACACCTGCCGTGTGCCTCTTCTCCCTCCCTCTACACAGGCACCGGGTCTCCTCCTTCCCCTGGGGATCTGGGAAACCCTCCCTCTGAGCCCAGCCCAGCCCTGTCCGAACAAAGCCAGGCAGAGAGCTGAGGAGGGGGTCGGGGAGATGTTTCCAGAGCGGTGCAGGGAAAGAGGGTTTGGTGAGAATACAGCCTCTGTTTCCCCTTCTGTAAAGTGGGGGTGTGCTAGGGAGGGGTCCAGCGTCACTCAGGAAACTGGTGCTCCAGAGGCCAAGTGGGGGCCCTTCCCCGCTGCTGGTGCTGAAAGGTTCTAGCTGGCCCAAGTCAGGTGAGGGATCCCTGAAGGGTTGGAGGGGCTGGTCAGGGCCTGAGCAGAGGACAGGCTGGGACCCAAGGCTGCCTCGGAACCTGTGCCTCCCTCCTTCACCTCCGGCCCTGGAGCCAAGGAGCCAGGAGAGGAGGAGAAAGAGCAGACCCTCCCCCTTGAAAATGGCAGCTCAAGTCCCAAAGCCAGCCCACTTCAGAAACCTGCTTCCTGCTGAACGTGCCAGAGAGGAGGCTGGGGCTTCTGAGCCTTGCACTTATGAAAAATACAACAAGGAGAACTGGATGCAGCAAAGAGGGAGCAAAGGGGCGGGGAGGGCAACGGGGAGAGCAGGGGCAGTGCTGGCAGGAGGGGCCGGGCGCAGGGACCTGTGCCCCCAAGGGCCAGACCCTGCTCTCAGGGCCAGGACGCAGCCAGGGTCAGTGACGGGCGTCCGCGTGCCTCCTCATACTCGATTGGCACAGGTGACGGTGGCTGCTGCCTGCCCCTGGATGGGCGCCAGGGCAAGCACTCACAGGCGATTCGCAGCCGTGCATTGGCCTTCCGAGTGCAGAGAGGAGGCATTTTTTTTTCTTAAGGAGGGATAAAAAGGCTCAAAAATGCAAATCGTTACCGTTTACAACCAAGCAAGTCTGCTAAATTGATTAGGAGAGATTAAACTCCTTGGAGGTGCAGGGAAAGGGGGATTTTTCGTGGTTTATGAACCTGCCCCAAGTGGCTATCTGCATAGCAGGGACTTTCTGGGCCTCGATGGGTGGGGTGGGGGGGTTGGGGGTGCAAGATGGGGGCACCTGCCCTGGCTTGGCTCCCTGGGGAGCCAGGGTCTCTGAAGACAACACCAAATGGACCAGAGCACTCAGGCTTGAGGCTCCAGCACTGCCCTAGGGAAAGGGACTCAGGCCTCTGGGACAAGTGGCCCATCCAGTCCTTAGAAAGTAGGACTCTAGAGCCGTGGGCTTTTCTGCTTCCTTTCTGTTCTGGGTGGGTCTGTCTCCAATCCACTCCTTGTGGCCAGTAAAAGGGGAGTGGGTAAAGGGAAAACTGAAGGTCAGGGAAGAGAAACTCTAGCCCAGCAAAGGAAACAGGCAGTGAGCTCTCCGTCACTGGGAGCATTCAAGCACTAGATGGGGACGTGGCAGATATTTTCCTCCCAAGGTCTGGTGCTTTGACTAGAAGATCCTGGTTCCCACCCTTGCTTTCTCATCCCCCAGGACACTGAAAGGGAGCAGATATCAAGAGAAGTTCACCATGTTGTTTAAAGTCACTGGTGTCCCCTGAAAACCCCAAGTCAGGGCAGTCCTGAAGCCAGACCATCCTGCCCCACCAAAGAGCCACTTGTGCCAGCAGAGAGGCTGCAAAATACCCATCCTCAGTGTCCAAGAGGCACCAAGAAAGTACAGATACATGCCACCCCCTTTCCAGAGTCTAAACTCAGCACCTATGGCTCGCCAGAGGGGCTGACAGAGAGCGCCTCCCAGGCCCTGCAGCTCCGAAGCCCAGGCTGCGTCCTGGACCTGTCTCTTAAGCCAGGGCTGCCCCACGTGCAGTCCAACACGCTCATGCTGCTGCTGCTGCCACTGTATCTATCCATCCATCCATCACCGCCGGTGGATGGCGCCTGGGGCACTTTTCACTCTGTGGTTTTAAGCATTTACTGTTTCTTTTGAAATGTTCCAAGTAGGTGCCTGAAATACCCATATTTGCTTCTTTTTAAAAAACTCACAGAAAGATTCTTTTTGCTCTCCATCCCCTCCCTTTGCTCTTCCCCCTCCCTCGGCATTTTTAATCTGTGGGTTTTCCCTGGTTTTGGAAATTCCAAAAGTGGGGGTCAGGCCCCCTTTCTCACCATAACAGATTTGCGGGTGTGCCTGGAGACCCCCAAAGCCACAGAGCAAAGCCTGGTCTTTTTCTTTTTTTTTTTAGACAGAGTTTTGCTCTTGTTGCCCAGGCTGGAGTGCAATGGTGCAATCTCGGCTCACCGCAACCCCTGCCTCCCGGGTTCAAGTGATTCTCCTGCCTCAGCCTCCTGAGTAGCTGGGATTACAGGCGTGTGCCACCATGCCTGGCTAATTTTGCATTTTAAGTAGAGACAGGGTTTCTCCATGTTGCTCAGACTGGTATTGAACTCCCAGCCTCAGGTGATCCGCCCACCTTGGCCTCCCAAAGTGCTGGGATTACAGGCATGAGCCACCGTGCCCGGCCAAAGCCTCGTCTTTTCTCCACGTCTCCCCCGGAGACCCCTGCCTGGGACAGCTCCTGCTTCTGGTACCTGCTGGAGACCCTGGCCAGGGCCTGGCTCTTTGAGACCACTGTCACTGTCCCCTCCCGCCCCTTGTCACTGAAATGCCCGGCCTGTGCCAGGAGAGAGTGAGGGTGTGCTGAGGGCATAGGGCAACCTGTGGGTGGGATGACTGCCCCCACGTCCTAACAAAGCCAGCCCCCAAAGCACTGTGGCCATCTGAGTGGGCACAGTGCCCTGGCCCCCCTGCCTCCCCACACCTGAAAGCCCAAAGCCTAAGACCAGAGAGTCCTCAAAGGAAGGTCTTTGCTGCCACAGCCCTAAATCTCATCAAGGTAGATAGTCAGAGTCAGCACCTTGCCCTTCCCAGGGTCACTGGGGCCCAGCACAGTGCCTGGCACACAGGGGTACTCAATCCTTTCTCTGCCACCAACGGAACGAGGCCGCCTCCTCCTCTCACTTCCTCCCCAGTTGCCATCTGCCCACTCATTGAGGATGGCCCAGGCACGAGTGTTGGCAACAAACAGGCTTCTCTCGTCCTGCTCCTGCCCCGCCAGCAGCTGGCACAGAGAGGGGCTCATCTCAGCAGCTTTACCTCTTGGAAGCACCTCGCTCCACCCTGCCTTGGATCCACGTGTTGCCAGCTGTGAGCCAGATGGAGAAATGTAGCCACTCTGAGAGATCCGGTGGCTGCCCCAACCTGTGTCAGTAACTCAGTTTCCCTTCTCCAAGACTTGCCTTGAGTGGATGACAAGGGGGAGAGAACTGGGGGAGGGCCCCACAGAGGCGCTGCAAGAAATCCAGATCCCAGGCGACACCTGCTGCCTTGCCTGCTGCCCCCGCAGAATCCCTGCATCTGGAGCCACCCACCTGGAGGAACTCATCGGGCTTCCTCTGTAGACGGGAAAAAACAAACGCACCACAAACCGACAATCAAAGCCATGGCGGATGCGGGGCCGCCACCAGTTCATCTCCCTGGAGCCAGGCGGCTCCAGGCCTCTCTCACCTTTCTTGTGTGGAACGCAGGCTTGCAATGTTCTGAGCCCACCTGTCCTCGGGCTAGTCCCATTTTCAAAAGTTCTGAGTACGCAGGTGAGAAGACACCCCCACAAAACCCCAAAACTAGCCTTAGGCTGTTTTTCCCCAACACAACGCACCTCCACACCCCACACCGCCAGCAGCCCACCTGGGTACCCAAAGTGAGCCGCCAGGGGGTTCCGAGGACCCTGCCTGGTGCCTTCCAGCTCATAAGGAGAGGCCAAGAGCCATGGGGAGGAAGCCACACGGCCCAGCGCTCAGGGCTTGTCATCCAAGAGTGAGAGAAGTGGGGAGAGAGGTGACGGAGGGTGGAGTGGTGTGTGGCGTCGAAATAGGCTAGCCAGAGAGAGAGGTGCTTGTGGGATTCTGCTGGCTGGAGCCAGGAGGTAAGTGTGAACAGGGAGGCCAAAGATGAAAGTTATCTGAAAGAGCCCGTACCCCCTATAAACACGGCAGAGGAATGTCTTAAGAGCCACCAACAGTAATTCCCTTTCCGGATGTTAACAGGTTATTTGTATCTTATGTGGTGTCGTAAAGCATTCTGGAGTGGCACACAACGTCATCCCCTTCCCGGTGGTCTGAAGAGGAGGAGGAGACCAGGGAGGGGTCCTTGGCCAGCCCCTGGCGGCCAAGGGGTGGGTCCTTCTGCTCTATAGAAGGCAGGAAGCCCGCCAGCTAACCGCCCGGGTCAGAGGGAGCAGGCCTGATCTCTCCCAAGCCTGTGACCGAGGTCCTGCCTGATGTCCAAGGGGCCCCTGTGCCAGTACCCCCACTTCCCACGCCCCCCAGCCTTCCTCACCTCCAGAATCAGCCGCCCAGGTGCAGCACTATCTCCTTTCTTTTTCTTGGAAGCCGTCTCAGGGGCCTGAGTGACGGGCCTGACCGTCCCCGCTACCGCCTGCTGCCATGCGACCAGATGGCTGACCCGGCCCGGCTTCTCAGGGCCCAGACCAGCCTGGCCTCGTGCCCACCTGCTTCGCTCCCAACCTCACCACCAGGCAAGGGTTTCCAGAAAACCGAGACACGCAAACACCCACCACCACGACAACAACACAAACCAAAGTGCACTGCGAACCGCCCTTTGGCCTCCTTCTTGTAGGTGCCTTGAAACTTCAATGTTGAGATGAATGTGATTAACTACTTGGTCCTATTTTCTGTTTGTCTATTTTCATAGAAAATGTCCAAGTCCACTTGCCTTGTTCTTTCTTGAAATAAATAGAAAGATTTAACTTTTACGGTCATCTCTTGCTGCTGACTCTCGGCTTGGCACCCCATCGGGCCAGGGGCCAGGTGTCCGGGGCACACGTGGTCTCAGCGGCCCACCCCCTCCCCGGGCCTTGCCCCCGAGGCTCAGCCCACCCCCTCCCCGGACCTTGCCCCCGAGGCTCAGCCCACCCCTCCCCGGGCCTTGCCCCCGAGGGTCAGCTCTGTTCTTGGGGTGCCCTGGCTCGGAGGCGGTGACCCGGCAGGATGGAGACTGTTCCCTCCGGCACCATCCCAACCAAAATGATTCCGCTGCAGGAAGAAGGGCCCTCTGTCCCCACCCACAGGCCCCAGAGGTCTACTGACACCTGAGTCACCACAAGGGGACCCAGAGCTGAACCAGAGCTGAACGTAGACTCCGAGGGGTCTCTACATGGAGAAGTATGTGTCAGCAGGAGCTATGGGTTATCCTGGAAGAGGCTCCAGCAACCAAGTGGCTCCGGGGTAAAAGTGGGACTGTCCGGGTGTTTGGGGACATGAGCTTATGCCACCACCCCAGACGCCCCCCATCCCCTAGATGTACCCATTACACTCACAGCTCTGGAGCCTCATCTGCCTCTCTCACATCCCAAAGGGAGGGGGACAGGAAGGAACAAAATTTCCATGAGAACAATAGCAGTCTCTGCTAAATTTAACATAAAACAAGAACTCATTACTTCTGCCTGAGATCTGATTTCATGTCTGGATACAGTTAACGGGTTTTTCCTTATATTCCAAAGAAGCAAAGTTAATTCTCAGTGGCCGGTGGCCCTGAGTGGGGTGACGTGGGCCCCACAGGTGCTCTCTGCCCCACCCTCCTCCTCCATCCTCACCTCCTGTCCTGCCAGGGCAGGAGCAGCCCAAGAGAGACCACTCTAAGGTGTGGCACACAGTGTGACCACCCAGGAAAGGACCCAGGCTGTTCTTCCAACTTCTCCCTGAGACCCAGCGCACAGTGGGTGCCCAGGAGGGGTGCCCACTCCCTCACCTGAGACCCATTCTCTGGGGCTGTCGAGGGCTCTTTCTGGAACACAGTCAGCCAGCCAGCCAGCCAGGAGATATTGACTGAGGGCCTGCTATGCTCTGGGGCTGGTGTATTCCTGCCTCATGGAGGAGTGAGGAATCTACGTGGCTGAGTCAGGGCCTAGCCTGGGTGGGGCTGGGGAGGCTCTGTGGGGAACCAGATTTCCACAGAGGACGCTTCCACGGATAAGGAGGACTAGGAGGCAATGGGGAAGGCCTGGCACGCCGCCCGCCTGAGGTAGACAGGAGGGCAGGTCCACTTCTGCGCCCCACTCAGGAAGGCCCTGTGTCCCCCCATCTCCCCGTTGCCCCCCTCAGACTCCAGCCTCAGTGCAGCCCCACCCTCTGCCCTCCACGCCTGACACCCCCCAGGCCCAGTGTGGCTTAGACTTCAGGTCTATGCTGCACTGGTTTCCCACGCCTCTGCTGGCCTTTCTCACCTGCACAGGTGACCCCTTCCCACGCCTCGCTTGGCTGAGCCCAGACTGGCAGCTCTTGCCCTCCACACCTCCAGATCCCCAGAGGGCACTTGTCTGGCACCAGGAGGCCCCGTAAACAGGAATGAAGAGTGAGTCGATAAACAGTAAATCAATCAGCCAATCACTCCATGGATCCATGTGAGTACAAGGAGGATGATTCTCCAAGCACAACAGCCCTTGCCAACCCCAGTGAACCCACCCTTCCCCAGGAAGTCCTGCTCCCGGCTTTACCTCACCCTCCCCACGTGTGGCAGCGCCACAAATCTGGGGACACCTGTGGAGCCCTCGAAGCTAGGGAAGAAGGGCTGTGTTCTCAAACTGTGTTCCTCAGCCCCTGGAGCTAACACAGGTGTTGCCCAGAAAGGGTTCCCGGTCACAGGCCTTTGGGAACCACTGGATTAACACCACTGCTCTCCTGGGGCAGGGCCTTGGAGTCCCTGGGTATTGGGTTAGACCCATGGGCTCCGCCAGTTACCACATGTGCTACTCATCCTCTCTGTGCCTCAGTTTCCACCTCCATGCGTACATGATAACAGCTCCATCCCCGACTGCTGTTGGGAGGGTGAGGTGGGACGACACAGGTAATGCCACTGGGAGTGCCCAGCTCAGAAACCACCCGCACCAACCCTACGGCTGTGACGGAGCCTCTGTGAGAGGGCGTGGGAGGCCGGGTTGCCTACAGTTTGTCTGGGGAGTGTAGGCCTCCCCCACCCCCAGCACAGCCTCCTGGGGGGTTTCTCCCGCATTCCTGGCCCCCAGGGATGGAGCCAGGTGCTGAGCTGGTTGGCACTTCTTGCAGGGAGGCCCAGGTTCTTGGCAGGACCTTTGGACCCAGGCAGCAAAGTGCCCCCAGGTCCAGCACAGAGAGGCAACCGTACAGGGTGGGGCCTGTTCCCCAAACCACCCCCACAACAATCCCAGGTCCACGGCCTGCTGAAGAGGATGACAGGCTGGCTGCAGCCTTAGGCTTCAGGATTGGGGGTGGGTGTGGGGGACATCTCAGGTTTTAATACGCGCCCCAGGGGAGTTGGAGGCTCAGCCAGGTTTGGGCCGCACAGGAGGGAATTGCCAGGACCTGCATTTCAGGAATGAAAGGAAAACCCTCCAAACATAACCTGTTCTGAAGAGGACCGGGTGGTTGGGGGGCCGTGAGCCTCCCGTTCTTACAGGAAAGCAAGCAGGACTGGCCAGTGCCTCAAAGGCACTGCAGGGGACCTGCTGGCCCCAAAGAGCCCTGACACCATGTCTTCAGCTGGATGCCAGGAGATGGGGTGGTCCCCCGAGAAACCTACCCCACACCACTGCTGCAGCCCCCCACCGTGCCACCCTCCAGCCAAGCCACTTTGGGCCCTTTCCTTCCCCACAAATCTCTCAGGACTTGCATTATCACTGAGATTAGGGGCACGTGTGGGTAAGACCCCCGAATGGCTGCCCTGCGGCCAAGAGGCACCTTAAGTCCCGGGGCTCCGGCTTTGTGTATCTGACTCCGTCTGTTTTGTCAGACTCAGGACTAAAAAGCTCCTGCTCAAATGAGAGAGAGAGAGTGGGTGATACCTACCCCTCCATGGCTGCTTTCCTGTACCTGGAAACTGCCCTTACCTGGCTACCACTGGGTTCTGGAAGCTTCCCTTCTCCTGCCCCTACTTCCCAGGAGGGGTCTCTGGCCTCACCGAGCAACCTGAAGAAGAGGCGTCGGAACCTGGGAGGGGTCTAACACCCCAGGCCACACCCCCACACCCAAGTTCTGTGGCTGAGTCTTATCACCCAGCCTAGGAGGGTCCCGGACGCATGGGAGGGCACCCAGCTGGCCCTGAAATTCTGCCTCCGTGGGTCTGACATTGGCTCATCCACTTTCAGGCACCCCAAATAAGGCATGCTTCCAGGACCCCCCCACACATGCCGCTGCCTCCCCGCCGCCGCACCCACGTCACCTTCCAGTGCTGACACTGCCACCTCCCCACCCGCCACCCTGTCCAGCACCTCCAGAGGACCTTCTCCTCCTGCGGCAAAGTAAACAGGCTCTCTGGAGTGCTAACTGACAGCACAAATGAAATCCTGCACTCCCTCCCTCTAAGATTTACAGGGGAAGTGAAATCTTATTTGCAATGCTGCCAAGCCTGGGACGAGATGAAATTATGCCTCAAGAAGAGAACTGGCCGGCCCGGCGAGGAAGCACTGCATCGGAGATGGGCTTATTAAAACCACAGTGGCCACATTTCAACCTGTTTCAGGTGTTAAGTAATTTACTGCCACCCAGAATTCAGTGGCAGGTTTTTATCATTTTTATTCTTGTGATGCAGGCGAGTGCCCCAGGAGGTCCCTGTGCAGGGAGCTGCGGGTCTAAATGCTCCCTGTCACCCCCGCCCCAGGCACTGCAGAGGGAAATGGGGGCCAGCTGCCTGAAGCGGGTGAGGACACCCTGACTCTCTCCAGGGTTACACCCAGCTTGGCCATAGCTCAGAGTGACGGGGAGGGCAGGCTTTAAGACCCTCACCCCACCCACGTGTGGGGGCTCCATGATCCCTCAAAGACCCTCGGGACGTTTTCTTTTTTTTGATGGAGTCTCGCTCTGTCACCCAGGCTGGTGTACAGTGAGGTGATCTCGGCAGCTTCCGCCTCCCAGGTTCAAGCGATTCTCCTGCCTCAGCCTCCCAAGTAGCTGCGTGTACAGGCGTGTGCTACCACGCCCAGCTAATTTTTGTATTTTTACTAGAGATGGGGTTTCTCCATGTTGGCCAGGCTGGTCTTGAACTCCCAACTTCAATGATCCACCCGCATCGGCCTCCCAAAGTGCTGGGATTACAGGAGTGAGCCACCGCGCCCAGCCCCTCAGGATGTTTTCTGAAGGCAGCAGGAATGTAAGCTCTCTGGGAGCAGAGACTACCCTGTTTCAGGCTGTGACTACCAACCAAGCCTTTATTGAGCACCTACTGCATGCCAGGCCCTGTTCAGATGGGGAACATGCAGCAAATGGGACCGAGAGCCCCCTGCCCTGTGGAGCTCACGTGCTGCCTGCCGGTAAGTGTTGAGTAAATATTTGTGGTTGGTTGATGAAAATCTCCTACAGGCAAACAGGCCCTTGAAAGAAAAGAAGCTGAGGAGGGGGGCAGGGGGAACCGGAGGGAAGTGAGTGGCGGGAGGGAGGGGCGCACTTGACTGAGCATCTGCTACATGCCAGTCATCACAGTGACTGCTGGCAGCCCTGGAAGTGGGGCCTCCCCATGCCGGAGCTGCTGGGGCCAGGTCTCTGCACCTTCCCCTGCTCTGGAGAACTATGCAGAAATGGCTGATACTCCGTCTGAACTCATGAGGAACACAGTCTCCTATTCATGGGGAGCTGGGGACAAGGGGACCTACAGTCTGGGATGTGGTTAGGAACAGCCCCACGTCCTCCAAGCTCTCGAGCCCTTTCTCAGTGGTCCCGGGAGGAGAGCTGTTTGATGCCTGCTGGCTTTGGGGGGATTAAGCCTATTATGGAGGCTCCCGGGGCTTATCTGATGCCTTTCTCCACCTGTTTTCAGATATTCCAGGAAGACCAAGGGGAATCTTCTATGTCCAGGCTGAGCCAAGAGCAGAAATTCTTTAATTAGCTTTCTCCTGGATCAGGGCCCTGGCGGATGGATTGGTCACTGGGGGTGGGGCGGGGGGAGGGGAAAGGGATTGAAGTCCTCTTTAAAGCAGAGATTACAAACCCAGGGTGAAGGGCTTCAGGGCAGTTGCCAGGGACGGGCGGGTCCTGAGCAGGCCCTCCCCAGTCAGCGGCTCCTCGGGGTCTGGCAGATGGAATCTGCCACCAGGAAGATGCAGGGATGTGCTCTATTGAGCCCGCGGTCCTCAGGAAGCTGGCACAGAGAGATGCTTGGCACAGTCCAGGCTGTGTGCCCGGGTCTCCTAATGAATGTGGCTCTTCCCCATGTGACCATCCAGATCTGTAACTTCATAATTAGGGGGGATTTCCTGAAGGGGCGCCCATCTGCGAGAGGCAAGGCAGCGGGGGCCAGTGGTGCCAGGCGCCAGGCATCTGTCACCGAGCTTCATCCTCACGGCAGGGAGGTGCGGCAGGCTGGCTTACTCCCATTTTAAAACCAGCAAACCAAGGCCCAGATCTAAGCAGCTTGCCCAAGGCAATGGTGACGGAGTTAGCTCTGGAACCAGGTCTGTCCGGGTTCCCCCCACTGCCCCGAGTCCTGGCCCCATGAGGCCTCATGAAGAGACCAGGCTGAGGGTCAGTGAGCTGGAGGGAAATGCACACCCATGAGCCCCAGCCAGAGCGCCCTGTGGGGAACTAGACCTCCCCAGGAAGACCTCCCACAGGAAGCCGTCCCTGAGCAGCCCCCAGCGCCTTGGATTCCTGCACAGATGCACGGAGCCCCCACGCTATGCCCCTGCTGCCCCGCTACACAGGGAGCAAGGACTGGGTCTTAATCACTTCGTGCCCTTTGAATGCAGAAAGGAAGGTTGCGTCCACCTCAGCTTGGGAAACTGGAAAGAAGACTGGCAGGAAGCCAGGGGCACAGGATAGGCCAGGCTATGCCTCAAAAGATGGGGGACAGGGACAGAGGGAGCCAAGAGAGGAGACTGCTGGGGATCCCAGGCTGGAGCTCTCCTGCTGGCTGCCTTGCATAGGGAGGCACACGCAATGTGAGAGGGCAGGAGGCCGAGCCAGATGCCCGGGGCTGCGGCCGTGTGAAGTGTGGCTCGCGTTCTCTCCCTTGATCTCCTCCTAAAAGGCAGCTCCCCTGTGCTCCGGAAGCACTGGACACAGGTAGAGCAGGCAGAGAAAGACATCTGGACCCAGACCCCATGGGCATGGCCCTGCCACCCGCCCCAGCCTCCCTTCCCAGTGCAGCAAGCTGAGCCATTCCCAGAGCAGACTGCCCCAGGGCCCCTGTCCCCAGTCCCTGACTCTCAGACAGGTTTTCCCCTGGGATCCGGTCATGACGGGTGACTTGTAGGACCCTAGGGCACCCCAGCTGCCCGGGTACATCTCCCTTGTTCCCCCTTGCAGCCCCAGCACCTGCTGCAGGAATTAATGAAACGAATGAATGACTGTTACAGACTACATGGGAGCGACAGCAAACCCAGGTCTGGGGAAGTTCCTGGAGGGGAGGGTTTCTCAGCTGGGACCTGGAGGACGGTCGGAGTCAGCCAAGGAAATGGAGGAGAGGGTGCTCCTGACAGAGGTAAGTGCCCAGGCAAAGGCCAGGAGCAGAGACAGAACATGCAGCTATAAAGCCCAAAGTCACCCAACCCGGCTAGAATGGATAGGGTAGGAGAGGGAATGAATGAATGAGAAAAGGCAGGAGAAGTTCTGGGGCTAGATGACAGAGGTGGCCATCAGGGCAAGAAGGCTGAGGTCACCACTAGAGCTTCCCACAGTGGAGGATTCCAGGGGATTCCAAAGAAGCCAAGATAACAGCCAGGGCCGCCCAGCTCTGGAGGTCCCCATGTCCATCACAGTCATTCCACCCCACCCTGAGCTTTGCAGTACACCCCTGGCACCAGTCATGAGGTTGCAGAGAGAGTTGAAACCCTGAAGCAGGAAGCAGCATTCCCCCAGTGAGAGGCCAGGCCCAGAGAAACCCCAGCCTCTGCCAAGGAAGCGTGAGGACCCCAAGGGCAAGGGAGCTGGTGGGGGTAGGGGTGAGACTGGAAGTTGAACCCACAGGGAGGAGGGAAAGCAAAGGATACAAAGGCAGTGGCGGCAGCAGCCCCGCTGAGACTTGCTGTGAGCAGAGAGGAGCCCTGTTTACCTGGCATGAAGCAAGTATTTCCAGGCACCTACTACATGCGGGTTTGGTGTGAGATGCAGGGGTGGGGGACAGCACCTGAGGAAGCACCTGCCTCCCCGGCTGCGCCACACCTGTACACAGCAATACTTCCAGCACCCGCCTCTCTAGTGGGTGAAGAATGATGTCTCTCATTTCAATTAGCTTTTTCTTGATTACTTGCGAAGTTCTGCATCTTTTCACTTGTTTACTGGCCATTTGTTTTTCTCCTACCGGGAATTGCCTGTCCACATCTTTCACCCATTTTTCTTATTGATTTGTAGGAGCTCTTCGCATATTAAGAGAGGAGTAGAGAAGCAGCCTTCTCCTAGGGCAGGGCCCTCAGAGTCTCCCTCCAGGGTCCTCGGTCCCAGGGAAGGCAGAGAGATTTGTGTGGGTTGCTGGGTGCTCCCGCTGAATCTCTGCCCCCTGCCTGGCTCCCGATCAGCCAACTCTGCCAGAAGATGAGGCATCTCCTGCAGGTGAGGGCCCCTGCCAGGCCTGCATCCTGACTGGTAAAACCCAGAGGGCTTATTTTTCACTTACACTGAGAAGTCTACACTGCCAGTGGCTGGCAAGGTGCCCCAGATGGCACCTGAGGGGAGCCAGCTGGCATACCCGGGCATCGCAGAGGACAGAATGACTCTCGCCATCCCAGGTCAGTCTAGCAGGGACCATATGACAAATGGAACAGGTCCTGAAGCCTCAGGCCGGCCCTCCCACTAGAATTCCAGGCCCCCTCCCGGTCCTGGCACACACCTTCCCTGTCCCCCTTTCCAACTACAACGGTCCCTAAAGAGCAACCCCGGCCAGGGCCGCTCAGCTCTGGAGGTCACCATGTCCATCACAGTCACTCCACCCTCCACCCCACCCTCAGCTTTGCAGGAGACACCTGAGCCCTTGCCGCTTGCCCTCGGCCACCTGACCTTTCAGGGCCAGAACCATCCCTGCATTTTATTTTCCCTCCAGAGCATTCCACATTTCAGTGGACAAACACGCAGGCCATAAAACTGATTTCCAAAGCCTATAAAGGCAATAACATTTAGGGAGGAGGAAAAATAAAGCCCCTCCTTTCCCAGAGTAACGGCTGCCAGGAGTCCTCGAGGGGCCCCTTCTGCAGCTTGAGGGGAGCAGCGCAGGGCCAGCTTGCAGCCTTCCCCGCGCCAGGTGGTAAATGGCCACCCAGCACATGTTCCGAGGGCCCACGGCAGCCAGAGAGACTGCAAACTGCCTGCTTACCCTCTTCTCTGGTGCCCCTGCCCAAGGCTGTGTGGTTCCCCAAGAACCAGGGAAGCCTCGTTGGCACCCCGCGCCTGCCCTCTCTCCCCTTCCCCCACTAAGCTCCCTGCAAGGACCCCTGGAGCAGCTTCCCGGCTGGTCCAAGTCACCCCTGCTGCAGCCAGCGCAGGGGATGGCCCATGCTGTGGGCGGCCCGATGGACGTCCTAGGCAGCCAAACCCACCGTCCTGCTCCCCGCCACGCTCGGCTGAGCCCTCTGGGGAACAGAAAGGACACTGCCACAAAGGTGGCCACCATGACCTCGATGGCAGAGTGGGAGTGGATCCCATCAGAGACCAGAAAGCTCAGCCTTCCCTCAAGCTCTCCAGACACACCCATCCTGGGCTGTCACCAAGTTCACTAACCAGAACAACACCTAGAGTGGTCACCATGTGCCCACAACTCCTCATTCATTCATTCACCCATTCATTGATTCAGTTAAGGGCACTTCCCAGGATACATAGGGAAAAGATCTGGGTTCAAGCTTCCTGGATCCCAGACAAGTCACTTATGGTCTCTATAGCATAGCTTCCCAACCTGAGAAGTGGGACTCATAGCCGCCTCTCAGGCCATGACTGTGATGGTTATTCTGGGCTGGGAGAGCTGCTGGATGAGGGTGGGATGCGTTGGCAGCTGCAAGGCTGGGCCCAGTATGAGGGCAAGGTCCAGAGGGGAGGGGCCTGCCTGGAGGCTGGGGGATGCACCAAAGGACCCCAACAGTCCTTTCCAGGCAAGGATGCAACAAGGCCAGGAGACAAGGCCTGTGGGGGTAACATTCCTGCCTTCAGGGCAGACCCACCGGAGAGGGTCAGAGGGACCCCCCGCCACCGACCTGTGAGGGACCCGGGTGGCTTCCAGGAGCCCCAGGCCCGGAAGTCACTCATCCTCCTTTTCCTCAGGGATTAGAACACATCGTGACGTGGAATTAGCCACGGGCTCAGCCTCTGAAAAGAGGTGGAGAGAATCGGGAGATGGGGATCTTCCAACCAGGGAGCCCCTCCCTGCACAGGGGCCTCCCCAAGTCTCTGCAGGGATGGGGGGATGAGGAAGTGGGGGTGCCAGCCCCCGGGAGCAGCGGGGAGGGCTGGTGCGGGGCTGGAGTGGGCATCTCAGCATTTGCATGGAGAGCTCTCTCTGGTGCTGAATTCATGCAGCCGCCTGTGTGATTCCTAAGGCGAGACGAATCTCCAGGCCGCTTTTCTCAGCAGGAACAAGGCTTTTCTTCAAATCGATGGTGACACATTTTTAAACTCCGATATTAAGGAGGGAAAGATTTTGCCAGCCCCCCAGGGGCAACCCTTATTAGTCACAGGCTCATCTGAGAGAAACAGCAACAGCAGACCCAGTGGGCCTGAGCAAGACAAGAGGCCCAGAGGCCAGCTGCCGTGAGCACGACACAGGGGAGTCGACAGTGACAAATAGGAGGGCAGCGGCGGGGGGGTCTCCTGAGCTGGGGCACAGCCATGTGAGGGGCGAGCACTTTGGGATGGGCTCTGGAGCAAGGGATAAACCATCCTTGGGGGAGATAAAGAATAGTTGGTGAGGATACTAGAGAGGAAAAATGAAGAAAAAAGGCCAAGAGGAGAAAGAAAAGAAGGCATTCAGCTGAAACTTAAATTGACTTCCAAGCTTGGAGTTATGGATCCTAAAATCTTGTTACAAATTTTGCAGTGGCTGCTGGGAAGCTCAGAGCTGCATCTCATATTCAGTTGCAACAGATTTGCTCAGCCTAGTTTTGAGGTGTCATCTGGGCCGGGTCAGGAGAGGATACCAGGAGCCAAGATACCCCCAAGTAGCCATCGAGAGTGTAAACTACAAGGGCAGATATGAGCCGTAGTTCCTCGGAAGGCCACACACCAGCATCGAGTAGCAGGTGCCAGGGCAGAGAGCAGGCCGTGACCAGGAACCAGGCAAGAGGCTGGTGGCCTGGAAAGCACGTGCTGAGGGCATCCAGGCCGCAGAGTTCCAGGTGGGACCAGGAGCACAGTTCTTAGGAGATACCCAGCTCAGCATCCCCTGCTGTGGCTTGGTTCTTTTTGTTCCTGTTTTAATGGTTCTCAATTTTACTGTTCCTATTTTTCAGTGGAAATAAGTAAATGTTTTTTAAAAAATTAATGCCAACTCATATGCCCATTTCCTTGGTGACAGCAGTCACCATTTACTGAATTCCAATGACTTGTCAAGTGTTTGCATGCACCATCCTCTGCCTTCAGAGGGGACATCGCTCTCCTGGGTTTACAGGTGAGGAAACTGAGGTTCAGGGGAGAGGTGTATCCCGGCCAAGGTCACAAGAGCTAGCAAGTGGCCACAGCAGGACTTGAACCCAGCCCTGTCCCATGCGCACCGGAAGGCTCCTGCCTCCTTGTTAGGAGGAAGAGGAGGCTGGGTGGAGGCCGAGGCCAGGGAGGCCCTGAGAGGCAGTCAGCTGACCCACAGAACCCCCTCCCCGGCACTGCCTGGTCTCCTCCCGCGCAAACATACCCCACCTTCCTGTGACCCTCACGGGGAAAGCTCCCCGCAGGCTGCCAGAGGGGATTTAGCTCCTTTGACAATTGAAGCTGCAAAGCTCTCCTCACAAATGTCAATTCTGGGCCATTTGCTTCGTAGATTTTAATGTTCCTGTTTCTCCTCAACGTCCTCAGCAAGGTAGCTCTTGCTTTTCAAAAGGGATGTGGCGTTTGATGATGTTTAAACCGTACCTGAAATACAGCCAGGCGGCAATAATAAAACAGCCGCGGGCCCTGCTGGCAGAGGAATGGCTGACAGCCGGGCCTCTCTCCCCAACTGCGATGCCGCTCGGCTCTGGTTTTTACCGCAATTACAATGTCCGAAGACAGGGAGGAGGCAGCAGCGGGGAGGAGGAGAGTGGGGAATGGGCGTTCAAGGGCCACTTGTTGCCGCCAGGAGGTGGGTGCCACTGATGGGGATTTTTTTTTTTTTTAAGACAGAGTCTTGCTCTGTCGCCCAGGCTGGAGTGCGGTGGCACCATCTCAGCTCACTGCAACTTCTGCCTCCCAGGTTCAAGCAATTCTCCTGCCTCAGCCTCCCGAGTAGCTGGGATTACAGGCACCTGCCATCATGCCCAGCTAATTTTTGTATTTTTGTAGAGACAGGGTTTCACTATCTTGGCCAGGCTGGTCTTGAACTCCTGACCTCAGGTGATCCACCCACCTTGGCCTCCCAAAGTGCTGGGATTATAGGCGTGAGCCACCGCGCCCGGCCCACTGATGGGTTTTAATGAACCGAAGGGAATGCCAGCCATGCCTCAGTGGAGGAAGCCGCCAGTGACCTCTCAGCCCCACCTCTGCTCACTGCCTCCCGCACCACTGTCAGGACAAGCTCTGTCCTGGTGCCCATCCTCCCCCGGATCTGCAGCCCACATGCTCTCCATGCTCCTGCATCCTCCCGTCCTCCCTGGCTTCCATCTCCTGACACCCGGCGCGGATATAAACAGCCGCGTCCCTGCCCCTGCCAGGAGTGGACAGAGCAGGAGACTCCCACACAGCCGTGCCCACCAGGGCAGCCTGCTTCCCCATAAGACTCCTTAGCCATGAGCCATCATGAGTTCCTGTATGTCCTTCCAGGGGCAGGCATGCTCGGGCTGCCCCCACCGCAGAGGAGCCCTGTCCAGGGACGGAGACCCAGAGTCCATGGAGCTGCCCCTGCCCTCGAGGGGCTCGGAGTCCTGTGGGTGGTGAAGTGAGATCCCTCACTGCTAATAACAGTCACTACCGTTTATGAGCCCCTCCAGTGTGGTAATGCATTTTTTTCCTATTAATGCCCCCATAAGGAACAGATGGGAAACCCCAAGGCCTAAAGAGGCAGGGGCTGGCCGGGTGCGGTGGCTCATGCCTGTAATCCCAGCACTTTAGGAGGTGGAGGCGGGCGGATCACGAGGTCAGGAGATCAAGACCATCCTGGCTAACACGGTGAAACCCCGTATCTACTAAAAATACAAAAAATTAGCCGGGCGTGGTGGCGGGCGCCTGTAATCCCAGCTACTCGGGAGGCTGAGGCAGGAGAATAGCATGAACCTGGGAGGCGAAGCTTGCAGTGAGCCGAGATCACGCCACTGCACTCTAGCCTGGGTGACAGAGCGAGACTCAGTCTCAAAAAAAGAAAAAAAAAAGAGGCAGGGGCTTGCCCAACATAGTGGAGGAACCAGATCTTAGCCAGTTCTGTCTGGTAAGCAGCCACTGCCCTGGCCTCTGGGACCTCCAAAGCTGGCCAACCAAGCATGCCAGCGCCCTCCACCCCACCCCTGAAGGCCTTCAGGGGTCTTCTCTGGCAGCTTAGGCCTCAGCAGATGGCAGCCAGGCCCTGACAGGGCCACTTCAGTCACCTGGCTTCTCTGGGGACATCCCCTGTCCTAGCCCACCTCACGCCCCACTGCACAGGCCGTTTCCATGTGACCACACATCTTTCCCAATGGAAGGCAGAGCAGGCATGGACCGCCTTGCTGGCAGTGGGGAGTGAGGGGCCCAGGCTGCCTGCCCTGTGCCCTCATGGTCAGGAAGCCCATCCAAGAGACTCTGGCAGTCAGGAGAGGGCCGTCCCCTCGGCCATGCCAGGTCCAGCAGGTGACTCGATTCCCTACCACGAATATGGGAAGGAGGTGCCTTCAGCCTGTTCAGGATAGAGGGACCATTCCCCCGTTCCCAGCCCCACCAAGGGCTGGGTGCAGGGCAGGTGCTGGCTGATGGGATGCCCGGTTCAGCGGGTCTCAGCAGCCCTCCCAGAGCAGCAGCTATGGCAACAAGAACTAGAGCTGGCATCTCCTGGGCGCTCACTCTGTGCCAGACACTGTACTGAGCATCCTACACAAGCAGTCTCCTCTCAAACCCACAGTGCTGGGGGCTGGGTCCCCATGCACTCTTATCCCTGTTTTACAGACAAGAAAACAGGCTCAGAGAGGTTAAGTGATTTGCCCAAGGTCACAAAGCTGGTACACGGTGAAGCCAGGACTTGTACCCAGGACTCCAACTCCCAGTTACAAGATGTCCCATATGGCCAGGCACAGTGGCTCATGCCTGTAATCCTAGCACTTTGGGAGGCCTAGGCAGGAGGATCACTTGAGCCCAGGAGTTTGAGACCAGCCTGGGCAATATGGTGTAAATCCACTTCTACCAAAAATACAAAAATTAGCTGGGCATGGTTGCATGAGCCTGTGGTCCCAGCAACTCGGGAGGCTAAGGTGGGAGGATTGCTTGAGCCCAGGAGGTCAAGGCTGCAGTGAGCTGTGGTCACACCAGTGTACTCCAGCCTGGGTGGCAGAGCAAGACCCTATCTTTAAGAAAATGTCCACATGGAGAATCCACAGTAGATGGGGCTATTCGTGGTGGGGGAGGTGAGGAGACGGGGCCTGGGTCCTTGACTGTTAATCCTGCTATGTCCTGGAGGCCACGCCAAGCTGGCACCAGGCCCGGCCAGGACTCATCCAGGAAGCCCCAGGGTCAGGGTCTGGAGAGTGTCTGAGCCCACTCTAGAGGTCTAGGGAAAAGATTCAAGTCAACGCACCCACAGACATTGCCATCTGCACAGAGCCGGGGAGCGGGGGCACTGTGGCCACCACGTGCTGCTGCAGCCAGACCCCTTCATATCCTAGGCACACAGAGTACCCATCCGTTAAACGGGCAGGCAAGCCACGGCCTCCTGGGGAGCCCTGAAACCAGCTCGGCTGTGCCTTGCCAAGGAACTGGCGGATCATTCCAGGAGAGCGAGCCAAGGGCTGCAGATCCAGCCCTTTTCATGCTTGGCCAATTTAATGGTCCCCATTAATTTCAAAACACACACATTCCCACAAGCTCCGGCCTCCTCGGCTCAGTGCTCGGGTGGACAGCACACCGGGGACGCAAGCAGGGGCACAGGTGCAGGCGCTGAGGCCTCAAGGACAGGAAGGAGCCACAGAGGATGTGCTCGGGACACTGGGCACAGGGTAGGAGGCAGGGTGGCCACCCCATGTGGGGGCAGCAGACTCCTAGCTGGGGTTTTCTAACTACGAGTCTGCCGCGAGGGGGAGAAAAGGCCCTTGGGTTTGTAGTTCTGCTTTGCCACCTTCCTGCTGTGTGACCCTGAACAGGTCACTGTCCCCCTCTGGGCTTTAGATCCTCCCCTGTCCTCCTCTACAGGACGCCAAATGCCAGGAGGGCAGGCACTGGGTTACACTGGGCCTTGTACCTCCAGCACCTCAAAAGGAGCCAGGAACCTCATAAGGACCTAGAAATGCCCACCACCATCCTAATCTGTAAAATGGATCAGCCCCTTCAGGCCTAGAGGGGTGGGGTAGGGGGCTGGGCTAGGCAGGAAGAGGGGACTTAGAGGGTGTCACTGATTCGTGCAGCCCCTCCCACCATCTGACCAACTCTCAAGGGCATGGAGTCACTTATTCATTCAACAAACATCAGGTCAGACATGGTGGCTCACACCTGTAATCCGACCATGCTGGGAAGCCAAGGCAAGAGGATGACTTGAGCTCAGGAGTTTGAGATCAGCCTGGGCAACACAGGGAAACCCTACCTCTACAAAAAAATTTACAAAATAAATCTACTGAAACCCAGGACAGAGAGCTACTGGGTCCACAGTCTACTCTCACATTCCCCATGGAAATGACAGAAGAACTTCAGGTAAGAAGCAGGGGACGGGGCGGAAGACCTTGGGGTGGAAGGACCCTGGAAGGTCCTTTCTGAGTGCCGCCCCCCAGCCAATGCTCCACTCACTGGACCAGACCCTGCGAGCCCACAAGGGCATCTCAATAATTCAGGAGGGATCCATCATTTATGAATTTATGTAACCACTGCCCGATCTTGTGGGGATGAGCCGCCCTCCTCTTGCACTGGCGGAAATTAGCTCCTGGCTGTGTCTGGGTGTTCCGGGCTTTCTAATGTGGGGAGGGGGCCTCTTGGACCCCAGGCATCCTGACTGGCCCCCCTGATCAACTCTGCCCCTCACTTCCAGACGACCCAGAGGGAGCTGGTGAAAAAGCAAAACTGGGCCGGGCATGGTGGCTCACGGCTGTAGTCCCAGCACTTTGGGAGGCTGAGGCAGGTAGATTGCTTGAGCCTGGGAGTTCAAAATCAGCCTGGGCAACATGGCGAGACCTCGTCTCTACAAAAAATAAAAAAATTAGCTGGGAGGGGTGGCATGCCTGTGGTCCCTGCTACTCAGGATGCTGAGATGGGAGGAACGCTTGACCCCAGGAGGTGGAGGCTGCAGTGAGCCATGATTGCACCACTGTACTCCAGCCTGGGGAACAGTGTGACCCTGTCAAAAAAAAGGAAAGAAGGGAGGGTGGGAGGGAGGGAGGGAGGAAAGGAAGAGAGGAAGGAAAGAAAGGAAAAAGGGAAAGAAAGGAAGGAAGAAAGGAAAGAAAGGAAAAAGAAAGAAAAAAACCTGATGGTCTCTCTCTTAAACCCCAAATCTGAAAGATGAGGGTTTGATTCCCAGCCCTGCCTTTTACCCAGAGCCGTGACCTGTGGGTGCCTCAGTGTCCTCATCTGTATAATGGGGGAAATGTCAGTGCCTGACTCAGACACGAGGCAACGTGTGCAGCGTGTTGAGCAGAAGGAACACTCAGTACCAAGCGGCAGGTGACAGGCTGCCCTCAGTCCAGAGCCGGAGCTCCATGGGGCATGCCGGGGACTTGAGGGGGCTTGGGACACAGGATACCGGGCAGGCTGAGGGAGCTGGAGCCCACCAGGAGGCCTCAGGGGACCCAGGAGCCCAGATTCAGATGTTGGTCCCATCTTTTTTACAACGACCCCTCCCCGCTGTGGCAAACTTCTGCCCCACCTCTCAGTTTCCTGGCCGTGAGGACAGACAGGACACACCCACTCTCAGAACTCAAATTCATCAACCAAAAAAAAGAGAACAGAGAGGAGGTATTCCCTTCCCCCAACCCCGACACACACATACACACACACACACACACACACACACACACACACACACACACACACACAATTTCCTGGGGGCTCTGGAGCTCGGCAAACCTCCCATCCCAGCTCTACTACCATTTAGCTGTGTGACCTTTAGCAAGTTGTTTCACATCTCTGAGCCTCCATTTCACCATTAGCACAATGAGACTGATATAGTGCAAGAGAGATTAACTGCACACGGTATGAATGCAGCCTAGACCTAGAGGGAGACACCTCCCACCCCAAGCTCTGGGTCTCCCTGTCCTTATTATCTTATGCTCCCTGCCCCCATTTTTCCACCTAGCAGCCCAAGTGATCTGACCAAGCCCCCCCAACTCAGGCCCCGGCCGTGGCTCACTCCAGACCCCTCAGAGCCTTCCCACAGTGTCCCGTCCACCTCGCCCCTCCCTGTCTGTGCTCTCTCCCCACAGAATGCTCTTGCCCCGACTTCTGACTTAGCACCCCGTCCAACCCAAGCACCCTCTCCTCCAGGCAGCCTTCCCCACTGCTTCCCTCCCCTGTAGGCCAGACTCCTGCCTCTCATGCACCATGGTTCCTTTTCCATTCACATGTGTTACCCCTTATCCGGAATTAGAGACTGTGTCCTTTGCAGCCCAGGCCCACCCCACGGCGTGGTGCACAGCAGCCGTATCATCTATGTATGTTGCATGGATGAAAGTGCCTGAGTTCGAATTCTGGCTCAGTCACCTGCCGAGGTGGGGCTTGTTATCTGATCCCCGAAAATGGGGTAACAATCCTGCCTGCCTCTCGGGCCTCTGAGAGCACTGAGCACATCCAGAGTGGCCAGGGCACCGGAAAGTGGCCCGGCCCCACCTGCTCTTGGCTTCCCCGAGGAGGAGGGAGCCCGGCCCCACCTGCGCTTGGCTTCCCCGAGGAGGAGGGAGCCCAGGGCCAGGCCCATGTTGCTAACAGGTTCCAGCTGCAAAGTCTGCTGTACAGCCAGCCCTGGACTCGTCGCTGGCCCGGCCATCTCCCCTGCCCACTGCGGAGAGGTTTCTGCTGTCGTGGTGGCCGGCAAGCCTCAGCAAACACATTAAAATCTGAAGTGACAGATAAAGCGATTTACGGCGACAGTTCAGCGTCAGATCACTTCCCACAAGGCAGTCCGCATCCCTGCGGGGCCCCTGCTTGGTAGTCCATCAAGGCGGTCTCTAAATCACTGACTCCAAGCAGTGCCCAGGGACAGCCGGACGCAGGGGCGGGTGGCCGCTCAGGTGGCCACTCAGGTTCTGGCCTGCTCCTTCTCACCAGGCCAGGCTCTGCTGGGCCCTCCAGGCGGCAGGAGAGGATGAGGCAGGGGCTGCCGGTGCTTGGGAGGAGGGCGGTGATAAGCGGCCAGCAGATTCTCACAAATCAAAGCCCCAAGACTTAAGGAGATAGAGCGCCACTTCATGACTTATTTTAAATAAATAAGCGGCTTAAAAATCTCCCTGCGAGGTCGGCTTGTCGCTGTGAAACATGGCTTCCCACCCGTCCCCGCCGCACACCTGGGCCCCTCAAAGGCTAGCTGACCCGCCTCGCCTCCCGCCACCTCCTTGCAGAATTAATTGGTCCCTGCGGCGTTGCGTGGCACTTTGTTCAGACCTTGCTCCTAGCACTTTGTCACATTATACTCTGCTTAGTAGCTCTCGCTCCTGACTTCCCAGTAATCATTTCCTGGGGACTCTCCGTGTGCCAGGCCCTGGGCCCAGGGCTGGACAGGCCTGAACTCCTGTCCTCCTCACCCCTGCCCTTCGGTGGAACTGATGCTGATGCCATTTCTCAGATGAGGAAGTAGAGGCCACGGAGTGGCCAGCAGGGGTGCTGGGACCCTGACCTGCTCCTGGCCACGGTGCGCACAGCCCATGCTCACTGCTCTGGGCTGGCATTGAAACAAAAGATCCCTTCCATCTTTGCACAAAGCCTTTCATCCATCTCTGCCCTGTCCTCTTATGACATGAAGGCCAAAGCCAGGCAGCTGGACCCCTGGGTTGGCCAAGAATGGGGATTTTTCTTTTTTTTTGAGATGGAATCTTGCTCTGTCACCCAGCAACCAGGATGGAGTGCAGTGGCACAATCTCGGCTCACCGCAACCTCCACCTCCCAGGTTCAAGCAATTCTTCTGCCGCAGCCTCCTGACTAGCTGGGACTACAGGCGCATGCCACTGTGTCCGGCTAATTTTTGTATTTTTAGTAGAGACCAGGTTTCACCATGTTGGCCAGGCTGCTCTCAAACTCCTGACCTCAAGCGATCCGCCCGCCTCGGCCTCCCAAAGTGCTAGGATAACAGGCGTGAGCCACCGTGCCTGGCCAAGAATGGGGATCTTTCTTTGTGCCCGGACATGTCCTGCCCAGGACTCTGCTATCTGTCAGGAACAAGAAGTCCACACACACAGGTCTGGTGCACCAGGAAACTCAAGGGCAGGGAGGTGGCCTAGTCAAGGTCACTGCACCCCCGTGGTAAAAAGGAGACATAAACACCCTGGCAGCCACAGCACCCCCTAGTGGATACCCTGAGACCGGCGCTCTCCCCAGACACAGGACTGAGGTCATAGGCAAGGCTGGAGAGGCAGGCACCGGCTCTGAGAACCTCCTCCTCCAGAAGAGGGGGCCTGCGGGGGCTCCCTGGCTTATCTCCTGCACATGGCAGCCCAATTTCATTAAGACGGATGCGCCATGCTCCTGTGGGCAGGAGCCGTGGCCGACACAGATGGCAGGAACCTGAGACTCTCCCGGGTGCTACCCAAGCAAGTGGCCTCAGCTGGCAGCCCACGGGGACAGGGCCCAGGGAGGCCTGCACTGTGCCTGAGGGTGTGGGGGTTTGTTCCGTCCCTGCAACTTCAAGCCCTGCCACCCGCCAGCCAGGCATCCCCACTTCTATGCTTCTGCCCAACCTCCCACCTCACTCCCACCACATCCCATACAAACACACATCACACCACACACACCCTCCATCACCCACACCCCATGCATCACACAAGCACAGACACACACACATCACGCACACACACGCATCACACACATCATACAAATGCATACGCACACCCCACACACATAGGCCAAACTCCTGACCTCACACACACACTCTATCACACACACCCCACGCATCACACAAGCACAGACACAAACATGCTACATCACAAACACACGCACCGCACACATCACACACACAGGCCAAACTCCTGACCTCACACACACACCATCACACACATCCCAATCACATCTCATAGCCCAATAATGTAAGAGTGGAAACCAGTCCTGAATTTCAAATGCCAGGAGATCAGTAGGGAAACAGAATCTGATTTTCTTATTTTTATTTGTTTTTTGAGACAGCATCTCACTCTGTTGCCCAGGCTGCAGTGCAATGGCACAGTCACAGCTCACTGCAGCCTCGACCTCCCAGGCTCAAGCAGTCCTCCCACTTCAGCCTCCCAAGTAGCTGGACTACAGGCATGCACCACCACACCCTACTAATCTTTTTTAATTTTTTTTTTGGTAGAGATAGGGTGCCACTGTGTTGCTCAAGTTGGTCTCAAACTCCTGGGCTCAAGCAATCTTCCTGCCTCAGCCTCTCAAAGTGCTGGGATTACAAGAGTGAGCCACCGCCTGCAGCCTCAGAGTCTGATTTTCTTTCTTTCTTTTTTTTTTTTTGAGATGGAGTCTCACTCTGTTGCCCAGGCTGGAAGGCAGTAACACAATCATGGCTCACTGCAGCCTTGACCTCCCAGGTTCAAGCAATCCTCCTGCCTCAGCCTCCTGGGTTCAAGTGATTCTCCTACCTCAGCCTCCCAAGTAGCTGGGATTACAGGTGCATGCCATCACGCCTGGCTAATTTTTGTATTTTTAGTAGAGATGGGATTTCGCCATGTTGGCCAGGCTAGTCTCGAAACTCCTGACCTCAAGTGATCCGCCTGTCTCAGCCTCCCAAAGTTCTGGGATTACAGGTGTGAGCCATCGTACCTGGCCCAGAATCTGATGTTCTATTATATATATATATATATTTTAGATAGGGTCTCACTCTGTCACCCAGGCTGGAGTGCAGTGGCACAACCATGGCTCACTGCAGCCTCAACCTCCCAGGTTCAAGCAATCCTCCTGCCTCAGCCTCCTGAGTAGCTGGGATTATAGGCACACACCACCATGCCGTATTATTTTTTTTTTTGTAGAGATAGAGTCTCACTATGTTGGCCAGGCTGGTCTCAAACTCCCGAGCTCAAGTGATCCTCTCGTCTCGGCCTCCCACGGTGCTGGGATTACAGGAGTGAGCTACTACGTCCCGCCCAGGGTCCGATTCTCAATGGCCTGACGGAGGTCACAGGCAGATGCCTCTTCAGGGAGGGGAAAGAGTGAGGGGGGCGGGCAGGGGGACACCTGGCAACTGCCCTCTCCAAGGATCCCCAGGGCCCTGCTGAGTGGCAAGAGAGATGCCCACAGCCTGGCTGGAGACCCCTTCAACCCCACAGCTTTTCAGGATGGAGGAGGGTGGGGGGTTGGGAGCTCTCCCCGCCCCCTTTCCCTCACAGCCCTCTCCTAGCTCCCACTGCACCCTTCCCCTCCACATCCCTGCAGCTGGACCCAAGCCCAGGCAGCGACAGCCCCTCCCATATGGCAGCAGGAACAAAGAGAACTGTTCCCCACAACAAAATCCAGAAGCTCCGGCGGGCGGCCAGATCTCAAGCTCCCAGCCCAGTGTGACCCACGGCGTTCTCCATGGGCCACTGACGCCCGCGGGGCCAGCACTGCTCCTGGCTTCAAAAATATAAATTTAAAAATCCCCACCCCAAGATAATTGCTCTCTCCTCTGGCTTATTGTGGTGGCTCCGTGGTAGGCACTGAGAAGCAATTATTCACGGCTAATGATTATAATCAAGTCAAATAGAATTTAATGGACACGTATTCTCTTCCTGCTTGAAACTTTACATATGAATTAAGCACATATGGGTTTCACGAGGCACAGACGCAGATTTATGCAGCCCCGAAAAGCCCTGCCGTTGCCAACGACTTTTATTCCACTAATAAACAGGCTGATATATGGGCTCCTGGGAACTGCAATCTCTGCTGCCCCCTGGTGGGCACAGGGGCTGGGGTGGGAGCCAAGGCCACCCAGGACCCTGGAGGCCTGACCAGTGCCAAAGCCACTTTGAACGCTGGGGTTCCACAAAGCCCTGGACGGCTGAAAGGAGACTCGGGCTCTGTGTGGGAAGCCCGTGTTCAGACCCTGCCTCCGTCATTCCCTGGGATTCCAGGCGGGTACCGGGTCCTCCTGGCTGTGAGAGTCTAGAACAAAAAGATCCCAGGAGAACACACCAAGAGGTGTATGGGTAAACTGAGGCAAGCAGGGGGAGGTGAAAGCTGATCATTTGCAGGAGGTACCATGTCCCTCGGCACCGCTGGGACAGGGGTGATGCCCAGAACGGCGCTGATGACACCAGTTTCAGCACCAGTGCGAGGTGCTGAGCCCCGATTCCCGCCAGGTGCTGAGTGACCGTCATTTGCACGTCACGTGCATCAGCTCCGAGTGCCCCCAGTAACCTGACGGGTGGTTTCTTCACCACCCTCATTTTGCAGAGGAGGAAACAGAGGCCTAGGCAAGGACACAGAGAAGGGGAGTCCACAGAGAAACTCAGCCAGCACTGCCCCAGCCCTGGCCCTGGTGCAAATGGAGCTGGCACTAAACCGCTTCTGATGGAGCTGCTGCATCCAAAACCTGGCGACTCCCAAGGGCACTTAGGAAGCAGTGTTAATCACGCCCACAGCCCGGGTGCAGCCTCCGGAGCGCCCCCATTCCATCTGAACCCATCAACACCCCACCTTGGTCCCTGCACCCTTTCTCCTGGCCCATGTTGCAGCGAACCACCAACCCAAGGGGGACAGAGCTCACAAGATGCCTCATTTTCCCTCCGGCCACTTTGCAGCTCAGCAAGAAGGTACCGCTGCAGTACCTCTCACACGCTTGCCAGTGACTGGCAGGGCTGGAGTACCCACTGGCCTGCCTGACTGCCCCCTCAGCCACAGCCCCAAGGCTCTGCCCTTCTGCTCCAGGCCAGCCCCTCCTGGGCACAGGCAGCAAGAACGCCCTTCTCCCCTAGGCCGCTGTAATGTCTGCCAACCCAGATGTGGCTTTGTCTTAGCTGTGTGTCCTCAGATGGACTAGCAGTTCTCATCCTAGTGGCCCTAGAGAAACACACCAGAACCACCTGCAGAAGCCCAAGGTGACCCTAGCTCTCCCTGCTGCCCTCAGCCAGCCACACTGAGCAGAAACTCCTGCCTACGTGTAACCTGTCACCTGTGTGCCTAGACAGGGAATGTGCGGGCAAGGCACCCCCATATGACTATCCAGCTTTGCAGTCAACAGTGGGAAGACGCATAGAGCAAGGTTGCTTCAGGAAACACAACTCAGACCCCACGGACCAGGCCCGGGGCGGCCGAGTGAACTCCCCTCTCCGGATCCTAGAGCCTGTCACTCACAGAGATTAACGGAAATGCTCACAGCATCAGCACCACCATGCCCCAGAGTCACTGGGGGACAGCGCTGGGGCCAGGCACGACCGCTACAAGCGCAAAGTGGGGACGAAGGAGACTCGAGAAGCTCCTGGGGGTGCCCTGGGCCTGCACAGGTTAGGGAGGGGCTGGCACAGCAGGGTTTTCCCTGTGAGCTGGAGCCCAAGACGAGAGGACCTGCCCCCCATATTCAGGGTCTGAGAAAGAGGCCCCCCTTCCTCCAATGCTTGGTGCAGATGCCAGGTAAGCAAAGGAGCAAGCGAGCAGGCGGGCGAGGGCCGGGGTTCAGCCGCCACTCAACCTGTTCCACAAGCCACCTGCTCGACTTAACCAGCCCTTGGCACCCCATGCCAAAGTCCTTTCCTGGCGCCTTTGACCTTGCCAGACAACCACTAGCTGTGTGGAGTAGCAGCCCCCTTCCTCCCTCCCACAAAGAGGCAGCCGGCTCCCATACTCATCACAATAAACTGCCAAGCCAGCAAGAGGCGAGCGCAGGAAGCTGAGCAGCTCCTGTTTCTAGGCTCTGGAAAGCTGCCAGGGCATGGCAGGGGACCTCTCTGCCCCCACTATCCCTCGACAAGCTCCCTCACCCGCCCAGGTCTGAAGCGGGGGCAGGCCAGGCCAAAGGCAGAGGAAGGCAGGTGCTGGTTGGGGCTTCTGTGGCCCCCCAAGGTCAGACCTCCCCGCTGTGGCCTCTGCCTTCCTGGCAGGGCAGCCCAGTTTCAGCCCAGCTCTCCCCCTTCCCCGGCCACTAATGGGTCTCAGTGGAGCAAGGCGCCCCCGACACAGCAGGTCAGGGTTTCAAGGGAAGAGGAGCCCGAGTGGCCGACACGTTGGGCTGCCATGGCGCCAGCAGGCTGTCCTTGCCAGCAACCCGAGCCTCACTGGAGCCAGGTGGCGTCCACCCAGGCCTGGCACAGCAGAGCAGAGCAAAGGCAACAGGGCGGCCACCAGGTCTCTGGTTCAGGCCAGCCACTCACCGGCGTTGACGATGGCGTCCACCTCCAGCTTGGTGATGTCGCTGCGGAGCAGGGAGATTTTCTCATTGAGCTGCTTGTCCTTTTTATACCTGGGCTCCTCCACCTTCACAGCCACCCCTGGAACAAGTAGGGGCCGGGGAGGTCACAGCGAGGCTGCCCACTGCAGAGGGACCCAGCCAGGGCCCAGGGGCCAGGGCCTTCCCTATCGACCTCCCTCCACCTCCAGGGGCAGCCTGCAGCACGATGACTGCTGACCCAGTACCAGGAACCCACACTGAGGAGCACCTACTGCGTGCTAAAATCACGCGGGGACTCCTTGCATCTTCACAGCAAGGCCACCAGCAGGTACAGTGCCAATATCATCTATCCCATTTCACAGAGGTAGAAACTGAGGATTAGGTGGGTCAGAGACTTGCCTAGGGTTATGGGTCACCAGGCCTGCTGTCTCACCAACACACCCCACTGTAAGCAACCAAATCGCAGCTTCAAACCCCAGCTCCCCACAAGCAAGTAATCTCGGGCAGGTGGCTCACCTAACCTAGGGCTCTGTTTCCAACCATACAATGGGGATAAAAATTGCACTTGTTGTGTTAATAATTGAATGAGATGGCCAGGCGCAGTTGCTGACGCCTGTAATCCCAGCACTTTGGGAGGCCGTGGCGGGCAGATCACTTGAGGTCAGTAGTTCGAGACCAGCCTGGCCAATATGGTGAAACCCCATCTCTACTAAAAATACAAAAATTATCCAGGCATGGTGGTGCATGTCTGTAATCCCAGCTACTCAGGAGGCTGAGGCAGGAGAATCGCTTGAACCCGGGAGGTGGAGGTTGCAGTGAGCCAAGATCGAGCCATTGCACTCCAGCCTGCGCAAAAAGAGTGAAATTCCATCTCAAAAAATAAAATAAAATAATTGAATGAGGTGATACACGCGGAGCACCTGCCTGCAGCAAGCACTCGATACATGCCACTGGACTAGCTCTTCTTGTCTGCACAATTCTCCCAAGCCACGGGTCTGGAGCCTGCCCACCAGGGCCTCCCCCGAGCAGGGCCTACCTTTCGCCATCTCCTTCCATGTCGGGATCTTCTTCAGCCTGACAAAGTCCTTGCAGAAGTAATGTTCCTCCCGCTGCTTGTCACTCAGGCCCTTCAGAAAGGCTGCAGAGGCAGGAAGGAGGATCAGGGTGGGGGCAGAGGAACGGGCCTGGGGCTTGCACCCCCACATCTCCTTTCTTGCCTCATCCAAGAATGCAAACCAGCTCTTCCTGTCCCTCCTTCTCTGGGCACACAGGGCAGGCATGCTGGGGAAACCTCAGAGGCCCCTAGAATATCTTGTCCTGCTCTCTTTGTTCAGGGAGGGAAACTGAGGTCTGGGGAGGCTGAGGGACTGGCTCAGGCATCGCAGACCTGGGTTGTGATGAATTCAGCTCTGCCACTTTCCAGCAGCGTCCACATCTCTCTGGGTCCCCCGTTTCTCCCTGATTAGAACGGGGGTGAAGACGTCCCCTGCAGAACAGCTCCGAGCTTCCTCCCACACACTAAGGCCAAGCCGGTTGGCAGCACTCAGCCAGCGACATTATCCATCAGTCCCACCGCCAGTCAGTTCTGCCCTCACTGTCACTGCATGCAGGCAGCGGGACAGCTGTCCTCCTCCAGGAGCTGCAGGACCAAGTGGACCTGGCACCTGTCCCCAACATCCCCCCCGGCAGCGGCTGAGGGCTCCCAGCATGACCAATGGGGTTGGAATCGTTCTCGTTTTACAGATGAGGAAACCGGGGCTCAGGGAGGTTGGGAGGCCACCCTCACACAGCAGGGACTTGAGTGAGGAGCCAGGCACCCCCCACCCGCTCACAGACTCGGGGTCCACCCTGGCCGGCTCCCCTTGCCTGAGCACTGTCCCATGGGCTCCGCCTTCCCTTGGGGGTGGCACCAGGCACAGAAACCTGGAACCCGTCTCAGAAGGGCCCGCCCCGACCGCGCCAGGCCAGGCTAGCAGCTCACGGGCTCCCCCTGCTGGCCCGAGGCCGCCTGCACACCCAGGCGCTCAGCCCAGCCTGGCACCCTGGACCACAGGCTCCCGGGATGGGGCAGCCCCCACGGCAAACAGCAAAGGCTACAATTGAGAAACTCAAAAAGCATCAAAAAATATGTAGAGGCGGGAGAGCAATTAGAGGAGGTGGTGAGAAAGGAAGGACTGCAGCCTGGAAGCTTCTATGCACATGGCAGTGAGGGGGACAGGTAGGTCCCTCCACAAATGTTCAGGGAGGTTGGGAGGCCACCCTCACACAGCAGGGTGTTTTCCCGGCCAGAGTCACTTCATCATCCAGGCCTCCATCTCCTCATCTAACCACTGCTGGCAGGGGTGATAACAACCCAAGGATGCTGAGAGCATTAGATGACAGAACTCATGCAAGGGGCCCAGTCCAGAGTCCCTGCTGGATGCAAAGGTGGGGTCATCACAAAAGGCTAGGCCCACCCCTGGTCAGCCCCCACTGCTGCTCAAGCCAGAGCCACCTTTCCTGGCAGCCACTTCTGCCCCCTCTTCCATAAACATGTTTGGGCACGAGTAGGTCCTGCATTCAGTACCAGCGCTGCCACCTGCCAAGCCCACCTCCCAGAGGACTCACTGCTGCAGGTCCCCCTCCACCAGGCTGTCCTGCCTGCCCTCAAATAATCCCGTCCCCTCCCTCAACGCCCGCATTCCACGCCCCTGCAGCTGCCCCCTCCTCTGCTGTCTCCACTTCTTCCCTCCCATGCTCCCTTCAGTCCACCCAGTCTGGTCCCTCCTTCCAACAAGGTCAAGGTCACCACACCCCATGCAGCGGCCCCTCCTGCCTTCCCTGTGGACAGGAAGTGTCCTTGCTGCTTTCCTCCCTAGGTCTTCTAATCAGTTGCACAGATTCAAAACGCTCTTTAAGCAAGCAACCTCCGGGGCTGTCCCTCCACTCTCTTCTGAGCCTCTGACCCCCACAGTGCCTGCCTGCTCTCATTCCCCAAAGCCCAGGCATGCAAAACAGAACGTTTGACTCTTTCCCCCAAAACGTCATTTTTTTGTTGCTCCATTCTTCCCTCTTTTTTACTCGAGACCCTGCACCAGGGGTCCCTCCCTTTCCATCCTCTTTTGGATTGATCCCCGTGACACCCTAGAAACCAAGCCTTCCTCTCACCCTCCAGGACTGAGCCTTCCTCATGGCTCCCTAGATCCCACAGACGCTCCCAACTCCCAGCTGATCTCCGTGTGCATCTCATCCCCATCTGTTCCTTGACCGGCAGCCATGGATCCTGGGAACATAAATCAGGTGCCATCCCTCCTCTGTTCAAAACTGCATTCAAACGCCGGTCCTCTGGCCTCTCTCCCACCTCACTCCCAATGCTGCCTCCCCCACTACACCAGTTCCCCAAACAGCCAGGCTGCTTCCTGCCCCAGGCCCTTTGTACCTGCTGTGCTCTGCAGGATATGGGATAGTTTGCTTTTGTTTACACTTATTCTTTTATTTTTTTTTGAGACGGAGTCTCACTCTGTCGCCCAGGCTGGAGTGCAGTGGCACGATCTTGGCTCACTGCAACCTGCACTCCTGGATTCAAGCAATTCTCCTGCCTCAGCCTCCCTAGTAGCTGGGATTACACGCGTGTGCCAGCACACCCAACTAATTTTTGTATTTTAATAGAGATGGGGTTTCACCATGTTGGCCAGGCTGGACTTGAACTCCTGACCTCAAGCAATCCACCCATGTCAGCCTCCCGAAGTGCTGGAATTACAGGCGTGAGCCACGGCGCCGGCCCCCTTTCTTGATCTTGGCCATCTTGACCTGTAGGTTCCATAGGGGATCTGCTGTGTTTGCCATCAGATTCCCACCACCTGGCACGGTGTGTGGGCACCTGAGGGTGCCTGAGGGGCACGCTGAGGAATAAATGAGCCAAGACCAAAGGTTGAGGGCGAGTTTGCTAAGTACAGAGTCTTCTAGGCAGAGGGAACAGTATGTGCAAAAGCCCAGAGGTAAGAGGGAGCCAGAGATGATCCCCTAATTAAAAAAGAAAAAAAAGAGAGAGAGCATTTGGGTGGAGAAAGTGAGGCCAGTCGGTCTCTCCAGGTCTGCCTCCCTGTCTGAGGACGGACAGATGCTGGTGGCAGCCGGCCTAGACCCAGGCTGCGCCTTTTCTTCTGTTATAGGTCCCGCCAGGTTTGGGTTCGTGACCTCCCAACACCATGCTCAGTTTGAAGCCTTGGGTTTTCCCATCTCTGGAATAGGGACAAGGCAGGCCTTCCCTTGCTAACACCCAGGCTTGCTGGGAGGGTCAAAGGAGAAGGTGGCTGTGTGCTGCAAAGTGCGGTCTACACGCCAGACACACTCACTCCTTCCTGGCGGCTAAATAATGCCCAAAGAGAACAAAGCAAACAGGACAAAATTGTGGAGAACTTTTTTTTCCAACTTGGGGACACAGCAGCCGGAGGAACTTTTCTAATTATTTGGGTCCCCAGCACTTGGGGAGACCAAGGCAAGCCAATCACCTGAGCCCAGGAGTTCGAGACCAGCCTGGACAATATGGAGCAACCCCATCTCTACCAAAAAATACAAAAAATCAGCTGAGCGGCCGGGCATGGTGGCTCACACCTGTAATCCCAGCATTTTGGGAGGCCGAGACAGGTGGATCACCTGACATCAGGAGTTTGAGATCAGCCTGGCCAACATGGTGAAACCCCATCTCTACTAAAAATACAAAATTAGCCGGGTGTGGTGGTACATGCCTGTAATCCCAGCTACTCGGGAGGCTGAGGCAGGAGAATCGCTTGAACCTGGGAGGCGGAGGTTGCGGTGAGCTGAGATCACACCATTGCACTCCAGCCTGGGCAACAAGAGCAAAACTCCATCTCAAAAAAAAAAAAAAAAAAAAAATCAGCTGAGCGTGGTGGACATGTGCCTGTAGTCCCAACTGCCTGTGAGGCTGAGGCAGGAGGATCGCTTCAGCCTGGGAGGTCAAGGCTTCAGTGAGCTGTGATTGTGCCACTGCACTCCAGACTGCCCAACAGAGCGAGACCTTGTCTCTAAATAAATAATTTGAATCCCCATATTTGTCACCTTGCACAACTGTGACCTCCCCACTGCGAGGCCTTGGCATGCCACTGTGTGGGCACTCCCAGACGGCTGGACCTGTGGCCAGAAAGTCAGGTACCCACCGTGATGCTGGCGGGACTGGTGGGCTGGGACCCGGACGGACCCCAGAGGCCTTGCTGAAGTGTCTCTGGCTGGGCAGGCCCTGGGAATCCCATGGAACTAGACCAGCGTGACCAGAGACACCTCAGGTGCCCTAGCAGATATCATCTGGCAGATGCCACCACCTTGTTCTAGAGAGGAGGCAGAGTGACCTGCCCCCAGTCACACATAAGCGAGAGGAACCTGAACTTGCTCCCACACTGCCCTCCCTAAGCATGGTAGCCTGGTCTGAGTGATCCACAGCCCACAAAGCCCCTTCTCTCCAGCAAAGCCCACAGGATTGCTCCACTTCCCAGAGACAGCATGCTGGCTCTGCCACCAGCTGGCTGGGCGCCGACCTTGAGGACATCTGTCAGCCCGTCCCTTCTAGTCTATGGACCCAAGTGCATGCCTCAGAAGGCCAGCAGGCCAGACAGCATGTCTGTCCTCACCACCAGAACAAGGCTGTGGCCTGGCTGATCCCCAAAGAGCTACACACTGCACTGGTTTCTGATTTATGGGGAAAGAAAAGGCCAACTGCGCCCATTCAGCATCTCACCTCCATGTCCTCTTATCGGCAATCCTCGCCCGCCAGGCCCCTCTTTGTTCCCCCTGGAGGAGAAACAGGGGCCTTAAGCCAGGAACATGCCCCACGCATTTCTGTGTTTTTTTTTTATTTTTTTGAGACAGAGTCTCACTCTGTCACCCAGGCTGGAGTGCAGTGGCACGATCTCGGCTCACTGCAACCTCTGCCTCCTGGGTTCAAGCAATTCTCATGCCTCAGCCTCCTGAGTAGCTGGGATTACAGGCATGCACCACCACACCCAGCTAATTTTTTGTATTTTTAATAGAGACGGGGTTTCACGATGTTGCCCAAGCTGGTCGTGAACTCCTGACCTCAGATGATCCACCTGCCTCAGCCTCCGAAAGTGCTGGGATTACAGGCGTGAGCCACCGCGCCCGGCCTTGCCCCATGAATTTCTAACATTTCCCACCTCCTCCTGTAAGAAGGACAAATGCAGACTTAAAGCACAAGTGAGTTTTATTTGTTATAAAAGATGTAAAACATGCATTTTCATTTTCTTTCATTTTTGAAGAGGCAAGAGTATTTCACAGTTCAGTGAGATAGGTGTTGTAAAAAGATGTCCGCAGTAAATTTTGATGGAGAGGCCTGACCCCAGACGAAGCTTCCAGCGGCTCCCAGGCACGAAAGCCAAGCAGGAGGAAGCAGGCTCCACCAGAACCATAAAGTGCAGCGGGCGAATGGGAATTCAATGCTGTGTTTTAAGAAGTGTCTTTATGGCACTTTGCAAGATGGTGTTCAGAGAGGTGAGGGCAGGCTGGGGCACCAAGGCAGGGCTCCTCTCAGAGAGAATGCCAGGTGGGCAGGGCTGATAAAGGCTGGGCTCCCAGAATGCAGCGGCATTTAGACTCGGTGGCAGGGGCATTAATCACCTGCGCTCACCGGCCCGCAAGAACAGGGTCTTGTCAAAGCCCACAGCTCGAGCAAAAGGGAGACGGAGCACGCAGCACCTTGGAGCCCCTCTCCTCTACCCTGCCCCCTTGTCTCTGCCCACACCAGGGCATTGGCAAGGCTGCGTCCCCAAAAGACAGGTGGGAGAAGCCCCCCGACTCCCAGGGGTACCTGGAAAATTTGCCAGTGCTGCAGTCAAATCAGATAAGCCATCCACTCTGGATGAAATCCCACGGGGGCTGAAATTAGCCCTGGCTTCTGCACAGTGTGGTGTGAGGCTGGAGCGTAGCAGCCCCACCTTGAGTCACCAAGGAGAGGATGGCTTAGGCTGTGCATGCTCAGGGCCCCAGCACGTGAGACAAGCCTACAAGAGCCCAGTGTCACCACGGCCAGCACAGAGCAGAGAGAGGAGACAGGCCTGAGGGCCTGAGGGGTGACAAGGAAGGGGAGGCTGCTGGGACCCATTCTGGGCCATGATATATAAAATCATTTCTTTTCTTTTCTTTTTTTAATTTTATTTTTAGGAGAGACAAGGTCTGGATATATTGCCCAGGCTGGTCTCGAACTCCTGGGCTCTAGCAATCCTCCCACCTTGGCCCCTAAAGTGCTGGGATTACAGGCGTGAGCCACCACGCCTGGCCCAAAGTGGTTTCTAATGTGATCCCAGCACAACCTCCAAGCAGGTGCCATTGGTCCCATTTTATGGATGAGGAAACTGAGGCTTGGAGAGCGAGGAAGCAGCAGCACGTCTCCACATCTGACAACAATGTCCCTGCTCTTTGTGGCTCACAGCTCTGCCTGCCAGGGGCTGTTGGAACAAGGACCCAAAGCCAGGCCCCTCCTGTGATGATACAGCGCCAGATACCGACAAGGGCCCAACCTAAGTCCCTCATGCCCAACTGCCTTTACAGTGAGGGTGTTTCCATGATCTTCTGATGAAAAGGCACTCCCGGGGGGATAAAGAAGTGCCTCAAAACTGAGGGTATTCAATTAGAGAAAGTAGGACGGGCACAGTGACTCACGCCTGTAATCCCAGCACTTTGGGAGGCTGAGGTGGGTGGATTGCTTGAGCTCATGAGTTCAAGACCAGCCTGGCCAACATTGCAAAACCCCGTCTCTGCAAAAAATAGAAAAATGAGGCCGGGTGCAGGGGCTCACACCTGTAATTCCAGCACTTTGGGAGGCTGAGGCAGGTGGATCACGAGGTCAGGAGTTCGAGACCAGCCTGAACAACATGGTGAAACCCTGTCTCTACTAAAAATACAAAAATTAGCCGGTGTGGTGGCACAGGCCTGTAATCCCAGCTACTCAGGAGGCTGAGGCAAGAGAATCGCTTGAACCCAGAAGGCGGAGGTTGCAGCGAGCCGAGATTGCACCAGTGCACTCCAGCCTGGGTGACAGAGCGAGTCTCCGTCTCAGAAAAAAAAAAAAAAAAAAATACAAAAATTAGCCGGTGTAGTGGCACACACCTGTAATCCCAGCTACTCAAGAGGCTGAGGTGGGAGGATTGCTGGAGTCTGGGTGGCGGAGGCTGCAGTGAGCCAAGATACCACCACTGCACTCCAGCCTGGGCAACAAAGTGAGACCCTGTCTCAAATAAATAAACAAACAGGCCAGGCACGGTGGCTCACTCCTGTAATCCCAGCACTTCAGGAGGCCAAGGCGGGCGGATCACCTGAGGTCAGGAGTTTGAGACCAGCCTGACCAACATGGAGAAACCCCGTCTCTACTAAAAATACAAAATTAGCCGGGCATGGGGGCGCATGCCTGTAATCCCAGCTACGCGGGAGGCTGAGGCAGGATAATTGCCTGAACCCAGGAGGCAGAGGTTGTGGTGAGCCGAGATTGCGCCACTGCACTCCAGCCTGGGCAACAAGAGCGAAACTCGGTCTCAAAAAAAATTAAAAAAACAAATAAATAAAAATAAATTAGAGAAAGTAACCCCTGGCTAGTAAAATCAGACACTGCTGAAGTGTCCCCAAAAGACTGAAAGTCTCCCAGCCAGGAAGATCCAGCCTGAAGGTATGTACATACCTAGAGGGAGAATGGGCCCATGGAAATGAGCGTCAGCCTGGAGGTAAAGAAAAGGAGTGTCCAGGGGGAAGCTGAATTTGGCCGTCAGCTTGGAGGACAAGCTGGGCCATGGGCTGGGCATCCTTCCATGGGTCCAGAGCAGGCACTCAGCACTGCATATAGATGGAAATACCGAGCAAACGCCCGGGGAAGGGGATCCTTGTGGGTGGGCTGACCCTTCTCAAACAGGGAAGCTTACCTGCCTTGCCCAGGGCAAGGCTTCCAAAATCACTCAACCAGCCCTGGATAAGATCGCATGCTCTGAGCAATCCTAAGATTACAATTTGGCTTCCATGAGGCTTTCCCATAGGGAGAGGAGGCTCTGCTCAGGCACACCTGAGTTTTCAGACCCACTGCCATTATATTTCCCCACCACAAACTGCACATATGCCTTCTGACCTATACGTCAGTCTCTTGTGAGTTTGGTTACTGTGTGCCAGGCTTTGAGAGAGGATCCTCTCAGGCAGACAAGTATTTGGAGGCCTATCTAGGTACAGCCCTGAAATGAGAGCACATGTCCATCAGAGACATGGAGAGAATGTTCAGGAAGCCAGGCACAGTGGCACACATCTGTAATCTCAGCGCTAGCACTTTTGCAGGCGGAGGTGGGAGGATCACTTGAGCCCAGGAGTTCGAGACCAGCCTGGGGCAACATAATGAGACCCTGTCTCTGCAAGACATTTTTAAAAACATTAGCCAGGCATGGTGGCACATGCCTATAGTCCCAGCTACTCAGGAGGCTGAGGTGGGAGGATGGTTTGAGCCCAGAAGTTGGAGGCTGCAGTGAGCTGTGATTGCACCACTGCACTCCAGCCTGGGCAACAGAATGAGACCATATCTAAAAAAAAAAAAAAAAAAAATGTTCAGCACAGTTTTATTCACAAGAAACCCAAATGCCTATCAACAAAAGAGTGGGGGCCGGGATGGTGGCTCACACTTGTAATCCCAGCACTTTGGGAGGCCGAGACAGGTAGACCACCTGAGGTCAGTATTTTGAGACCAGCCTGGCCAACATGGTGAAACTCCGTCTCTACTAAAATACAAAAATTAGCCAGGCGTGGTGGCGGGTGCCTGTAATCCCAGCAACTCTGGAGGCTGAGGCAGGAGAATCGCTTGAACCCAAGAAACGGAGGTTGCAGTTAGCCAGGATCGTGCCACTACACTCCAGCCTGGGCGACAGAGCAAGACTCCATCTCAAAAAACAAAACCAAACAAAACAACAAAAGAGTGGGAAACAAGCTGTGGTACGTTCATATGCTGGAACACTATACAGCAATGAAAAAGAGGGAACCATTGCCACATCCAATAACAAGGACGAACTGGCCGGATATTGAGTAAAAGGGGCCAGACTTCAAGAAGAGACAAAATGAACAGATATCACAAGAGTGATTAGCTCCAGACAGTACCAAGTGAAAAGAGGCGACTTCTGGCGTGATGGCAATGCTCTACCTTTTGACCCAAGTAGTGACTGCACAGTTGCATACACTGTGCACTGAAGATCTCTACACTTGCAGCACTTGACTGTCAAATGTAACTTGGCTGAAAGTGTGATTTGAATGTAACGATGAAAAGTGTAGCAGTCTTCAAGGGCCACGGCTCAGACCCTAATCAAAGGCAGAGTCCAGCTGGGGCAGCCCCCCAGATCTCCCATAATGTGATGGCTTAAAAAATACACTTGGCCAGGCACAGTGGCTCACACCTGTCATGCCAGCATTTTGGGAGGCTGCGGTGGGCGGATTGCTTGAGGCCAGGAGTTTGAGACCAGCCTGGGTAACATGGTGAAACCCAGTCTCTACAATAAAGGTTTTAAAACATTAGCAGCCCATGGCTCACACCTGTAACCTCAGCACTTTGGGAGGCCGAGGTGGGTAGATCGCTTGAGCTTAGGAGTTTGAGACCAGCCTGGGCAACATGGTGAAACCCAGTCTCTACAATAAAGGTTTTAAAACATTAGCAGCCCATGGCTCACACCTGTAACCTCAGCACTTTGGGAGGCCGAGGTGGGTAGATCGCTTGAGCTTAGGAGTTTGAGACCAGCCTGGGCAACATGGTGAAACCCAGTCTCTACAATAAAGGTTTTAAAACATTAGCAGCCCATGGCTCACACCTGTAACCTCAGCACTTTGGGAGGCCGAGGTGGGTAGATCGCTTGAGCTTAGGAGTTTGAGAACAGCCTGGGCAACATGTCAAAATTCTGTCTCTACAAAAAAATACAAAAAATTAGCTAGGCGTGGTGGCGTATGCCTGTAGTTCCAGCTACTTGGGAGACTGAGGTGGGAGGATCGCTTGAGCCCAGGAGGTTGAGGAAGCAGTGAGCTGAGATCTCACAACTGCACTCCAGCGTGGGCAACAGACCTTGTCTCAAAAGAAAAAAAAAAATTAGTTGCACATGGTGATGCGCGCCTGTACTTCCAACTACTCAGGTGGCTGAGGCAGGAGGATCGCTGAGCCCAGCAGTTTAAGGGTGCAGCTAGCTATGATTACACCACTGCACTTCAGCCTGAGCAACTGAGCGAGACCCTGTCTCGAAAAAAATTTAAATTAATTTTAAAAATTTTGGCCGGCCACAGTGGCTCACGACTGTAATCCCAGCACTTTGGGAGGCTGAGGCGGGCAGATCACGAGGTCAGGAGATTGAGACCATCCTGGCTAACACAGTGAAACCCTGTCTCTACTAAAGAATACAAAAAATTATCTGGGCATGGTGACGGGCACCTGTAATCCCAGCTATTCGGGAGGCTGAGGCAGGAGAATGGCATGAACCCAGGAGGAGGAGCTTGCAATGAACCAAGGTCGCGCCACTGCACTCCAGCCTGGGTGACAGAGCAAGACTCCATCTCAAAAAAAAAAAATTTAAGAAAATTGGCCAGGCCCAGTGACTCACGCCTGTAACCCCAGCACTCCGGGAGGCCGAGACGGGCAGATCACGAGGTCCGGAGATCAAGACCATCCTGACTAACACGATGAAATCCTATCTCCACCAAAAACACAAAAAAATTAGCCGGGCGTGATGGCACGCGTCTGTAATCCCAGCTACTGGGGAGGCTGAGGCAGGAAAATCACTTGAACCCCGGAGGCGGAGGTTGCAGTGAGCTGAGATCACACCACTGCACTCCAGCCTGGGCAACAGAATAAGTCTTCATCTAAAAAACAAACAAACAAACAAACAAACAAACAAAAATTAGCCGGGTATAGTGGTGGGTGCCTGTAATCCCAGCTACTCAGGAGGCTGAGGCAGGAGAATCACTTGAACCCGGGAAGCAGAGGTTGCAGTGACATCACACCACTGCACTCCAGCCTGGACAAAAAGAGTGAAACTGTCTCAAAAAAAAATTTTTTTAAGAAAATAAAAACACACCTTCAAATTCTTTGAGATTCTTTCTTTCAAGAGGTAGAGCCTAATTTCCCTCTCCTGGAGTATGGCCAGACTCCCTGACTCGATTCTGACCCCTAGAATAAAGCAGGAGAGACTTCGAAGACGAGGTCACAAAGAAGGCACTGCAGCTCCATCGGGGTCTCCTCACGATCCCTCTCGTGGAGCATATGCTCTGGGGGAAAAGCTTAGGACATCTATCCCATGTGAGGCACTCAAGCAGCCCCATGGAGAGGCCCCAAAGTGACCAACCGAGGCCTCTCACCAAATGCCATTTTATGGGAGGGAGCTGTTTAGGAAGCCCATCCTCCAGCCCTAACCAAGTCCCACCCGGCCTCAGAGGGAGGGAGACCCTGAGCTAGAACCACCCAGCTAAGCTTCTCTCAGTTTCCTGACCCTCAAGAGATGGAGAGAATGCAGGTTTGCTGTTTTACGCCACTAAGGTTCGGGGTGTTTTGTTACACAGAAATAGATAACTATTGGGGGATCTCCACATCTCACCCCCGAAAGCGTCCCTCTAACTGTGGCTTCAGTAGCAGGCAGAGCCCCAGACCAGCCCCACTCCTTGGGCCTGGCCCACTGTCACTCAATAACGGGTCTGGAATATCATTACCCAGCTGGATGCCTCTTCTCAGGCCACCACCCCTGAGACGCCTCCTCTGATCTCCCCAGCTCAGGTGGCCCCATCTGCTATGGTGTCTTCACAGCACTGAGGTTACCGGGCCTTGTCTCAGCTGCTAGAACACATTCTTTACAATAGATGCTTTGTAATCCTCACACCAGATTACAAGCTCCATGAGGGCAGGGCCCTTGCCTATCTGACACATGTCTGAGTCCCCAGCCTGACCACCTAGGGGGCGTTCAATAAAAGTTTGCTGCATGATTGGAAATCCCACCTCGAAGCAAAAGGGAGACCCCAGTGACAACACAGCAGCCCAGGAACCCCAGCCCCATCACAAGGTCCGGTTGCTTTCCTGGCACCAAGGAGTGGGGCTGTGGGGGCTGGATCCTAAAAACAGCGGCAGCCCTCGAGCAGGTGCCTGGGCACCTTGTCTCCGTAGCTCTTTCCCACCCTCCTGGGTTGTTGTCCTCTGAGAGAGTGCTCAGGGGAGCAGGGGTCTCTGTGGGGACAGTGGCTCCCCCTCCAGGGGTCTCTGCCAGCCCCAAACTCCTCCTGCTGTTCTGGGGCAAGGGCCAAGTGCCTGACAAGTTCTCCATCTGCTCACGGGCTAAAGTCGGTGCTTTCTGCCGTCACTTTTAGATCCTGGCGCAGGCCACACAATTCATGTCAGGAGTAAATCATTTTGATTTCCACCTCTGGTCCCGAGAAAGCCATCTTCTCTTCACCCCTAACACCGCAGGACCCCCCCATCCTGCCTGCCCAGCCCAGAGGCCACACCTACTCCACCACGGAGGCCCAGCCAATTAGCCACTTCCCTGCACTTTTGAAAGGGGATCCAGCCGGGAAGAGTCACAGGATCCCAGGAGGCAGGCCCTGAAAGGCAGGGGCAGCTGGGTGCCCGGCAGGGCTATTTGGGGCTCAGTAGCGGCAGCTTGGGTTCTCTCTCTCCCCAGGCCCCAGACTCATGCCCCCTCCAGGAGCAAGAGGAAGTGGTGTGATTCTTGAAGGGTGTCATCAGTTGTCACAGGGACAAGACCCCACCTCTGCCCTGCTCCTCTAACCTCTGTTCCTGGCATGAGCAAACTGCTCACAAGTGGCCAGAGGCCAGCGAGAAGGGGAAAAGGGCGCCAGACCACGTGCCCAGGAAGGCATCAGAGTGCGGGCTTGGGGTGGGGTGGAGGCAGGACAGGCCAGCCCAGGAAGGTCACTCTGTGAGGTTACGTGCCCCACCAGGTGGGACGCCAGCCCCGGAGCTGTTCCCTCAGCCCCATTCCCGAACACTTAAGAACCACACTGTGCAAAGTTTGGAGAGTCCGGGATCATAACCTCCACTTTGCCACCAGCTCCGAGTGACCTTGGGGAAGCCAGCTGTGGCACTCGGCCTCAGTTTCCCTCCTGCACAGGGAAGGAAGTTGGTAGGTCCTGCACAATCTCTGGGGTGCCCTGTGACCCATTCCAATGGGGTAAGGAAGGCCGCCTTCCTCACGCTGCCCCCTGCGTGGACACTTGGACCTGGTCTGGAGTGAATTGTTCTGTGGGGCTGGGAACACGCGCGGGGGCGGGGGGGGCTGTCAATGGGGAGGAGGGGTCCGTTCCAGGGCAGATGGGGCCTCAACTTCCCCAGGTCTCTCGGGTGGAAGGGGCTGCTCGCTCGTTGGGGGCCGCCCAGCCGGGAAGCTCCACGTGAGGCCGCCCTCTCCCTCGCGCCCCCTCGTGCTTACACTTACATTTCGCCTCCTTCCAGTCGGTGGAGGTGCTCAGGTCCACCTTCGCCGCCATGGCCAGGGGGGCCCAAGTGCGCACCCCGGCTGTCCGCCCCACCGCCGCCGCCCCCCACGCCCCAACTCCCGCCGAGGTCCGCGCACGGCGGCCGAACACGCCCAGGAACGCCGGGGGACCGCACGTGCTGCTGCGGGTCCTCGTGGCACCCGCCAAGTGTCCGGGCCGGGGGCGCGGGGGGACGAGCAGCTGCCCCGCCGCGCGCAGCTGTGCCAGGCGGCCGGACAGTCGGCTCTGTAGAGACATGAGCGGGCGGCGCGGGACGGCTCTCCGCCCACTTGGACTCTATTTACGGCGCTCGGGAGTGTCTCTCCCTTATTTACTCTGGGACCGGGTGGCGACTGCCAGCCAGCGGCGACCTGCTCGGAGCCAGCGGGAGGCGCGGCCAGAAAACCCGGGAGCGCCGCTGGGCACCCTGGAACTTGTAGTCCGGGCCGCCGGATGGGCCCACGCACTCGTATACACACGTGCGCGCCCGCCCGGGCTCCCAGTGTCGCGGATGGAGCCCCGCCTGAGCCCTTCGACTTCTCCCGTGGCCGCCAGGCGCCTCCCCTCCGCGAGACCTCGGCCGCCTCTAACTTTCTGGTTGGCTGAGCGTCGGCTTCCCCGGCACGGGCTGAAGCCCCCGGGCCTTCCACGCAGCCCCGGGCCCCTCTGCCGCTCGGCCCCGCGGCGGAGCAGGCGCGCCGGCCGCTGCGTATCGAGCTGGGAGAGCCTGGCGCGGCTTCCGCAGTGCCGAGCGTTTTGCAGCCTGGGAGACCCGGGCTTCTCTCCCCGCGGGTCAGCAGGGCACCGCCTCCACACCCCAGCCTGCCCTCCTAGGGACAGGTGCGACGAACGGGTAAATCCGGTTTGGGGACTTCTCCCCAGAGCCTCTGCCTTCTAACAGCCCCGGGGCCAAGGCTCAGCTGGAGCAGAATCTAGGACAGCTGGGGAGGAGAGTCGAGGGTGGAAATAGTGGAATTTGGAGGCAGGAAACTTAGGCTTCAAGTGGCGTTCAAGGGTGGAAGGATTGGGGTGATGTTTTTGTGTGTGTCTGTGTGTTTTTTTTTTTTTTTCTTTTCTTTTTTAAACAAAAACCGGCCGGGCGCGGTGGCTCACGCCTGTAATCCCAGCACTTTGGTAGGCCGAGTTGGGTGGATCACGAGGTCAGGAGTTCGAGGCCTGCCTGGCCAACATGGCGAAACCCCGTCTCTACTAAAAATACAAAAATTATGCAGGCGTGGTGGTGCATGCCTGTTAATTACAGCTACTCGGGAGGCTGAGGCAGGAGAATCACTTGAACCCGGAAGGCGGAGGTTGCGGTGAGCCGAGATCGTGCCATTGCACTCCAGCCTGGGTGACAGAACGAGACTCTGTCTCAAAGAAAACAAAACAAAAAACACGAGGATGGATTTTTAAGTACTTTTATATATTTTTATGTACTATTAATATTACTTTATGATAAATATAATGAATACAGGCCGGGCCATTATAATAATATAATGAATGTAATAATGAATAATGAATAAGTGCTCACACCTGTAATCCCAGCACTTTGGGAGGCTGAGGCAAGAGGATTATTAGAGGCCAGGAGTTCAAGACCAGCCTGGGCAATATAGTGAGACCCCCTCATCTCTACCCGCCCCCACACAAAAAAATTACCCTGGTATGGTGGTAGACACTCACCTCTAGTCCCAGCTACTCCAGAGGCTGAGGCAGGCAAACACTTGAGCCCAAGGGTTCAAGGCTACAGAGAGCCATGATGGCACCACTGCACTACAGCCTGGACGACACAGTGAGACCCTATCTCAAAAGTAATAATAATAATGAATATATTTTAATACGAGGGAGGAACGAGCCAGGGTTTCAGAGAAGGTTCTAGTACTAGTGTTGCTGCCCTAGGGTACCCTAGCCCCTTAAGACTCAAACTTCTTGAGCTGTCAGCTAGGAATAAGAGAGTCTGGCTGGTTGCAAACCTGCTCCTGTGCTCCAGGCCTCTGACTCTGAGTGTGGCAATAACCATGGATGGCCGTACGAGGATCCCTGACCTGCCATGGATGCAGATGGAACCACTGGGATGGTGACACGGGCTCACCCTTGGACTCCAGACATTAAATCTGCCCAAGAGAGGATCAGCATAGACTTGCCAGCAGCAGGGTAGGCAGTCATCAGTACTGGGAGTGAGGGCAAAGGGGAGCCAGAGGCCAGGAAGGAAGAGCCCACGGCCCCCAGCATTCCAGGACCACCAGCAAGGCCTGCACCCTCTCCTGAAAACATCAGCAAGGCACGGTTCAGGATGTAGGGGTCAGGCTCCAGGTCACCTCACCAGTTGTGGCCCCTCCAGTAACTCAGAGTAAAGGAAGGACCTTGCTGACTGCAACCAGGACAGCCAACACCTACATGCACGAAGTCCCAGCTGTACTGAGCTAAGCCCTCTATGTCCATTCCCACTACCTCCATTAGCCCGTTATATCCTCAGCTCTCACCCCCTCCAGGCAGAGAGATGATTGGCCCAAGGTCAGGTCAGGATCCCAGCCCCGACTTGGGTCCAGGTCTGTTTGGTTCCCATCTGCAGTCTGGAAAATGGTTATGCAGGTGTCACTGATTGGTGAAATGAGGCATGTGGGTGATGCAGTATATTACTTCTCCATTGCTGCTGTACCATTACCGCAAATTCACTGGCTTCAACGACACATTTAGTATCTTAAAGTTCTGTAGGACAGAAGTCTGATGTGGGCATCACTGGGTTAAAATCAAGGGGAACACGAGGCCATGTTCCTTTCTGGAAGCCCTAGCAGACAGCCTGTATCATTGCCTTTTCTGATTCCCAGAGACCACTCACATTCCTTGGCTTGAGACCTGTTCCTCCATGTTCAAAGCCAGCGCGGTTGCATCTGAGCATTCTCCTGTAGTGGCATTTCCCTCTGATACTCTCCTTCTGCCTCTCTCTTCCATCTTCAGGGACACTTGTGATTACATGGAGCCCACCTAGATAATCTGTGACAATTTCTCTACTTAGCTGATTTGCAGCCTTCATTCCCCTTTGCCGTGTAATGTAACATATTTACAGGCTCTAGGATTTAGGATGTGGAGTCTTTGGAGGGCCATTATTCTGCCCTGTGCAACCTTCCTGGCAATGTCTAGTGAGGATGATGAGGTAGAGGCAGGGTCCCCAGCCATAAGAAAGTCTTGGCGTTCAGGCCGGGTGCAGTGGCTCACGCGTGTAATCCCAGCACTTTAGAAGGCCAAGGCGGGTAGAACACCTGAGGTCAGGAGTTCGAGAGCAGCCTGGCCAACATAGCGAAACCCCATCTCTACTAAAAATACAAAAAAAAAAAAAAATTAGTTGGGCATGGTGGCACACGTCTGTAGTCCCAGCTACTCAGGAGGCTGAGGCAGGAGAATTGTTTGAACCTGGGAAGCAGAGGTTGCAGTGAGCTGAGATCGTGCCACTGCACTCCAGCCTGAGTGGCAGAGTGAGACTCCCTCTCAAAATAAATAAATAAATAACGCAGGTGTAGTGGGTCACACCTGCAGTCCCAAGTACTTGGGAAACTGAAACAAGGAGATCACTTGAGTCCAGGAGCTGGAGGTCAGCCTGGGCAACACAGTGAGACCTTGTCTCTAAAAATAAATAAATAAGTAACATGCATTTATTTATTTATTTATTTAGAGACGGAGTCTGGCTCTGTCGCCCAGGCTGGAGTGCAGTGGCATGATCTCGGCTCACTGCAGCCTCTGTCCCCCAGGTTCAAGGGGCAGCCTCCCAAGTATCTGGAGTTACAGGCATGCGCCACCATGCCCCGCTAATTTTTGTACTTTTAGTAGAGACGAGGTTTCACTATGTTGGTCAGGCTGGTCTCGAACTCCTGACCTCAGATGATTCACCCACCTCGGCCTCCCAAAATGCTGGGATTACAGACATGAGCCACTGTGCCCAGCCAACAAATATGTATTTAAAAAAACCATTTATATCGTGTTATTCACCTGCTCAGAAATCTCCAAAACCCACGTCCTACACGGCCAGGCTGCTGAAGCACCCTGGATGCCTACTGTGTACCAGCGCTACTGTTTCTTTTTGCTGGGATTCAGCTCTGCTATCACAAAGATAGTGAAGGTCCCTGCTAACAGCTCTCCGTGGTCTACTGGAGGCCTGGGTCACATGCGTAAGTGCTCCTGGGCAGGCAGCAGCATTCTAAACTTCAGTGAGGAAGGATATCTTCATAGAATTTGAGCTGGACCTTTTGGAAAAAGTAAAATTTTGCCAGGTATGGAAGGTGTGTATGTGTTGGGGGCGTTCCACGCAGAGAGGCCCACAGAAGCAAAGGCGTGGAAGTCTGTGGAATGCTGAATCTTCGGCTGGGGCTGTGGCATAGGGTGTTGTCAGTTGAGGATTTTTAATGTTGGAGAGGGGGTTTTGTGCAGAGAAAAGCTACCTACTGCTGCTTGTGTTTAAATTAATACTGTATTTATTAAACATAAATTTTAAAAACTAGTTTTTCTTAAACATCCAAGTGCAATTTGTAAATCTAGTTTTCTATGTATAAGCCTACTAATTTTTTTATAAAAGTAAGAACAATTATGTTCACTTATTCTTTAATATTTAATTAACTCATAAGTTCAACAGATTAAATTATTCTAAAAATTAATGCCAGTTACAAACTTAGGTAATTAAATCCTCTAATAGATTTTAAACTATATTTTACAGACTTAAAGTAGCTGATCCTCTCAAACACCTCAAATTCCAAGCAGAAGAGACTTACAAGGATTTTTTTTTTTTTCTTATCACTTAAGCAACTCTTTTTCTTTTTCCTTTTTTCAGGGACAGCGTCTACAGGGTCTGGAGCAATCATGACTCACTAGCTTTGACCTCCTGGGCTCAATCGATCCTCCAGCCTCAGCCTCCTGAGCAGCTGGGACTACAGGTGTGTGCCACCGCACCCAGCTAATTTTTTTTTTTTTTTTTTTTTTTCCCGTTAAAGGATTTATTGAAACATCAACCTTCACTTTATTTATTTTTTTTTTTTAATTTATTTTTTTATTGATAATTCTTGGGTGTTTCTCACAGAGGGGGATTTGGCAGGGTCATGGGACAATAGTGGAGGGAAGGTCAGCAGATAAACAAGTGAACAAAGGTCTCTGGTTTTCCTAGGCAGAGGACCCTGCGGCCTTCCGCAGTGTTTGTGTCCCTGATTACTTGAGATTAGGGATTGGTGATGACTCTTAACGAGCATGCTGCCTTCAAGCATCTGTTTAACAAAGCACATCTTGCACCGCCCTTAATCCATTTAACCCTGAGTGGACACAGCACATGTTTCAGAGAGCACAGGGTTGGGGGTAAGGTCACAGATCAACAGGATCCCAAGACAGAGGAATTTTTCTTAGTGCAGAACAAAATGAAAAGTCTCCCATGTCTACTTCTTTCTACACAGACACGGCAACCATCCGATTTCTCAATCTTTTCCCCGCCTTTCCCGCCTTTCTATTCCACAAGGCCGCCATTGTCATCCTGGCCCGTTCTCAATGAGCTGTTGGGCACACCTCCCAGACGGGGTGGTGGCTGGGCAGAGGCGCCCCTCACCTCCCGGACGGGGCGGCTGGCCGGGCGGGGGGGCTGACCCCCCCCACCTCCCTCCTGGACGGGGCGGCTGGCCGGGCGGGGGGCTGACACCCCCACCTCCCTCCCGGACGGGGCGGCTGGCCGGGCAGAGGGGCTCCTCACTTCCCAGTAGGGGCGGCCAGGCAGAGGCGCCCCTCACCTCCTGGACGGGGCGGCTGGCCGGGCAGGGGGGCTGACCCCCCCCCACCTCCCTCCCGGACGGGGCGGCTGGCCGGGCAGAGGGGCTCCTCACTTCCCAGTAGGGGCGGCCGGGCAGAGGCGCCCCTCACCTCCCGGACGGGGCCACTGGCCGGGCAGGGGGGCTGACCCCCCCCACCTCCCTCCCGGACGGGGCGGCTGGCCGGGCGGGGGGCTGACCCCCCCACCTCCCTCCCGGACGAGGCGGCTGGCCTGGCGTGGGGCTGACACCCCCACCTCCCTCCCGGACAGGGCGGCTGGCCGGGCGGGGGGCTGACCCCCCCACCTCCCTCCCGGATGGGGCGGCTGGTCGGGCGGGGGGCCGACCCCCCCACCTCCCTCCCGGACGGGGCGGCTGGCCGGGCAGAGGGGCTCCTCACTTCCCAGTAGGGGCGGCCGGGCAGAGGCGCCCCTCACCTCCCAGACGGGGCGGCTGGCCGGGCGGAGGGCTGACCCCCCCACCTCCCTCCCGGACAGGGCGGCTGGCCGGGCGGGGGGCTGACCCCCCCACCTCCCTCCCGGACGGGGCGGCTGGCCGGGCAGAGGGGCTCCTCACTTCCCAGTAGGGGCGGCCGGGCAGAGGCGCCCCTCACCTCCCAGACGGGGCGGCTGGCCGGGCGGGGGGCTGACCCCCCCACCTCCCTCCCGGACGGGGCGGCTGGCCAGGCGGGGGGCTGACCCCCCCACCTCCCTCCCGGACGGGGCGGCTGGCCGGGTGGGGGGGCTGACCCCCCCATCTCCCTCCCGGACGGGGTGGCTGGCCGGGCTGAGGGGCTCCTCACTTCCCAGTAGGGGCGGCCGGGCAGAGGCGCCCCTCACCTCCCGGACGGGGCGGCTGGCCGGGCGGGGGGCTGACCCCCCCACCTCCCTCCCGGACGGGGTGGCTGGCCGGGCTGAGGGGCTCCTCACTTCCCAGTAGGGGCGGCCGGGCAGAGGCGCCCCTCACCTCCCGGATGGCACGGCTGGCCGGGCGGGGGGGCTGACCCCCCACCTCCCTCCCGGATGGGGCGGCTGGCCGGGTGGGGGGCTGACCCCCCCCACCTCCCTCCCGGACGGGGTGGCTGCTGGGCGGAGATGCTCCTCACTTCCCAGATGGGGTGGCTGCCGGGCGGAGAGGCTCCTCACTTCTCAGACGGGGCAGCTGCCGGGCGGAGGGGCTCCTCACTTCTCAGACGGGGTGGTTGCCAGGCAGAGGGTCTCCTCACTTCTCAGACGGGGCGGCCGGGCAGAGACGCTCCTCACCTCCCAGACGGGGTCTCGGCCGGGCAGAGGCGCTCCTCACATCCCAGATGGGGTGGCGGGGCAGAGGCGCTCCCCACATCTCAGACGATGGGCGGCCGGGCAGAGACGCTCCTCACTTCCTAGATGTGATGGCGGCTGGGAAGAGGTGCTCCTCACTTCCTAGATGGGATGGCGGCCGGGCGGAGACGCTCCTCACTTTCCAGACTGGGCAGCCAGGCAGAGGGGCTCCTCACATCCCAGACGATGGGCGGCCAGGCAGAGACGCTCCTCACTTCCCAGACGGGGTGGCGGCCGGGCAGAGGCTGCAATCTCGGCATTTTGGGAGGCCAAGGCAGGCGGCTGGGAGGTGTAGGTTGTAGTGAGCCGAGATCACGCCACTGCACTCCAGCCTGGGCACCATTGAGCACTGAGTGAACGAGACTCCGTCTGCAATCCCGGCACCTCGGGAGGCCGAGGTTGGCGGATCACTCGCGGTTAGGGGCTGGAGACCGGCCCGGCCAACACAGCGAAACCCTGTCTCCACCAAAACCAGTCAGGCGTGGCGGCGCGTGCCTGCAATCGCAGGCACTCGGCAGACTGAGGCAGGAGAATCAGGCAGGGAGGATGCAGTGAGCCGAGATGGCAGCAGTACAGTCCAGCTTCGGCTCCGCATGAGAGGGAGACCGTGGGGAGAGGGAGAGCGAGAGGGAGACGGAGAGCGAGAGGGAGACGGAGTTTTTTTTTTTTTTTTTTTTTTTAAGAGATTGGGTCTCACTGTGTTGCCAAGGCTGGTCTCAAACTCCTGGGCTCAAGCAATCTTCCTGCTTCAGCCTTCCAAGGTGTTAGGGTTACAGGCATGAGCCACTGTGCCCAGCCAAGCAACTCTTATATACTAATAAACTTATAAATCTGGCAAATCAGTTATCTTAAATATTCAATCCTGTTTCCAAACTTAGATCCTCTTAGACTGTCACAGTTATCTACTGCTTTGTAATGAGTCACTGAAAATGTACTGGCTTAACATAACAACAGTTCTAAGTCAGCAGTTTGGGCTGAGCTAAGCTAGCCGGTTCATCTGCTGGTGTCACTGGGTCACTCTTGTACCTGCAGCTATAGTCATCTGACAACCCAACTGGGGTTGGGGGTCCAAGGTGGTCTCACTCACATGACTGATGGTTGGTGCTGGCTGTCAGCTGAGGCCCCTTGGCTCTGCTCCACATGGTCTCACCTTTCAAGGTGGCAGAGCCAGCCAGAGGAGCAGATACACCACCACAGCAGGGCTGAAGTTGCAGTGACATTCAGGACCACAGTACAGTTAGGGTTTTCCTGCTACTGGTCTGAGATTTAAGACCAGAGCAGGACCCAGGAGAATTCTACCATATCTAAAGGGATCCCCAGATCCACTCCTCTCCCCTGGGACTTAATGATAAAGTCTGATGCATCACTGTTTCCTGAGAGTCTTAAGTGGCAGCCCTCCCCCATTTTTACCCTGCCATCTTTCTACTTTTTATAGCCTCATTTGGGTAGATAAGCGTCCGTCCCTCCAGCTCTCAGGTCCTCCTGTCGTCTTCTCTGATGACAATTTTGCATTCCACCCTCATCCAGGTTGTACTACTGTCTTCATATCTCACTTTATTACTTGCCTATGTTTCATTTTACTATCCGTTTCATTGGCCATATTGTACAGTCATTATGTTGAGAGGTATATAAGGGAAGGATGGATTACAAGGTATTAAATGTCCAGAGCTTGCAGCTATAAACCAGGAGCCTGGAAAACAGAGGATGCCCCTCCACCTGATTTTTTTTTTTTTTTTGAGATGGAGTCTTACTCTGTTGGCCAGGCTGGAGTGCAGTGGTACGATCCTGGTCCACTGCAACCTCCGCCTCCCAGGTTCAAGTGATTCTCCTGCCTCAGCCTCCCGAGTAGCTGGGACTACAGGCGCGTGCCACCACGCCCAGCTAACTTTTATATTTTTGTAGAGACGAGGTTTTGCAATGTCGGCCAGCCTGGTCTCGAACTCCTGACTTCAGGTGATCCACCCACGTTGCCCTCCCAAAGTGCTGGGATTACAGACGTGAGCCACCGTGCCCAGCCTCTATGTGACGTTTGGCAGACTGATCTGAAGACCATGTCGGCTGTCTGGGAAAGTCCTCAGTGATCTTGAGAGGGCCAGACAGATACTGAGTGTTCTTATCCCACGCCACCCTCCCCAGGGGAAGGGCCTTAGTGGGCCAGGGGGTTTCGTTCCTGGAGCCAGCAGAGGGAGGGCTTCAGCTGCCCCTACTCTGACTTCAGAGAAGGCCCAGGAGGGAGGTAGATGCTTCAGGGACATTTGGATTGAAGTGCACAAAATCCTTTAAAAGTAATGTTTATTGTAATAGATTTTAACAACATAGAAATAAAGTAAAAAGTGAAAGCCAGCAGGGTGCTGTGGCTCAGGCCTGGAATCACAGTACTTTAGGAGGCCAAGGCAGGAGGATCGCTTGAGCCTGGAAGTTCAAGACCAGCCTGGGAAACATAGTAGGACCCTGACTCCACAAAAAATATTGGCCGGGCGCGGTGGCTCACGCCTGTAATCCCAGCACCTTGGGAAGCTGAGGCGGGCAGACCATCTGAGGTCGGGAGTTCGAGAGCAGCCTGACCAACATGGAGAAACCCCGTCTCTACTAAAAATACAAAATTAGCCGGTCATGGTGGTGCATGCCTGTAATCCCAGCTACTTGGGAGGCTGAGGCAGGAGAATTCTTGAACCCGGAAGGCAGAGGTTGTGGTGAGCCAAGATCACGCTATTGCACTCTAGCCTGGGCAAAGATAGCTAAACTCCGTCTAAAAAAAATGAAAGTAAAAATATTAGCTGGGCGTGCTGGTGCACCTGTAGCCCCAGCTAATCTGGGGGCTGAGGCTGGAGAATCACTTGAACCCAGGAGTTCAAGAGTAGCCTGGGCAACATAGTGAGACCCTGTTTCTACAAAAAAAAAAAAAGTGAAAGCCCTTGTTATGGGCTGAATCATGTCTGCCTGAATTCCTATGTTGAAGCCCTAACCCCCAGTAGCTCAGAATGTGACTGTATTTGCATATAGGGCCTTTAAAGGGGTAATTAAGGCTGGGTGCAGTGGCTCACACCTATAATCCCATCACTTTGGGAGGCCGAGGCAGGTGTATCACCTGAGGTCAGGAGTTTGAGACCAGCCTGACCAACATGAAGAAACCCTGTCTCTACTAAAAAATACAAAAATTAGCTTGGTGTGGTGGTACACGCCTGTAATTCCAGCTACTTGGGAGGCTAAGGCTGGAGAATCACTTGAACCCGGGAGACAGAGGTTGCAGTGAGCTGAGATCGCGCCACTGCACTCAAGCCTGGGTGACAGAGCGAGACTCTGTCTCAAAAAAAGAAAGAAAAAAAAAGAGGTAATTAAGTTAAAATCAGGCCATTAGGGTGAGCCCTACTCCAGTCTGACTGGTGTCTTTTTTTTTTTTGAGATAGAGTCTTGCTCTGTTGCCCAGACTGGAGTGCAGTAGCATGATCTCAGCTGACTGCAACCTCTGCCTCCCAGGTTCAAGCAATTCTCCTGCCTCAGCCTCCCGAGTGGCTGGGACTACAGGCGCCTGCCACCACGCCCGGCTAATTTTTGTATTTTTAGTAGACACGGGATTTCACCATGTTGGCCAGGCTGGTCTCCAACTCCTGACCTCAAGTAATCCACCCGCCTCAACCTCCCAAAGTGCAGGGATTACAGGTATGAGCCACTGCGCCTGGCCTGACTGATATCCTTTTAAGAGGAAAGTTCGGGGCTGGGCGCAGTGGCTCACACCTGTAATCTCAACACTTTGGGAGGCCGAGATGGGTGGATCACTTGAGGTCAGGAGTTTGAGACCAGCCTGGCCAATATGGTGAAATCCCATCTCTATTAAAAATACAAAAATTAGCCAGGCATGGTGGCACATGCCTGTAATCCCAGCTACTCGGGAGGCTGAAGCGGGGGAATCACTTGAGCCCAGGAAGTGGAGGTTGCAGTGAGCTGAGATCACGCCACTGTACTCCAGTCTGGGTGGACTCCATCAGAAAAAAAAGGGGTGGGGGGGGGCGGAAAGTTGGACACACAAAGAGACATTAAGGATGCTGGAGTGCAGAGGAGGGACCACGTGAGGATGCAGGAAGAAGGCAGCCATCTGCAAGCCACGGGGAGAGGCCTCGGAGGAAACCACACCTGCTGATGCCTTGAACCTGGGCTTGCAGCCTCCAGAACTGTAAGAAAATACATTTCTGTTGTTTAAGCCACCCCATCTGTGGCATTCTGTTATGACAGCCCCAGCAAACTATCACAGCACACCGCCTCCCTGTTCCCAGTCCACAGAGGTAATTCCTGTAGCCACTGGCTGCGTATCGTAGATTTTTTCCCTGCATGTATAATCATATGTGAAGAGATACACACATAATTTTATTTTTACAAAAATAGGATTCAGCCATACACACTGTTCCACAACTACTATGCTTTTTTTTTTTTTTTTTTTTTTTAACTCACAACACTTCTGACACCAAATGTGTGGGTTTTTTTTTCCCACATCGACCAACTCTCCAACACCATCTGGGTGTCCTACAATTGAATCCATTCTGATACTATCAACCTGGAGTTGGCATCAGCTCCCACACGTTAAGGGCCCAGTCCCACAAGACTACCCCCACTTCAAACTCCAGGAGCAAGTCCTGGGTCCCCCATACTTCTGACATATGAATTGGGGGTTCCCATGACCCCCTCCTCAGGTTCAATAATTTGCTAGAACAGCTCACAGGAAAACAGTTTACTTTTTTTTTTTTTTTTTTTGAGACAGAGTGTCTCTGTCTGGAGTGCAGGAGTGCAGTGGTGCTCGCTGCAGCCTTGAACTCCTGGGCTCAAGCGATCCTCCAGCCTCAGCCTCCCAAGTAGCTGGGAGTACAGGCATGTGCCACTGCACCCAGCCTAACTTACTATTGCCGGTTTATCATAAAGGATAGAAGTTCAGGAACAGCCAGATGGAAGAGATGCATAGGACAAGGTGTGGAAGGCAGGATGCAGAGCCTCCAAGTGCTCTCTGATCACTCCACCCTCCCAGCACCTCCATGTGTTCTTCTCTGAACCCTGTCATTTAGTTGTTTTTTTTTTTTTTGAGATGGAGTTTTGCTCTGTCACCCAGGCTGGAGTGCAGTGGTGCAATCTTGGCTCACTGCAACCCCTGCCTCCCGCCCAGGTCAAGCGATTCTCCTGCCTCAGCCTCCTGAGCAGCTGGGGCTACAGGCGTGTGTCACCACATCCAGCTAATTTTTTGTATTTTTAGTAGAGACGGGGTTTCACCGTGTTAGCCAGGCTGGTCTTGAACTCCTGACCTCAGGTGATCCATCCGCCTCAGCCTCCTAAAGTGCTGGGATTACAGGCGTGAGCCACTATATCCGGCCTCATTTAGGAGTGTTAGGGCGGCTTCATTATACAGGTATAATTGATTAATTCTTGACCACTGGTAATTAACTCAATGTCCACCCCATCTCCCCTCCCCAGGGTTTGAACCCTCTAATCATTTACTGGGTTCCCCTTCTCCTGGCTACCACCCTCATGCGCCAAGAGTCACCTCATTAGCATAAATTTATGGTTGAAAGGGGCTCATTATGAGTAACAAAAGATGCTCCTCTCCCACCATCACTCAAGAAATTACAAGTGTTTCAGGAGCTCTGTGCCAGGAACTGGAAGTGAAACCCAAATATGCATACTTATATTCACAATATCACAACCACTAACTTTTTTCATTCTACCATATGTCCTTGCCATGTCAATATCTACCCAAATGTTGTTTCTTCACACTTGCCAATATCCCATCCTATGGAGGCAGCATCGTGTTTTCCAGTGTCCTCCATAGTTGGACTCAGGTGGTTTCCATCCCTTTTGCTGTCCCAGACAGTGCTGTGTGAGACGTCCTGTGCCACCAGGGTAGGGTCCCTGCGGGAGACATTCCTAAGAGCAGAATCACTTTTGTGTTTTCAATAGCTATTGCTAAGCGTACCTTCCTACGGGCGGTGTAGAAGAGGCACGTATCCCACCCACGTCCACACAGGCACACTCTCTACCACTTGGTATTTCTCAACAGAGGTGCTGGGAAGGAGACAGTGGGGTTGGGCCATTTGGATCTGAGGGGCTACAACAATTCGGCTCAGAAAAGAATAAGCAGAAAAGGGAGTGAGGAAGCCCAGAGGGAAGGTCCAAGGGACCTTCTGGGAAAGGCTGAGGGACCCCCAGGGCAGCGGAGGGTGACCAGTTCCATTGGCTCATTCAACAAACACTAAGCACTGACAATGCCCCGGGCTCTGCACTGGGGTCCAGCACATGGCAATGAAAGAAACGTCTTCCTCGTGGGAAGAAGTCGACACACAAAAGTCATTTCACAGAGTGCTTGGATCAGTGGGCTGGGGCGGCTGGAGAGGAGCAGATGCAACAAGCACTAGCATGACACTGGCTCATGAGAATTCCTGAGAATTTCTGCCATACGTGGCGAAGGGGAAAGTGCAGGAACAAATCCTTGGACATGACTGTTCTAGTTACCTACTGCTGTGGAACAAACTACCTTAAGCTACCTTGCTTTTCTGGCTGGGAACAATAGCAATTTAATTCCTTCTCAAGATTTTGTGGGTCAGGGCTCAGCTAGGTGATTCTTCTGCTCCATGTGGGCTTGACTAGGGTCACTCAGTGGGATTCGCTGGAGACTGGGCTGGGCTAGAGGGCCCAAGACAGCTTCCTTCATGTTACCTGGAGCCCGCACTATGTTGCGGAACAGTTGGCTTGCCACAAGGCTAGCGTGGGCTTCCCCACACCATGGTGGCCTCAGGGCACTCAGACTTCTTCAGTGGCAGCACAGGCTCCAAGGCAGTGTGTCCCAAGAAACAAGAAGTGGAAGCTGCCAGTTTTATAAGGCTTGGAAACTGCAAGATGTTATTTCTGTTGTATTCTATTGGTCAGAGTAGTCCCAACTCCATGGAATTCAAGGGGAGGGGACACAGACCTCCCACTTTGCAATGAGAGGGGTGTCAATGAATATGCACCATCTTTCATCTCTCTCAGTGACCCTTGACATCGTTCTCTTGCCATTGGGTGTCATATTATGTGCTGTGGTCAGTTGCAATCTGCTTGCCATGTAGCAGGCAGGTTTCACCCTTGAGCCTCAACCTCGGTGTGCAGGAACTGCTGTGTTTATATTAATATTTCTCTCCCTCAGCTCTATTGACATTTGGAGCCAAATAATTGTGATGGCTATTCTGTGCCTTGTAGGGTGTTTAGCAGCATCCTTGGCCACTACAGCATGTGCACACAAACACACACACACACTCAGTTATGACAACCCAAATGTCTCCAGACATTGCCAAATGACAGCTGGGGACACCCTAGCTGAAAACCATTGCCTCGGCCGGGCGCAGTGGCTCATGCCTATAATCTCAGCACTTTGGGAGGCCGAGGCGAGTGGATCACCTGAGGTCAGTAGTTCGAGACCAGCCTGGCCAACATGGAAATAACGCATCTCTACTAAAAATACAAAAATTAGCCAGGCATGGTGGCACATACCTGTAATCCCAGCTACTTGGGAGGCTGAGGCAGAAGAATTGCTTGAACCTGGGAGGCAGAGGTTGCAGAGAGCTGAGACTGCGCCACTTCACTCCAGACCGGGTGACAGAAAGAGACTCTGTCTCAAAAAAAAAAAAAAAAAAAGAAAGAAAGAAAAAAAACCATTGCCTTGGGATCACCTTGTTCTGACGTAAGCCTCTATCCTACTCAGCTGTGAGGAACTCATCCTGTTCCCAGTTCACATGGTCCTTAACCCTTGGGAAGGGCTCTGATCCACTGTGTGCCATGGCTGCTGCTGAGCTGGCCTCACCTCAGTGGTCCCCTGAAATACAGAGTCTCTCCTCCCGCCCCCTAACCCAACCCCACATCTTACAGAGGCTATATATGGCCTGCGTGCCTAGGCTGGGGGGGCCCCTTGCAGGGTGTCTAAGCACATTGTCACCTCTGACTCTGGGCATCTACCAGTCCAAGGAGCAACACTCCTTCCCCCTACACCCTGAGGGGGTCCCGGGGGTCTGCGTCCAGCTGACGGAATTAGCTGATGGACTGGATGCGGGCTGTGAAAGAGGATGAGTCGAGAATGCTTCCACAGTTTTCAGCCTGAGCCGCTGAAAGAATAATGATGCCATTGGCAAGAGGAAGTCAAGGGCAGGCGGGGTTGAGAGGGATATTGGGAATTATGATTTGAGCACCCCGGGAAGTCTGTCAGCCATCCACACGAAGATGTCCAGATGGCAGCTGGATAGATAAGTCTGGGACTGGGGGGTGAGATCTGTGCAGAGGACAGGTTTATGGGAGTCATCTGAGATGGCATTTATAGCCACAAGACTGGCTGGATCTCCCAGGGAGGGGGGTGTGGATAGCAAGGCCCAGGACTGGGCTCCAGGGTTCTCTGATTAATAATTATTAGATAATAATTATCATTTTATTCCTTGAAGCATCTGGCACAGTGCCTGGCTCTATACAAGTCCTCGGAATTGGACAGAACTCTACAGTACTTTATTTTCCCCACTAATAAGGATGCCAGTTCTATCTTTGCAGAAGAGCTACAAGTTAGGATCACTCAGTTAAGTAAGAAATTAAGAGATTTCTTAGGAGTTTCAAACAAAAATTCCAGGTCTACAGAGCCCCAATTCTGAGCTGCAGCCCTTCCCTAACCCCTACTCCCCACTTACACTGAGATCCAGCTCTCCTAGTTTTTCTGATATTGAGAAAACTTTAAAGTTGGGAATTTGCTCTGCTGAGACTCAGTCACCCTCGCTGTACCTTCAGTGCCACTGCTGCAGGAACTACGGCCTCCAAGCTGACTCCAGATACAGCCTCGCCATGCCTCTCCCTACCCTTGACTGCAGCAGCACTGAAATAGCAGCGTGAATCACTCTGGGACGTCACGTGATGCCCAGGCCAGGACGCAGCTGTGGTTGGTGCGCCTGTGTTCCAGGGACCTGGGAGGAGGGCCCTGGCCGGCCAGAGTGGCTGCCTCCCTGTCCTCCTCTGAGTCCACCAAGAGGCTTGGAGAAGACTGAGTTGGTGGAAGTTGTAAGAGCTAACACTTCTGGGTATTCAGAGGTGGCTTTACTGTAACACTAAAGCAGCTTAAACATCGGGGACCCCATTTGTGCTCCTTCTAAAGCCACACACCTCATTTTTTGTGTTTCTTTTCTCAAAGCGAGCTCTCAAATTGTCATAAGCTTCAGGTCTGACAAGACTCAAGGCCAACCCGGGAGGATTATATTGTTCAATCTGCATAGTAACCTTGGGAAGTCAAGGGCACTTTATCCCCCCTACCTTACAGACAAGGACACTTAGAGCACAAAAAAGCCTTCCTTAGATTTCTTGAAAATTCTGGGCCAGGGCCAGGCATGGTGGCTCACGCCTGTGTAATCCCAACACTTTGGCAGGCCAGGGCAGGTGGATCACTGGAGGTAATGAGTTTGAGACCAGCCTGGCCAACATGGTAAAACCCCATCTCTACTAAAAATACAAAAAAAAAAAAAAAATTAGCCAGGCGTAGTGGCGGGCATCTATAATCCCAGTTACTCGGGAGGCTGAGGCAGAATCGCTTGAACCTGGGAGGCAGAGGTTGCAGTGAGCTAAGATCGCGCTACTGCACTCCAGCCTGGATGACAGAGTGAGACTCTGTCCCCCACCCCCCCCCAAAAAAAGAGAATTCTGGGTTGGGCGCGGTGGCTCACGCCTGTAATCCCAGCACTTTGGGAGGCTGAGGCATGTGGATCATGAGGCCAGGAGTTCAAGACCAGCCTGGCCAAGATGGTGAAATCCTGTCTCTACTGAAAACACAAAAATTAGCCGGGCGTGGTGGTGGATGCCTGTAATCCCAGCTACTCTGGAGGCTGAGGCAGATAATTGCTTGGACCCAGGAGGTGGAGGTTGCAGTGAGCCGAGATTGCACCACTGAACTCCAGCCTGGGAGACAGAGCGAGACTCCATCTCAAAAAAAAAAAAAATTCTGAATTTGCCCTGGCCTCAGCACCTTTGCATCTTCTGTGCCCCCTAGGCTTCTCCTCGTCCCATCTCTGACAAGCCTTCACTAACCACTCACCTCTGGGAATGCTTTCCTTCCCTGCCTCCCAGGTCATCTCTCTGTGCCTTGCCTTTTGTGTTCTCTGTAGCACTCACTCTTAAGAATTATCATTTGTGCACCGATTTTGATTTAATAACTCCATGTAGTTCTTATTCCGTAGCCAGGCAGTTCTTTTTTTTTCTTTGGAGACCGAGTCTTGCTCTGTTGCCCAGGCTGGAGTGCAGTGGCGCAATCTTGGCTCACTGCAATCTCCACCTCCCAGGTTCAAGTGATTCTCCTGCCTCAGCCCCCCAAGTAGCTGGGACTAGAGGTGTGCACTACCATGCGTGGTTAGTTTTTGTATTTTTAGCAGAGATGAGGTTTCTCCATGTTGGCCAGGCTGGTCTTGAACTCCTGACCTTAGGCAATCCCCAGGCACTCTTCTTCACAAGTTCTAAGTGCTTTATAAACTATCAAATCATGTAATCCTCACAACCACTATGATGTCAACACTTTTTAATCCCCATTTGAAGATGGAGGCAACTGAAGTACAGAGAGGTTGTGCAAGTTGCTTAAAGTCACACAGCTGAGAGTTTAGGTATCATCTGTTTCAGTAGAAAAGGTTCCTGTGAGCAGAAGCTTCATCTGGAGCTGCCCTGGTCACTGCTACAGTCCTGCACCCAGAGCAGTGCAACACACTTTAAAAAAAGGTGTGTGGGAAATGGGACCTGGCTACGCAGAGATAAGCTGCTGGGGAGAAGATGGAAGGCCTGGAAAGGCCACTGCTGGTCAGGTGGGCAGCAGCGTGGTGGCCTTGAGACAGTGCCAAGAAGAAATGAAAGGTGTCCTTGACAGAATGGATGTAGATGAATAAGAGAGGCAGCCAAGGCCTCAGAGGAACCTTTGACCCCGCTTTCCTTCATGCTCCCTCCAAAATGCATCCAGAATCCAATTCCTGTCCCCTCCTCTGCTCCCATCCTGGCTCCCTGGGATTACTACCACAGCCTCCTAAGAGGTATCCCTGCTCTCACCCTCCCCTCTTCCTCCACACAGCAGCCAGAGGGATCCTGAGAAAACTAAAATCATGTCACTTCTCTGCTCAAAACCTGCCAATGTGTTCAGGAGTAGCAATGGCCTCTAACCTTGCAGGACCTGGCCCCTGCTTCCTCTCGGCAGCTGTGCCTCCTGCCATCCTGGCTACCCTGAGGCAGCTCCCACCCCAGGCCCTTTGCACTGGCTGTTCCATAGGCCTGCAAGGTTCCCCCCTACATTTCCATGGATCTCACTCCCTTGCTTTCTTCAAGTCTTTTCTCACCGTGCCCCACAATTGAAAATGCAAAACCGCTGGGCACGGTGGCTCACGTCTGTAATCCCAGCACTTTGGGAGGCCGAGGCGGGGGGGGGGGGGGATCACTTGAGGTCAGTAGTCTTGAGACCAGCCTGGTCAACATGGTGAAACCCCGCCTCTACTAAAAATAAAAAAATTAGCCGGGCGCGGTGGCGCACACATGTAATCCCAGCTAACTGGTAGGCTGAGGCAGGATAATTGCTTGAACCCAGGAGGCAGAGGTTGCAGGGAGCCGAGATTGCCCCACTGCACTCTAGCCTGGGAGACAGAGCGAGAGTTTAAGACCAGCCTGGACAACATGGCGAAATCCATCTATACAAAAAAAAAAACAAAAAAAAAAAACCCAGAAAAATTAGCTAGGCGTAATGGTGCTTGCCTGTAACCCCAGGTACTTGGGAGGCTGAGGTGGGAGGATGGCTTGAGCTCAGGAGGTTGAGGCTGCAATGAGCTGTGATGGCGCCACTGCACTCCAGCCTGGGAGACAGTGAGATTCGACTCCGTCTCAAAAAAAAAAAAAAAAAAAAAAAAAAAAAAGCAGGCGGTTAGATTGCACAGGCCCTGAACCCCATCCTAAAGCCTCCAGCACTTTCAAGTGAGGGATTACCAGGTTTGCGGATCTGCTGCAACTTGGCTGCAGTGTCCAAAATGGGTGGGGCAGGTGGAATTAAAGATGAGGCTGTGGAGACAAGCTACTGGCAGAGAGGACACACTTTAAACCCTGGGAAGATATCATTACCCAGAGAGGGGGAAGGATGAGGACACTGCAGAGCCCAACATCATCGCCAGACCCGAGTCATGCGGCTCCTTTGTTCCAGGAACCAAGGCTGACCCTAGAAGCAATAGCAGCATTTTCACTCCGCAGGTGCATCTCTTCCACGCTTTGGGGTGCCTGCCCTGCCTCCGACTTCTGGGGCTGGGATTTAAGGCCCTACCAGGGCACAGCTCGCCAGCTCACAGGCGGTCAACTACTGATTCAGTTCTTCGTCTCCTTCACTCCTTTACATCGGACTCACGAGGGCTGAGGGGCAGCTCCCTTTCGTTAAGTGCTTCCCGCGTGCTCAACACCGCACGAATTCCCCTCGGCCCTACAGGACCAAACGACCGGCGCGCTGAGAAAGGGTGTGCGGTTCCACTGAGGACGCCCAAGCGGGACAGCCGGGCCCGCCGCGGTGAGATCCCCGGCCTGTCCAGCCCAAGCCCAAGCGCCCTCGCGGTCACGTGGCATTTCCGGAACATTCAGAACCTAACAGCCAGGAGGCAGGAGGGCCGGGCCGAGGCCGGAGCGCTGGACAACGCGGGTAGCTGGCGCTCGAGGGACAGGCAGCTCCCACCGGCTAGGACCCCCATCCCGATGCGCGGGCGAAGGGCTGGGGCCCTGTGCCGCTGGCGATCCCGGGGACCGCCTGGAACTCGCGGCACTCGGGAGCGAGAGGGAAAGCAACCCAGAGGCCCCGCAGCCGCCGGCGACACAGCTACAGACCCCGACTGCAGCCGGTACTCCCATATATCAGGGGCGGGGCGAAACCCGGCCTTTTGAAGGGCAGCGATTTAAACCAATCAGCGCAAAGAGTTGGCAACCCTCCGCCCAATTGGAATCGCTCTCATTCTGAAGGCGGTTCCGACATGGAGTCCGGCAGCCCAATGGGAGAGGTGGAAATTTCCAGAACGATCAGAACCAATGGGCGCGGCCAGCGCGGCTACGATTGGCAGTGCAAAAGACCAATCCGTGTCGCAGAAGTTCGCTCCTCCCTCCATTCGTGGAGCCTGAGATGGGTGGGTTTATAGAGGAGCGCCCAATCCTGAGGTGCGGGGGAGGCAGGGTTGAGGGAATTACTCCCCGCTGTCCAATGAGAAGGAAGTGGAGATGATGGGCTGGACCTCAAGCCAATAGTAGAGCAGCACAGACATTCCCCCTAGAAGAACTCGACCAGTGAGCAGGCGAGGAAGGGGCGGGAGCCGGGGTCCCGGTAGCTTCTAGTAGGTTCCAGAAGGCGGCGCGTGCGGTTGGGAACGCGGAGCGGACGGATTCGATTCAACGGGGTTCCGGACCGCGCTGCGCTATGGAGCAGGTGAAGGGGGAGGGGCGGGCTGAGGCCCCGAGCCTGCTCGGGGACCGGCGGTGGCCAGGCCGCGGTAGGGGGGCGGGGCGGGCGCCGGATCCAGGAGACCGGAGCTCGGCGCTGGGGCCGGACGGGGCGGCGGCGGGGAGGTGAGGGCCGCGGGCGGCGGGCGGGAGCGGGATCTTTAGCGAGGCCGGCCGCGGGGAGCGCCCATCGCCCCCTGGTTGGGCGAGGAGGGCCCGGCGGAGGCCACAGCTTGGGTGAGTCCGGCCGGCGGCGGGAAGAGGGGTCGCGACCGGGCCCTGAAGGCGTCCCGAGGGGGCGGCTGCGGGCCATGTTGGGGAGGGTGCGGGCCGCAGGGGGCGGGGTGGAGGTGGGCCGGGGGCCGGGGTCCGCACCCGCGAGGTAGCCCTCCGGGAGATCTCAGACGGCCGACGGAGAAACCGCTCGGGACTTAGCCACGAGGAACTTGGACGGATCCAGGGAGCGGGGACGGGGATACACTGGGAGTAGCCGAGGATCTTAGCAGCCTGGGATGCAGTTGGGGCAAATGTTACTCTTCTACATCTGAGAAGGTCAGGGTGGGAGAGCGTTGAGCGGGGGTCTGAGGAGCGACAGACCGACTCTACCTGATGCGGGAAAGGGAAGGGTGCCGCAAAAGTCCTTGGGACGAATTCCATCTCTGACAGTGTTTTACAAATGTATTGCGGCCCCTCCCCCTCTTTTTGTATGCTTGTGTGTGTGATTGTCGAGTGACCGAGGACCAACACTTCCGAAAGGTGGGTCTGAAAGATGGGTTTCTGACGACCCGGGGGTGGTTGTAGACAATTTACAGAGATCAACCGCTGGAAGTTATGGGCCTCTACTGAGCATTTGAGGGGCCGAGTTTGAAGCGGTTGCTGCTTCCTTTCAGTGACTTGGTTATGTCCTCAGTAGCTTGCGGTTATGAAAGGCCTAGAGGTTTTGTTCGATTTGAAGCTGTCATTGAGCTGTAATGATTCATCGGAAGAAAAAGGACAAAACAACCTCCAAGAAACCTCTACCAACCTCCGAGAAATCATCCTCCCGCTCGGGAGTACTACTGTCTTCGCTCCGGGCCCATAACACTTGGGGGTGACAATTCTGAAACTATACCTGGTATCTGGTTCTTACTTCAGGGCCATAAAACTAAGATCGCCCACACTCTCCCCTTAAATAAGACATCTCGATGGACTAGTGACTACCATCCTTTTTTTGGTGTGAGCTACAGAGCTGAGCCTTTGGTCTCTTGTAGCAGTTGCTGCTTTAGGCAAAGCTCGAGCTTCCTTGCTGTATTAAAAAGAGTGGAAATGAAGTTAGTAAACTTTTTTGTGCCCATATAATATTTCAGTTGTATCTAGGGTTAAATGGGCTGTAGTATAGGTGAGGAAAAGATTTCTGGAATAAGACGTTGCTCTTTTACCTTTAAGAAAGGATCTGGGGCCGGGCACCGTGGCTCAGCCTGTAATCCCAGCACTTTGGGAGGCCGAGGCAGGCGGATCACGAGGTCAGGAGATCGAGACCATCCTGGCTAGCACAGTGAAACCCCGTCTCTACTAAAAATACAGAAGAAAAATTAGCCGGGCGTGGTGGCGGGAGCCTGTAGTCCCAGCTACTCGGGAGGCTGAGGCAGGAGAATGACGTGAACCCTGGGGGCAGCTTGCAGTGAGCCGAGATTGCGCCACTGCACTCCAGCCTGGGCCATAGAGCGAGACTCCGTCTCCCTCCAGCCTGGGCCACAGAGCGAGACTCCGTCTCAAAAAAAAAAAAAAAAAAAAGGATCTCGGCTGGGCGCAGTGGCTCACGCTTATAATCCTAGCACTTTGGGAGGCCAAGGTGGGCGAATCACCTGAGGTCAGGAGTTCTACACCAGCCTGGCCAACATGGTGAAACCCCCTCTCTACTAAAAGTACAAAAATTAGCGGGTCATGGCGCAGGCCTGTAATCCCAGCTATTGGAGAGGCTGAGATAGGAGAATTGCTTCAACCCGGGAGGCGTAGGTTGCAGTGAGCTGTGATCACGCCACTGCACTCTAGCCTGGGTGACAGAGTGAGACTCCATCTCAAAAAAAAAAAAAAAAGAAAAGAAACGATTTCTGTTACCAAATTTATTTTGTATTTTTTTTAGAGACAGGGTCTGGTTCTGTGGCCCAGGCTGAAGTGCCCTGGTGGGATCATAGCTCACTGCAGCCTCAAGTTCCTGGCCTCAAGCGATCCTCCTGCCTCACTCTCCTGAGTAGCTGGGCACACCACCACAACTGGCTAATTTTAACATTTTTTGTAGAGACGGGGCTCTTGCTGTTTCCCAGGCTGGTCTCGAATTTCTAGGCTCAAGCAATCCTCTAGCCTTGGCCTCCCACTTCATTAGCACTAGGATTACAGGCGTGAGTCACCTTGCCTGGTCTTAAAATGTTTGTTTTTAAATTACCACTACTGGTGATAGAAGTGTATGTACAGGTAGGTAGATGGTGAATGAATATTTGACTTAGGACAGCAAACTGGCATGGCAGCTGTACAGATGACCTGGCATTTAATCCCAGGTGTGTTTGAGCCCACCATCTGGAAGCCATTCCTGAAAACAAACACGATTTCTCTACCTTTTGTTTTCATTTTCAACTGTGAGGTTTGTATTTCAGTTTAGAAAATACTCAAGTTGGGCCGGGTGCAGTGGCTCACACTTGTAATCCCAGCACTTTGGGAGGCCGAGGTGGGCGGATCATGAGGTCAGGAGTTTGAGACCAACCTGTCCAGCATGGTGAAACCCCGTCTCTAGTAAAAATACAAAAGAAAAAAGAAAAACTGGGCCGGGCGTGCTGGCTCACGCCTGTAATCCCAACACTTTGGGAGGTTGAGGCGGGTGGATCACGAGGTCAGGAGCTCAAGACCAGCCTGGCCAATATGGTGAAACCCTGTCTCTATTAAAAATACAAAAATTAGCTGGATGTGGTGGCACGCGCCTGTAGTCCCGGCTACTTGGGAGGCTGAGGCAGGAGAATCGCTTGAACCCGGGAGGCGGACCTTGAAGTGAGCCGAGATTGCGCCACTGCACTCCAGACTGGGTAACAGCGAGACTCCGTCTCAAAAAAAAAAAATAAATAAATAAGCGGACATTGTGGTGCGCGCCTGTGGTCCCAGCTACGTGGGAGGCTGAGGCAGGACAATTGCTTGAACCTGGCTGGTCGAGGTTGCAGTGAGCCAAGATTGCGCCACTGCCCTCCAGCCTGAATGACAGCGAAACTGCATCTCCAAAAAAAAAAAGTTGGACAGATTTTGAATGTTCAGGCTTTTTTTTTTCAATAGGGGCCTTTCAAATCCCACAATGATACACTTCTTACATTTAACCCAACACAGGCGTACAGCCATGTAACACATTCAGCAAAACAGTATTTACTGTTATGTGCACTGTGTGCTGGTATTTTTTTGTCCCATTTGGTCTCTTAAAATGCTGGTCATGACCTACAAAATTGATTTCCTGACCCACTGTTGATCAGTACTCTGTTTGAAAAATGCTTTTCTAAAGCATAGGCAGGAACTTCACCAGCTGCCTCTTGACACCACTTGAGTTTTGTTAACTCTTCGTCTTCTGGCCTCCATCTTGGGCTCTAGGATTTTTTATCCCTTGTTTGCTTAATTTGGCAGGTTCCTTCTGCCCTTGCCTCTGTAAGGTCTCTGATTGATGGAAGTTCCTGATCTCTCTATTTGAGGATTCCAAAATCATTTCTCTCTTTTTTTTTTTTTTCCAAATAGAGTCTCACTCTGTCCTCCAGGTGAGAATGCAGTGGTGCAATCTCGGCTCACTGCAGCCTCCGACTCCCAGGTTCAGATGATTCTCCTGCCTCAGCCTGCTGAGTAGCTGGGACTACAGGCATGCACCACCACATCCGGGCAATTTATTTATTTATTTATTTTTTTGAGACTGAGTTTCGCTCTTGTTGCCCAGGCTGGAGTGCAATGACGCAATCTCAGCTTACTGCAACCTCCGCCTCCCAGGTTCTAGCAATTTTCCTGCCTCAGCCTCCCAAGTAGCTGGGATTACAGGCATGCACCACCACGCCCGGCTAATTTTTTTTGTATTTTTAGTAGAGACGGGGTTTCTCCATGTTGAGGCTGGTCTCGAACTCCTGACCTCAGGTGATCTGCCCACCTTGGCCTCCCAAAGTGCTGGGATTACAGGCGTGAGCCACTGCACCCGGCAGCAGCTAATTTTTGTATTTGTAGTAGAGACGGGGTTTCACCATGTTGGCCAGGCTGGTCTCGAACTCCTGACCTCAGTTAATCTACCCGCCTCAGCTTCCCAAAGTGCTGAGATTACAGCCTAAAATCATTTCTCTTGACAAAACTATTTCTTGCATCAATTTACTGGGTCGTGGGTGGATAATACATAGAATGAGTTAGTAACTTCGGTGACAACTCTATCTCACAGAACGTTTACCTCTTAAAAGTGTATTTTGGCCTGGTGTGGTGGTTCACCTTTGGGAGACTGAGGCAGGAGGGTTGCTTTAGGCCAAGAGTTTGAGACAAGCCTGGGCAATATGGTGAGACACCATTTCTACCACAAAAAGAAAAAAACATTTAGCCAGGCATGGTGACACACACTTGTAGTCCCAGCTACTTAAAAGGCTGAGTTGGCCGGGCGCAGTGGCTCATACCAGTAATCCCAGCACTTTGGGAGGCCAAGGCAGGCAGATCACCTGAGGCCAGGAGTTCAAGACCAGCCTGACCAACATGGAGAAACCCCGTCTCTACTAAAAATACAAAATTAGACGGATGTGGTAGTGCGTGTCTGTAATCCCAGCTACTCAGGAGGCTGAGGCAGGAGAATCGCTTGAACCTGGGAGGCAGAGGTTGTGGTGAGGCAAGATTGTGCTATTGCACTCCAGCCTGGGCAACCAGAGTGAAACTCTGTCTCAAAAAAAAAAAAAAAAAAGGGCTGAGTCAGGAGGATTGCTTGAGCCCAGGAGCTCAAGGTTACAGTCAGCTGTGATCATGCCACTGCACTCCAGGCTGGTAACAGAGTGAGATGCCATCTTTAAAAAAAAATAAATATGGCCAGGCGCGGTGGCTCACGCCTGTAATCCCAGCACTTTGGGAGGCTGAGATGGGTGGATTAAGAGGTCAGGAGTTCGAGACCAGCCTGGCCAACATGGTGAAACTCCATCTCTACTAAAAATACAAAAATTAGCTGGGCGTGGTGGCGGGTGACTGTAATCCCAGCTACTCAGGAGGCTGAGGCAGGAGAATCGCTTGAACCTAGGAGGCGGAGGTTGCCGTGAGGCAAGATTGTGCCACTACACTCCAGTCTGGGGACAGAGCAAGACTCTGTCTCAAAAAATAATAATAATAAATACAATGAGCTTCTCAAGGGGTTGCCTGCCCTCAGGTAGGCTGCTGTGGGGCACCTGACCTTTTGTGGGGCAGCTCAGTAAGGAGAAACCCTTTAGTGAGGACACTGTTCTGACAGGGCCAAGGCCTGCCTCACTTTTTTTTTTTTTTTAATGAAAAAGTAAAATTTAATGTGGAAAATGCAAACTTGGGGAGGGCAGAAAGATCACACACAAGGCTGTCACTTCACACTTGGAGGGTTGCACAGTGGCCCAACAGAGGCACACCTCACTTGCCAGACGGTGGGGCAGGTGGGCAGAGGTGCTCCTCTCTCCCCAGTCAGTTGGGTGGCCGGGCAGAGGCGCTCCTCACTTCCCAGTCGGTGGGGCGGCCAGGCAGAGCTGCCTCACTTTTTAAAACTGCTGTATCCCACCGGGCGCGGTGGCTCACACCTGTAATCCCAGCACTTTGGGAGGCCAAGGCGTGTGGATCACCTGAGGTCAGGAGTTTTAAGACCAGCCTGACCAATATGGTGAAACCCCGTCTCTACTAAAATTACAAAAATTAGCCAAGTGTGGGGGTGTGCGCCTGTAGTCCCAGCTACTTGGGAGGCTGAGGCAGGAGAATCGCTTGAACCTGGGAGGCGGAGGTTGCAGTGAGCCGAGATCGTGCCACTGCACTCCAGCCTGGGTGACAGAGTGAGACTCTGTCTCAAAAAACACAACAAAACAAAACCCCGCTGTATCCTTACTTCTTGCACTTTATATGTTTGAGAAGGGAGAGGTTTAAACCACAGTAGCATTTCTTCATCCTCCATCCCCTTTGTAATGTAATATTTAAGAATGGCAGGAATCAATTTGGGGAGCTAGCTTGACTGTTACCCATTAATGAACATTTATCTATCCTGTGGTGACATGTTGCCACACCAGGAAATGGAGACTGGTTCTTCCCTGATGGGAGGAGATGACAACTATGCCATAGGCAAGCATCTTGCCGCTCCCAAGAAAGAGAAGTCTCCGCTGCCATCCCACAGCCTTTGGGTCACTGGAGCATGTATCAGTGCCACTCCGCCCACCTTCTTCCTGTGAGGGGTGACTAGGGCTGTGCTCTGTTTGTCATTTGGATGCTTTGGAAATCTGTGGCAAATGAATTGACTTTTCCATGGAAGGAGCATGTGGCACATTCTGGAGTGGCTTCGTGAGCTCCATGTGGAGACCGGAAGAGTGGCAGAGCCCTCGTTCGTCACATGGGGGCCAGCGTGGAGTGCAGCCTGGGCTCTTTGCCCCTGCTTATTTTTTCTTTGCTGGCTCCTTAGGGAAGGTGTGAGAAATTAAATAAATGAACCGGTTTTCTCTCTTCTGATCTGTAAAGTCACCTATTTATTTGTTGGTAACTACATGAAAGAATGAGTGTTGTCTTTAAAGCTTGGGATTAAATGGGCACATCATAGAGAAGCTGTGTGTTCCTTTCCCCTCAGGTCAATGAGCTGAAGGAGAAAGGCAACAAGGCCCTGAGCGTGGGTAACATCGATGATGCCTTACAGTGCTACTCCGAAGCTATTAAGCTGGATCCCCACAACCACGTGCTGTACAGCAACCGTTCTGCTGCCTATGCCAAGAAAGGAGACTACCAGAAGGCTTATGAGGATGGCTGCAAGACTGTCGACCTAAAGCCTGACTGGGGCAAGGTCAGCTGTGGGCAGTGGAGGGAGAGAGGCCCTTCAGACCCTTCCAGAAATGCCTTTTGGTGGCCTGAGGTTTACCTGTCCTGATACACTGATAGTTACCTACCCACCTCCCTGTTTGAGTATCCTCCTCAGAAATGGCATTTTTCATCAAATCTAAGGTAGCCATTAGTTGTAATACAGGCTTTATTTTTGGTACTAAGAAGGAAGAGGCCAGGGCTGGGCGCGGTGACGCACGCCTGTGATCCCAACACTTTGGGAGGCTGAGGTGGGCGGATCACTTGAGGTCAGGAGTTCAAGACCAGCCTGGCCAACATGGTGAAACCCTGTCTGTACTAAAAATGCAAAAAAATTTAGCCAGGCATGGTGGCATGTGCTTGTAGTCCCATCTACTCAGGAGACTAAGGCAGGAGGATCACCTGAGCCTGGCAAGCGGAGGTTGCAGTGAGCTGAAATCGTGCCACTGCATCCAGCCCAGGTGACACGGCAAGACCCTGTCTCAAAAAAAAAGGAAGAGGCCCGGTACAGTGGCTCACGCCTATAATCCCAGCACTTTGGGAGGTTGAGGCAGGAGGATTACTGGAGCCCAAAGGTTTGGGACCAGCCTGGGTAACATAAGGAGTCCCTGTCTTTACCAAAAAAATAAGGGAAAAAGTGTTGCCAAAGAAACTGACCACAGTCGATCAGAGGTGAACAAGGCGGGGCGGATGTGCCTCTGCTATTTGGATGGATCCTTACAGTAGCAGCCTTGGCCTCGTAGCCTACTCCTCTCCTTTTTTTCTCTTTGGCCTTCATGTGAATACTCATTTTTCCCCCATAAAAGTAGAATTGTTCTTTTTTGAGTTCGTCTTCTAGATTTACCTCTGGGTGTTCTCTATTTTGTGTCTGTCTTTGGTGGTTTAAGGGCTATTCACGAAAAGCAGCAGCTCTAGAGTTCTTAAACCGCTTTGAAGAAGCCAAGCGAACCTATGAGGAGGGCTTAAAACACGAGGCAAATAACCCTCAACTGAAAGAGGGTTTACAGAATATGGAGGCCAGGTTGGCAGGTAGGTACCACGCACAGTTTTCTTTCTTATTATTAATGTGATTAATTTTGAGTCTTCACCCCTGAGAAATGTCAGTCTGGTAGGGTATGGGACACAGTAATTCTAGTGAACTCATTTCATAGTGATGTGCTTTCCTTTATTTGGACAGAGAGAAAATTCATGAACCCTTTCAACATGCCTAATCTGTATCAGAAGTTGGAGAGTGATCCCAGGACAAGGACACTACTCAGTGATCCTACCTACCGGGAGCTGATAGAGCAGCTACGAAACAAGCCTTCTGACCTGGGCACGTAAGTGGACGCCGCTCACTGAGGTTCTGGAAATCGGGGAATGTTATGCTTTCTTCCTGTAACCTCACAGCAGAGGGTTCCCTGGTCTAAACTGCAGAGTTTTTGCCTTTGCTTATTCTCTGCAGAGCAGTAGGTGGTGGTCGTTTATTTGTAATTATAGAAAGGGTCAGGGGAGCATATTTCACAGTAATCTAGAATGTTCTTTGTCATCTGTATACACCTCTCTCCTGCTCTTCTAGAACTCTGATCTAGCGTCAACCCCATCCTTTCCATCTACTTAGGCCCTACTTTCTCTGTTGGTATATCAGAGTGGAAACAGGGTTGAAGTTCATGTGTAAAGATGTGTCTAAATCTTGTACTGGTATTCATCTCTATCAATCCTCTGGCTCCTGAGATCAGCTACGGAAGTATACCTAAAACAACTCATTCCTCTGTGTATCTGCTAACCTTGAGGAATAAACTTGACCTCTGTGACTTCATTTTATTTTATTTTATTTTATTTTATTTTTTCAAGATGGAGTCTCGCTCTGTCCCCTAGGCTGGAGTGCAGTGGTGTGATCTCAGTTCGCTGCAACTTCCACCTCCTGGGTTCAAGCGATTCTCCTGCCTCAGCCTCCTGAGTAGCTGGGATTACAGGTGTACGCCACCACGCCCAGCTAATTTTTGTATGTTTAGTAGTAGCGGTGGGTTTCACCATGTTGGCTAGGCTGGTCTCAAACTCCTGACCTCAAGTGGTCTGCCCGCCTCGGCCTCCCAAAGTGCTGGGATTACAGGTGTGAGCCACCGTGCTCCGCTATCTGTGACTTCATTTTATTTGTTTTTGTTGACTCTATTTTAGATAGTGTTTTGACGGTTTGAGTATTTCTCAATTGTAACTCATGAGTGGTGCAAAATCTAGCCATCTTTTGATGGGTGAGGAGCTTCTAAACACAAGAATCTGACTTTAGTAGTAAGTGGGAGTTAAAAGACTAATTGTGGGGAGGAGTAATTACAATTTTTCTTTATTTTTTTAAATCAATACTAGGAAACTACAAGATCCCCGGATCATGACCACTCTCAGCGTCCTCCTTGGGGTCGATCTGGGCAGTATGGATGAGGAGGAAGAGATTGCAACACCTCCACCACCACCCCCTCCCAAAAAGGAGACCAAGCCAGAGCCAATGGAAGAAGATCTTCCAGAGAATAAGAAGCAGGTCTTGTTTTTTTCTCTCCTCACTGTCACCTATCTATAAACAACTAGAAATCTTTATGTTGAATGGGGACATCTGTTGACCTTGATTGACCATGATTATTATGGTTTTTTTAGAGACGGAGTCTTGCTGTGTTTCCCAGGTTGGTCTTGAACTTCTGGCCTCAAGCGATGCTCCTGCTTCAGCTAGGATTACAGTCACGAGCCACTGTGCCCACCTAAAACTATTTTGAGTGCTTTAGTATGCGCTAAGCTTATGGCTATTATTCATTAGAATGGCCAGCATGTTAAAAAATCAGCTTCAGGCCAGGCACGGTGGCTCATGCCTATAATCCCAGCACTTTTGGAGGCCAAGGTGGGCAGATCACCTGAGGTCAGGAGTTCAAGACCAGTCTGGCCAACATGGTGAAACCTCATCTTCACTAAAAACACAAAAATTAGCCAGGTGTCATGGTGGGCGCCTGTAGTCCCAGCTACTCGGGAGGCTGAGGCAGAAGAATCGCTTGAACTCGGGAGGCAGAGGTTGCAATAAGCTGAGAGCTCATCACTACACTCCAGGCTGGGTGACAGAGCGAGACTCCATCTCAAAAAAAAAAAAAAAAAAAGCTTCACAAGAGCATTCCTAGGAGTAATGTGTAGCAAAGAGTGAGCTGCGGGAGTTGCCCTTCCCGTGGTCACCACAGCGGCTTCATTGCTGCCAGTGTGAATGTTGGTCCTAGCAAGACTGGAAAGTTGAGAGTAATTCACGTCCTTGTCGTGATCCGAAGAATGTTGTCCACATCAATCCCTAGGCCTTTGCTTCCTGGCTGGACATGGTGTGTGGTTGGGAGTGTCCGCTAAGCAGCACTCTTTTAGAGCAGAAGGCATGTGCCTCAACGATTTCATTTCCCTCCTTGTAAACTGGAACAGCAGATTGTTGCCAAATTTAGCACCTTGAAATGGGTAAGCGTTGGTTGTTTAGGGTGTCTCAGCTGGAAAAAGGCCCTCCAGTGTGGGCGGTAGTGAGCTTTGCTGAAGACTCGTGCCACTCAGCCGCTTCTCATCCTCTCACCACCCCCTCTGCTATGGTTCCCTGACAACTAAGACCCTGAGGCAACCACAAGACTGACACCAGATCTGCTGCAGCCTCAGAATAAAGCCTGGTCCAAAACTCTGCTGTCCTCACCGGTTGCTTCAAGTCGAAGGGATTTCCTCTCCCCTAAAGAAGCGCTCTGCTTCCTGACAAAGATCTAGGAGAGTAGGTGGAAAAGGGGGAGTTTCAGAGCAAGCAAAGATGAAGTTAGTTTTCATTCTAACGGCTGATACTTTATTGTCTATAGCTGACTGATGAAGAGGCCTTCAGGAGAACTTGATAGAATTCTATTCATGTTAGTTGCATTTCAGAACTTGTGACAGATCATAGATTCTTGCTTTGTCACCTGAGTTAGATTTGCTCAGCACTCACTTCTAAACCTCATCTAGGCACTGAAAGAAAAAGAGCTGGGGAACGATGCCTACAAGAAGAAAGACTTTGACACAGCCTTGAAGCATTACGACAAAGCCAAGGAGCTGGACCCCACTAACATGACTTACATTACCAATCAAGCAGGTGAGGCCCAGAAACAAGGGGCAAGGGAATTGTTGGGTGTCTCTGAGGGAGGAAGCAAAGACTGACTGTTCCTTCTTAACCATCCTGCCTGGCAGCGGTATACTTTGAAAAGGGCGACTACAATAAGTGCCGGGAGCTTTGTGAGAAGGCCATTGAAGTGGGGAGAGAAAACCGAGAAGACTATCGACAGATTGCCAAGTAGGCTCAACCTTCCAGAATACCTTGAGTAGCGCGGAGGGTTTGCTGTCCAAGACTTAAGTTTCTCTGCATGGGGAGGAGGGCTGCTGGCCATAGAATCTGCTGTGTTAAGAAAGGGCTGGCAAGAAGGTCACCAGAGACAAGACAAAAGGTGTTGAAGGCAGTGATGCGGGCCTTTCTAGCTGCAGGTGTGTTTTTCTGCAGGAGCTGACTTTATCTCTCTGTCCTAAGCAGTCCTTGTCCCTCTTTCTTTATCAGAGCATATGCTCGAATTGGCAACTCCTACTTCAAAGAAGAAAAGTACAAGGATGCCATCCATTTCTATAACAAGTCTCTGGCAGAGCACCGAACCCCAGATGTGCTCAAGAAATGCCAGCAGGTGCGTAGGAAAAGAATAGGGGTATTTTCTTGTTTTCCTAATAATTGAGCCATTGTTTCTTACTGTTTTATTTAATAATGAACTTGACTTTTTTTTTTTTTTGAGATAGGGTCTCACTCTTTCACCCAGGCTGAAAGACAGTGGCACAATCGTGGCTCACTGCAGCCTCAACCTCCTGGGCTTCAGTGATCTTCCCACCTCAGCCTGAGTAGCTAGGATTACAGGCACGTGCCACCACGTCCAGCTAATTTTTTTTTTGAGATGGAGTCTGTTTGTCACCCAGGCTGGAGTGCAGTGGCATGGTGTCTGCTCACTGCAACCTCCGCCTCCCAGGTTCAAGCAATTCTCCTGCCTCAGCCTCCCGAATTGCTAAGACTACAGGTGCACGCCACTATGCCCGGCTAATTTTTGTATTTTTAGTAGAGATGGGGTTTCATTATATGGACCAGGCTGGTCTCAAACTCCTGACCTCATGATCCACCCACCTCAACCTCCCAAAGTCCTGGGATTACAGGCCACTGCGCCTGGCCACGTCCAGCTAATTTTTTTATTTGTAGAGAAGGGGTCTCACTGTGTTGCCCAGGTTGGTCTTGAACTCCTGAACTCAAGTGATCCGCCCTCCTCAGCCTCCCAAAGTGCTGGAATTATAGGCGTAAGCCACTATGCCTGGCTGAACCTGATCTTTTTTTAGGTAGTGGCTTTGGTCATCTTACATGATTCTTTCTCTGTCATTTAACAGTGACAACATGTAGGAAGTGATCTGGTGTTTTTTTTTGTGGTTTTTTTTTTTTTTTTTTTGCAGTTTTTGGTATTGGCCAAGATTTCAACCCTAAATGTGTTAATATTGAGGGCCTGTGCATTGAGAATGTTAATAGTTCTTGTAACATAACATTTTGACTATTTTATAAAGACTGTAAATTTCTTTTAAAATCTTGCCAGCAATAGCCGGGTGCAGTGGCTCACGCCTGTAATCCCAGCACTTTGGGAGGCTGAGGTGGGTGGATCACAAGGTCAGGAGTTCAAGACCAGCCTGGCCAGGATGGTGAAACCCCGTCTCTACTAAAAATACGAAAAAATTAGCTGGGCGCAGTGGCAGGCGCCTGTAATCCCAATTACTCAGGAGGATGAGGCAGGAGAATCGCTTGAACTCAGTGGGGCGGAGGTTGCAGTGAGCCGAGATCATGCCACTGCACTCCAGCCTGGGTGAGAGTGAGACTCCATCTCAAAAAAAAAAATCTTGCCAGCAATAGCCAGTCGCAGTGGCTCACGCCTGCGATCCCAGCACTTTGGGAGGCCGAGGTGGGCGGATCAAGAGGTCAGGAGATCGAGACCATCCTGGCTAACACGGTGAAACTCTGTCTCTACTAAATAAATAAAAAAAATTAGCCTGGTATGGTGGTGGGCGCCTGCAGTCCCAGCTACTCGGGAGGCTGAGGCAGGAGAATGGCGTTGAACCCGGGAGGCAGAGCTTGCAGTGAGCCGAGATCGCGCCACTGCACTCCAGCCTGGGCGACAGAGCGAGACTCTATCTCAAAAAAAAAAAAGAAAAAAATCTTGCCAGCAATACTCTGAAAATTAAAATCCTAATCTGATTTTTTTTTTTTTTGAGATGGAGTCTCGCTCTGTCACCCAGGCTGGAGTGCAGTGGCGCGATCTCGGCTCACTGCAAGCTTCCGCCTCCCGGGTTCACGCCATTCTCCTGCCTCAGTCTCCCGAGTAGCTGGGACTACAGGCTCCCGCCACCACACCAGGCTAATTTTTTATATTTTTAGTAGAGACAGGGTTTCACCATGTTAGCCAGGATGGTCTCGATCTCCTGACCTCGTGATCCACCCGCCTCGGCCTCCCAAAGTGCTGGGATCACAGGCGTGAGCCACCGCGCCCGGCCCCTAATGTGATTTTTAAGCCCAATATTTAGATGATTATGAGCGTTTAAATTATTATTTCAAGAATTATGTTTTGTAGGCAGAGAAAATCCTGAAGGAGCAAGAGCGGCTGGCCTACATAAACCCCGACCTGGCTTTGGAGGAGAAGAACAAAGGCAACGAGTGTTTTCAGAAAGGTACTGCCTGCAGCTGGGGGATTGGGGGAGCAGTGCTGGGTGTGCCTCCCGTGCCTGGCTGTGGGGTAAATGGCCGGCTACACATGGGGGCTTTTTGCTTTTTAAAAGACAGTCTTTGTTTTTCTTCCCCAGGGGACTATCCCCAGGCCATGAAGCATTATACAGAAGCCATCAAAAGGAACCCGAAAGATGCCAAATTATACAGCAATCGAGCTGCCTGCTACACCAAACTCCTGGAGTTCCAGCTGGCACTCAAGGTGACGAGACCTGTGGGGGCGGCCATTACTGAAAGCCTGCACATGAGGAGTGGGTTTTCTCTCTCTCTCCTCATCAACATTGAGTTGATGATGATCATGATGTTTGAGACAGTGTCTCACTCTGTCCTGCCTCAGCCTCCTGAGGAGCTAGGACCACAGGCTCATGCCTCCACATCCTGCTACATTTTTTATTTTTTTTGTAGAGTTGGGGTCTTGCTGTGTTGCCCAGATTTATAGGGGTGTGTGTGTGTATGTGTGTGTGCGTGTGTAAAATATGGGACCTGTATCTAACTGGTCGTGTGTGTGTGTGTGTGTGTGTGTGTGTGTGTGTGTGTAAAATATGGGACCTGTATCTATCTAACTGGTCCTGGTCCATGGAGTCACTACTGGTTGGCAGTACATTGGAAGGTGGGTCCTTTCACCCCTGTAACCTTCCTCTTTTTTCTTTGTTTTTGCCTTTTTAACCATTTTTAAGAAGTGGAATTGCTGGGTCATGTGGTGTCTGTGTTTACTTTTTTTGTTGGTTTGTTTGAGACAGTCTCACTCAGCTGCCCACACTGGAGTGCCGTGGCACAATCTCGGCTCACTGCAACCACCATCTCCCGGGTATTTTAGTAGAAACGGGGTTTTACCATGTTGGCCAGGCTGGCCTTGAATTCCTGACTTCAGGTGATCCACCCGCCTCAGCCTCCCAAAGTGCTAGGATTACAAGCGTGAACCACCACGCTTGGCCCCCTTTTTTTAAAAAAAAAAAAAAAAAAAGACAAGGTCTGGCTCTATCGCCCAGGCTGGCTGGAGTACAGTGGCACAATCTCAGCTCACTGCAACCTCTACTTCCCTGGCTTAAACCATCCTCCCACCTCAGCCTCCTGAGTAGCTGGGACTACAGGTGTGCACCACTGTACCCAGCTAATTTTTGTATTTTTTATAGAGACAGGGTTTCACCATGTTTTCCCAGGCTGGTCTCAAACTCCTGGGCTCAAGCGAGCCTCCTGCCTTGGACTCCCAAAGTGCTGGGATTACAGGCATGAGCCACTGCGCCCGGCCTATGTTTTATTTTTGAGGAACCACCATATGTTTTTCAGCAGCTGTACCATCCTTGCTTGCTTTTCTGTTTTGCTCAGCTAGGTAGGTCTGCTGTTCTCAGTCATATCAAGTTAGGTCAAATACAATTGTTTGACACTGTGGAGTTCCCATAATCCTCTCGAATCTCAGCCACCCTGCCTCTATCAGCAGTTTTTTTTGACTGTTCTCTAGCTGACAAACCTGGACCGTATTGTGGGAAGGTGACAAAGTGTGACCTGTCTAGAAACAGCCATACCTGGGTTTGTGTTGGTTTTTATATTTTGTGCCACTGTCTTCTGGGTCTGTGTCTTGGCCTAGAGACATCATTTCTACTAGTAGGATTGTGCAAGAGTCATGTCAAAAGCATATTGATTTGTGAGGCAAAGAATAGCAGGTTGTCAATCACCTGGGAGGTGGGCAGTACTTTCCCGATCATGAGAGCGTGGAGAAAGAATGAATGGGATTTCTGCTGCTGTCCCAGCTTCTTGGTGCAAGAGTTGGAATTAATTCCAGGGGAGCTCAGTGTACTGCATAGTGTTCTCTTCCTCATCATTTCTCACTTTGAAGATGTTTCAAAGAGAAGAATACATAGTGAATATCTGGTGTATCTTCCACCTTTATCTGACAAATGTTGACCTGTTTTTGCTGAACTGTTTGCGAAAGGAAATTGTATACATTTGGTACTTAGAATGAGACATCCAAGTCTTGTGCACGCATTGCCTGAAAAGACTCCTGTCCAGTGCAGCACTGTCAGCACACGCGACCTCACCAGACCAAGGCCTGATGCCATCTGCCGTCTGTCCATCCATACTTAGACTTGCCCACTTCTCCAAAAATATGTTTTAAAACTGAGGTTTTTTTATTTTTGTTTGTTTGTTTTTATTTTTTTTTGAGACAGAGTTTCACTCTTGTTGCCCAGGCTGGAGTGCAATGGCGTGATCTTGGCTCACTGCAACCTCTGCCTCCTGGATTCAAGCGATTCTCTTGCCTCAGTCTCTTGAGTAGCTGGGATTATTACAGGTGCAGCCACCAGGCCAGCAAATTTTTTTTTTTTTTTTTTTTTTTTTTTAGTAGAGATGGGGTTTCACCATGTTGGCCAGGCTGGTGTCAAACTCCTGACCTCAGGTGATCCACCCACCTTGGCCTTCCAGAGTGCTGGGATTACAGGCATGAGCCACCGCACCCAGCGTTGTTTTGTTTTTTAGTCAGCAATGGTTTTGGATTCCAAAGCTCTCAGGACCAAGGCCCACGCATTTTGTCTAGTTGTCATGTACTCTTCAGTTTCTCAAACTGGAATTGTCCCCCGCTATGTGTTTTTCATAACATCAGCCTCTTGCAGAGTCCAGGCAGTTTGTCTTGTGTGGGATGATCCATCATCTGGAGTTGTCTTTCCTGATGTTGTCCCCTCTGTTTGGTGCTGGGTGAGGCATTAGAGTTGGAAGTCCACATGCTTGAGTTGCCTGTACTGAGCTTGTCCAAGGGAATGAGCCTAATTTCTTTCTGTTGCTTCATTCTAGGACTGTGAGGAATGTATCCAGCTGGAGCCGACCTTCAGTAAGTGCCTTTCTGCTGCCTGTCCCCTGTCTCTAGCCAAAAGATTAGAGAAGGAAAGGGCAAGCCCTTTGTCTACCTGTGTGTCCTTGGGACCTGTAGGATTTAGGATCCAACATCAGCAGGTGTGAACAGTGTTGGTGTGCAGGTGAAGAGGTGCAAGGAGCAGCCTTGGGCGCTGCGGTTGGATAACGCGCCACCTTTCCTGTTTGTAGTCAAGGGTTATACACGGAAAGCCGCTGCGCTGGAAGCGATGAAGGACTACACCAAAGCCATGGATGTGTACCAGAAGGCGCTAGACCTGGACTCCAGCTGTAAGGTGGGGCTGCTTCTGGCCTCCAGGGGCCCCCCCTGCCTCTTTCTCTGTTGGGGCTTTTCCATGTTCAGTCCCTGATTTCTTCCCTGTCACCTCCATTTCTCTCTGTTTCTCTCTTACTTGTTCTCTCTCCCCTTGTCAGTTACCTCTGTTATCTTGGACCTGCTGAAGCAGTGAGCTGGGTGGTCCTAACACGCTTCACCTTTGTCTCTTCTGGACTGCAGGAGGCGGCAGACGGCTACCAGCGCTGTATGATGGCGCAGTACAACCGGCACGACAGCCCCGAAGATGTGAAGCGACGAGCCATGGCCGACCCTGAGGTGCAGCAGATCATGAGTGACCCAGCCATGCGCCTTATCCTGGAACAGATGCAGAAGGACCCCCAGGCACTCAGCGAGTACGTAGAGTCAGAGAGGCGGCCTTGCTGGAAATGGAGAACAAAAGCAGGCAGATGAGTGCACGCGGCTGGGGGGTGGTATGCTCAGTCTGCGAGGAAGAGGAATTCTGTCATTCTTCCTAAACTTAAGGAGATTGGCAGTGGGTGGCGAGCTGGAAGGGCTTTGTTAGTCGTGATAGCTTAAGCAGTCATTTGGAAAGGCCCATTTAGCTGGGAGAAAGGTCTTGACTGGAAGCTGTGTCGTGGGCTCAAGAGTAGGACTGGCAAGTTCTGCGAAGTGGAGCAGGCCTCTGCAGCTCGGCGCCCCGGGCCTCGCCAGGACCCCTCCCTGCCGGGGCCTTCTGTAGAGGGGGTTGAATTGGGGCTTGCTCTGAGAGCAAGTAAGACTTTAAAGGTTGTCTCATTTCAAGTAACTGCGTCTTCCTCTGTAGACACTTAAAGAATCCTGTAATAGCACAGAAGATCCAGAAGCTGATGGATGTGGGTCTGATTGCAATTCGGTGATGACTTGTTCATCCCCCCTTCCCTTCGCCCTCATGTGGAAAGAGGAGCTGGGACCGCGGCGAGCAGCACGGAGCGGAAGGGAGAGCAGGGGAGAGAAGGCCTCATCTCTCTATATTTATACATAACCCCGGGGAAGACACAGAGACTCGTACCTGCGCTGTTTGTGCCGCCGCTGCCTCTGGGCCCTCCCAGCACACGCATGGTCTCTTCACCGCTGCCCTCGAGTTCCATGTCTCTTTCCCCTGCCCCTAGTTGCTGTCTCGGCTGCTCTCCCATAGTTGGTTTTTTTTTTATTTGGGGCAGTGGGCATGTTATGGGGAGGGGAGGGGGTTCTTCCAGCCTCAGGTCCCAGCTGTCTCACGTTGTTTATTCTGCGTCCCCTTCTCCAATAAAACAAGCCAGTTGGGCGTGGTTATATGTTGCTTTGGCCTTGAGTGATTTTTTTTTTTTTTTTAAACCAGGAGTTTGTCTTGCAGGGGCTGCTCCTGGAACCTGATCTTGCTCTTCTCTTTGGGGCGGGCTTAGGAGGAGTCCCAAGCTGTGGCTTGGCACAGCTCCATGGCTTTGCCAAGAAGGTTGCCAGATGGCGCTGTTGCTCAGCAGCTGGAAGGGAATCTGAAGGCTTCCCCACCCCAAGTAGTACCAATGAGAGGTTCAGATAAGCTTTGGGTGCTGTTAATTCTCCACGTTATAGTGGAGATCCAGAGAACAGGATTCTAATGTGAGATGCTGAGACCTCTGTGGGGAGAGGGCAGCTATGCTGTTAGCTGCTGTTAGATTTAGGAGTTGGGTCATGGATTGTTTTTGTTTTGTTATTTGAGATGGAGTCTCAGGCTGGAGTGCAGTGGTGTGATCTCGGCTCACTGCAACCTCCACCTCCTGGGTTCAAACGCTTCTCCTACCTCAGCCTCCCCAGTAGCTGGGATTACAGGAGCCTGCTACCACACCCAGCTAATTATTATATTTTAGTGGAGACAGGTGTTTCGCCATATTGGCCAGGCTAGTCTCGAACTCCTGACCTCAAGTGATCCACCCGCCTCAACCTCCCAAAGTGCTGGGATTACAGGCATGAGCCACTGCACCCCACTGGGTGATGGGTTTTTTTTGTTTGTATTTTTTGAGATGGTGTCTCTCTCTGTCGCCCAGGCTGGAGTGCAGTGGCGTGATCCAGCTCACTGCAAGCTCTGCCTCCCGGGTTCACGCCATTCTCCTGCCTCAGTCTCCCGAGTAGCTGGGACTACAGGCGCCCGCCACCACGCCCGGCTAATTTTTTGTTTGTTTGTTTGTTTGTATTTTTAGTAGAGACGGGGTTTCACCGTGTTAGCCAGGATGGTCTCAATCTCCTGACCTCGTGATCCACCCGCCTGGACTTCCCAAAGTGCTGGGGTTAACAGGCGTGAGCCACCGCGCCCGGCCTGGGTGATGGTTTTAATGCACGGCTCTTACCTGAGAACTTAGGGTGCTAAGCTTTAATTACACTTTTCCATGGTTGCAACAAGCTGCGTTTTCTAAAGCTCTCTTCCTGGACTGGGGAGGCCTTTGGGGCAGGAGTAAAACTTCCTCATTTGCTCCAAGAGTGCTGCTTTCTGGGCTAGGAAGGCGCTGAGACTAGCAGCTGGCTGGACTTCCTGCTGTTAGTTTCATCAGCTTTCTTTTCCCCTGGGAATCCCCGGCAGGCCGCCCCCTTCCCCATCTGAGTGGCGATGCTCAGGTAGCCTCCCCCATTGGCAGGACTCTGCCGCCCCCAGGCTTGCCCACCCTGCATGCTCCAACCCCAGTGTGTTCACTGGAAAGGCCGCTGTCCTGCGCAGAGCTGGTGGCGGACGTGCCTTGCTCTACTGAAGTCCACATCCTAGGGCAGGTGATGAGCAGGAGGGTATAGACCACCAGAGACCCCTGAGGTGTCACCTAAGCAGGGACTTGATGGGAGTGAGCCTCGTGGGGACTCGGGGAGGCTCATCCAAGTGGAGCACAGTGGAGGGGTCGTGTTTGGAGCTGGGTGACCTGAGGGCCCGGGAGGTTGTGGATGGTCTGGGCCAAGTACTGTTCACTTGTTCACCTGGCAGGTCTGAGTTCATGAGTTTGAAGGTAGCCCTACGCGGAGCTAGGAAAAACTGCAAAATGGACTTGTTTCCCTCTGGGGCCTTGAGGGATCCTTGGTTGATAGGGATAGCCAGGCTGGAGCCGATTTAACCTGTGAGTCCCAAATAACCTGGATACACTCTGTCGACTCCTGGGCTCTCCCTCCGGCAGCCCAGTGATGTTTCAAAGCCCAAGGTCCCCACCTCATGTGACAGGCTGAGGATGGCAGACACTTCCCACAAAAGTGGACCTAGCCCTGAACACACACAGCCGGGGGACTTGTTGAGTTTGCACTGAGCTTCCCTCCAAATGAGGAAGGGGGCGTTTTTATGGTGTTGAGTCGCTAAGCCCCGCTCTCCCTAGCTTCCTGTGCTCTCTGGGGACAAAGGTGGGGGGGCCCCTGGAACCCTCTGTGGGCTGGCAGTGTGCTTCCTGCACCCAGCGCCAGCCCGCCCTGGGGAGGGGCTGAACCCGCCCTGCTCGTGATAAGGCACAAGCAAGGGCTGCCCTGAAGGAAGCTCCAAAGAGAAAGGAGGGCAGGAAGCCCACGGCCCACAGGGGTGTAGCCCGAGACCCACCTGCAGCCCCCAGCCCTTGCCAGGAAAGGTAAGCTCAGGCCTCACTGGGACCCTGGGCCCTTCTCTTCCTTATCCTCCTGCAGCCTCTGCCCAGCCTGCCTCTCGCCATGCGGCAGCCTGAACTTTCCACCTCCCCGGAGAGGCTTTGGCTGGTTTGTGATGTTGGCATCTGAGCTGTGGGCCAGGATCGGAACTACTTCCTGGCCTGGGTACGAAGCCATGGCCAGAGTGGGCAGCTGCCCCTGAGGGTCTGGGAGTGAGCTGTGGGCTGGCATTGAGCACGGTGGTCCTGAGTGAGCCCCTTCTTACCCGGCCTCAGTCTGCCCGCCTGTAGGATGGGAGCGGATTGGACTACATGGTCTCTGAGGGCCCTCGCGGCTCAAGCGCCAGCGCTGGAGAGAGAGTCTGAGGGTACCACGGGCGTGCTGGCCTGGGTGCTCACTCCCGCCCTCCTTCATGAGCGGCTTTCCTCTGGGTGTGTCCAGGGCATCACAGAGCTCTTCTGCCCAAACCCGGAGGCCTACCAGGGCCTGCCCACCTTGCCTCCTTCCACACTCTCTGTAGCAGCAGCCGCAGCCATGGCGGGGATGAAGACAGCCTCCGGGGACTACATCGACTCGTCATGGGAGCTGCGGGTGTTTGTGGGAGAGGAGGACCCAGAGGCCGAGTCGGTCACCCTGCGGGTCACTGGGGAGTCGCACATCGGCGGGGTGCTCCTGAAGATTGTGGAGCAGATCAGTGAGTGTCCGCTGCCCGCTTGCTGAACTCGGCACCATGGGCGGCCGCCACGGGTGTCTCTGGGCACTTCCGGGCCATCCCTGCTGCTCAGCTCCCGATAATGGTGTCACGGTGACTCAGGCATTAGCTTAATCATTTGGTTCCAAAAAAGACATTTCCCCAACTTCCTCTCCCTCCCACCCTCTTCCCTCCCTCCCTTCTGCTGCAGCTGGTCTGCTAAGGATCAGACGCAGCCACAATCCTCCATTCAGCCACCAATAGGGGCAGAAGGAGTGGTCTTGTCTGGGCCGAGGCTGAAGTCACATTGCTGAGGTCTGAGGGGGTCTAGGTGACCCAGGGGCCTGCCCCCACGCTCCCTCCCCTTGGCGGAAGCTTTGAGCAGGTTGGTGACAGGCCCAGCCTGGGTGGGAAGGCCCTGCCCCCACAGGAAGTTACAGCAGAGCAGCTGTGGTATCAGTCATGGAGGACCACGGGGCTAGTGACACGGGGGCTCCTCATCTTCCTTCCCTGCCGGGGGTGGGGGCTACCCCTTCCTGAGAGAGCAGCAGGAAGACCCCGATAGGCAGAGCCGGAAGACAGGCCCACCACAGTCCCGGCCAAGAGCCTGGGCCTGGGCTGCCAGTGGGTGGGGGGTGGGTGATGGTGGGGAGGCTTCCTCAGACCCCGCCAGGCCACCATGTGCAGCACAGGAGGAGGTCAGTCCGACTGTGGAGAGGATAGGGTCCAGAACGGCCCGGCCACAAGACTGAGGCTGTGAGGGGAGCTGCCAGGGGCAGGGCCCGGAGCAGCTGTGAGAATAGAAGTGAGGAACAGAGAGAGGGTGGTGAAGACCTGGGTGGCCCCAGGGCACGGCATGAGGGTAACGCAGGAGGCCTTAACCTGGAGTCAGACAGACCCCGCTGCTCTACCCGCTGCTGGGCACCCCAGGGCAAGTTCCTTTAGCTCTGTGTTCCCTGTGGTGGGGATACTGTCACTCCTAAGCACATCAGCTCTGTCTACTGATGCTCAGCCTGGCCGCCCCGGGCCAGTCCCTGGCCTCCTGGAGCAGCAGCGGGTGAGACTGACCCATGGGGGCTGCGTGCCGGCTGCCGCACAGAGGGCGCTATCATGGGGGCCTGGAGCCAGAGGAGGGGGCTGCCCCGAGCCCAGGATGGGGATAACCCCAGGAGAAGTCCTGAGAGGTGGCCTCAGCAGGGAGGAGCAAGGTGGTGGCGCTGGGACTCGGAGGGCTGTGAATTAGGGCTCTCGGCTGGTGAGGATGCTGGGAGCGTGACCAGAAATGAGGCTGGCTGGTGCCTGGCCAGCTCTGCATGGCCCCGAAGGCCTCCAGAAGGGGTCTAGACTTTCTTCTGGAGGGGAAGGTGGCCACCGAAGGGTTCTCAGCAGGAGGCTGTCCTGCTAAGGTCAGCAGCAAGGCGAAAGGCTGGTGGCGGCAGGCCCCTGAGGAGGCTGTGGTCCTGGTTAGAGACACCAGGGCCTCCTAAGGCCGGGCAGGGAGGATGGAGAGGAGGGTGGATTTTAGAGGTGGGATTGGCATTGATTACATGTGGTGGCTAGAAGAGAAAGGGAGGATGCCTGGGCCTTTGGCGCGAGTCCGTGTCCCCCAGCCCTGAGAGGTGGTGTAGGGAGCTGGTGAGGAGGGGGAGCTGGCTAGGAGAGGGCACCTCTGTGCACAGCGAGTCTGAGCTGAGCTCCAAAAGCCGAGACCAGGAGTCATGGTGCTTACAGTCCCAGTGTCAGCCACTCGGCCACAGGAACAGAGGGTTCTGGAAAGGAGGAAGCCGGTGGACAGGCCCCTCAGCTGGCAGCACATGGGTTTCTGGCTGGGGGCCCAGGGCAGGGTCTGGGCCGAGGGCCACGCATGGGGAGGCAGCAGAAAATGGCAACTGAAACCACAGAATAGGGAGACCCAGTAAGGGGACCTGGCCGAGGCAGGAGAAGAGGGTCCCAGGCCGAACCTGGGGAAAGGACAAGGTAAGGGGCCGGTCAGGAGAGGGACCGGAGAGGGGCCAGAGAGGACAGGAGAAGAGCAAGGAGCCAAGACAAGGGGATGCGGCGGCACACAGCCAGAGTCCCACTGGGGTGCCCAGGAGGGAAGGGCCCAGCCTGGGAGGGGAAGTGCCGGAGGACGAGCGCTTCTCTTGGTTTGGCAGCAGTGGTGATGCCCGGCATGTGCAGCAGTGGGGTTGGGGGCTGGCTGAGGTGGGTGGGATGCAGTGGGAATCAGAAAACTCACCGGGAGGACCTGGGAGGAACTCAGGAAACAGGGCTTTGCAAACTCTCAAGGGCTGTGTGCCCAGAGCAGCTTTCCGGCAGCCTTTTTCCTATGCTCTCTCCCACCTGTTCATGCTCCTGGAGGGAGGAGGCGGGGAGACCTGTGCCTTCCATTACTGTAACTCCAGTTCCCAGCTGGCTGACAAGGGACAGACGCACATCTCTAATTCAATGCTCACTCATGGATCGTCATGTGCGTGCACAAGTTTGCTGCAAACCCTGCAGCTACCACATGGGAGGCCTTGTTCCGTGTCCCAGTTTGTAAGATCGTTATTGTATCTTACAGGGAAACTGAGGCCCAGTGAGGTTAAGTGGCTTGTCCAAGGTCACACAGCTAATAGCTAAAAATATTGAGTGCTCACTGCTCCAGGCCAGGCACAGGTCCAGGCCCTGAGGACATACAACGGTGAGACAGACGTAGTCTCTGCCTCCAGGAGCTCCCCAGAATGCAAGACAGAGGCTGTTAAACCGTGGATTATGGGAGGACAGAGGGGGCGTCATGTGGAGGGAGCCCAGTGGGCTGGAATGCAAGAGATGGGGCGCTAAGATTGGGGCACTCAGATGCTGGGTTGGAGAGCTCCCCTGGGAAGCGATATAGAAGCCAAGCCTAGAAGGCCAAATCAGGGGCTGCCTGCAGAGAGCCCTGCTGCTGTTACCATGGGGTAGACCCCAGGCCCGCCCAGGCTGCCCCACTCTTGGCTTAGGCAGGGCAGGGGAGTGGTCGCCCCAGGCTTCTGAATCCTGGGGTTGTGCTGGGTGTTGGGGGCACCAGGGAGGAAGGTTGGACCCAGATGTGCCCCCGTGCCCCACAGATCGCAAGCAGGACTGGTCAGACCATGCTATTTGGTGGGAACAGAAGAGGCAGTGGCTGCTGCAGACCCACTGGACACTGGACAAGTACGGGATCCTGGCCGACGCACGCCTCTTCTTTGGGCCCCAGCACCGGCCCGTCATCCTTCGGTTGCCCAACCGCCGCGCACTGCGCCTCCGTGCCAGCTTCTCCCAGCCCCTCTTCCAGGCTGTGGCTGCCATCTGCCGCCTCCTCAGTAAGTTGCCCGGCTGATTCCCCTGGCCCACGAGGGTGATGCAAAGAGGCAGGTTCCCCCGTTTCCAGGCCCAGCTCTGTTGACGCTGTCCTTGCTGTCTGGGTTGCCACCCTGCCTGCAGGGCTGTGACCCGCCCCAAGCACCCATGGGTGAGGTGGGGAGGCTGCAGCAGGACCTAGTCCCCGCTGAGACCCTAGCTCCCCTCAGGCATCCGGCACCCCGAGGAGCTGTCCCTGCTCCGGGCTCCTGAGAAGAAGGAGAAGAAGAAGAAAGAGAAGGAGCCAGAGGAAGAGCTCTATGACTTGAGCAAGGTTGTCTTGGCTGGGGGTGAGTGCAAGTGGGGGTGGGCCTGGGGGGTTGGGGGCAGGGGCCGGCCCGTGAGTCCCAGCCCTGGGGGACAGGCCTGGTTGACTCCCAACCTGCACTCCAGGCGTGGCACCTGCACTGTTCCGGGGGATGCCAGCTCACTTCTCGGACAGCGCCCAGACTGAGGCCTGCTACCACATGCTGAGCCGGCCCCAGCCGCCACCCGACCCCCTCCTGCTCCAGCGTCTGCCACGGCCCAGCTCCCTGTCAGACAAGACCCAGCTCCACAGCAGGTGCACCCAGGAGCCACGCCCCCTGTGTCAGGGCTCCCCCACCCAGGATCCACCCCCTGTCCCGTGTCTGTGCCCACCCCAGATCCACACTTCGTTTCCAGGCCTTTTCTCTGTGTGTGCTTGTCCCCCCAGCCCAGCCCCCCTCCCCACCCCACGGCCGTACCTGGCGCAGCCCTGACTGCTGCTTCTGCCGCGGCCCAGGTGGCTGGACTCGTCGCGGTGTCTCATGCAGCAGGGCATCAAGGCCGGGGACGCACTCTGGCTGCGCTTCAAGTACTACAGCTTCTTCGATTTGGATCCCAAGGTGGGTCGGGGCAGGGAGAAAGCGGGCCTCAGGTCCATGAGATGTGGAGACCTAGGGCCTGGGGTATGGGCTCTGGGATGTTAGTGACTTGTAGTGGCCTGTCCGTCTGCCCGTTTGTCCATCCACACCTTTGTTTACTGACCCCACAAACACCCACTGAAACTCATCTACTCACCTCAGCATCAGGCCAGGTCCTGGGCCCCGGGCAGATGCTGAAGCGGATGAAGACCAGTAAGTCTCAGTGCCTGTTTCCCAGGGAGCTGTCAGGGAGGAAGCTAAGACCCACAGATCCTCATAGACAGTGTGTGTGTGGGTGCCCCTGAGAAGTCTGGGGCTCAGGTGGGAGAGGCCCAAGCCTGGGAGCTCTGGGAAGGCTTCCTGGAGGGGGCACCATTAGGGACTGCAGGACCTGGGGGTGGGTGAGGAAGGAAGCTTTGCAGGGTGGCCCCTCTGTGCCCTGTTCACTCTTCCTCCCTTCCTCCATTGGCAACCAACATGCTCCAGGCAAAATGCTCCATGCAATGTGCTTCGCGCACATCTCAAAAACTTCCCAGAAGTCCACAGGTTGCTCTTTCTACCTGTAGGCCCCACCTCTCTGCCCCCTTTCTCTGCAAAACATCGTAGTTGTCTGAACGCTTGCTCCGCAGAATCCCACTTCTTGCTTCCAAGCTTTCTCTGGGTGCTGTTCGACTCCCTCTCACTCCTTGGCCATGGCTATTCTATATATTTTGACACCATCCACACGTGAGAAGTGCACCTGCTGAGGTGGCCACGTCTCCAGGCTATCTGTTCCCTGGCCATGTCCCACCCGCTTCTTACTTGACCACTTACTTGCAGCATAGACACCACCCCGACCACTCCTCCAGAATATCTTCCTCCTGAAGCCTCCTGTACACTTGCTTGGGGGGTGGCCTCTCCCCAAGCCACTCTGCCAGGCTCTGTGATGTTCCCTCCTCCTCTCCATGGCCTCTCGGTGTTGGTGAGCCCCAGGCTCTGCCCCAGGCTCTGCTCTGGGCCTCTGCTCTCTCCTCTCCTTCTCTCAGTCATCTCCAGTCTTGTGGATTTCAATACCATCTCCACACTCTCTCCCAGCTGATCATCTCCAGCTCAGATGTCTCTCTCCTAAGCTTTATTTATTTATATATTTATTTATTTTTATTTTTTGAGACACAGTCTTGCTCTGTTGTCCAGACTGGAGGGCAGTAGTGTTATCCCGGCTAACTGCAGCCTGGACCTCCCAGGGTCATGTGATCCTTAAGCCTCAGCTCCCCAAGTAGCTGGGACGATAGGCGTGTACTATACCTGGCTAATTTTTTTTTTTTTTTTGACATGGAGTCTTGCTCTGTTGCCCAAGCTAGAGTGCAGTGGTGCAATCTCGGCTCACTGCAACCTCTTCCTCCTGGGTTCAAGCAATTCTCCTGGGATTACAGGTGTGGGCCTGGCTAATTTTTGTATTTTTTTAGTAGAGATGGAGTTTCACCATATTGGTCAGGCTGGTCTCGAACTCCTGACCTCAGGTGATCCACCTGCCTCAGCCTCCCAAAGTGCTGGGGTTATAGGAGTGTATTTTTTTAGTAGAGATGGAGTTTCACCATATTGGTCAGGCTGGTCTCGAACTCCTGACCTCAGGTGATCCACCCGCCTCAGCCTCCCAAATTGCTGGGGTAATAGGAGTGTATTTTTTTAGTAGAGATGGAGTTTCACCATATTGGTCAGGCTGGTCTCGAACTCCTGACCTCAGGTGATCCACCCGCCTCAGCCTCCCAAAGTGCTGGGGTTATAGGAGCGAGCCACTGCGCCTGGCCTAATTTTTTTTTTTTTTTTTTTGAGATGGAGTCTTGCTCTTGTTGCCCAGGCTGGAGTGCAATGACGTGATCTCAGGTCATCACAACCTCCGCCTCCTGGGTTCAAGCAGTTCTCCTGCCTCAGCCTCCCGAGTAGCTGGGATTACAGGCGTTGAGCCACCATGCCCAGCTAATTTTGTATTTTTAGTAGAGATGGACGGGGTTTCTCCATGTTGGTCAGACTGGTCTCGAACTCCTGACCTCAGGTGATTTGCCCACTTTGGCCTCCCAAAGTGCTGGGATTACAGGCGTGAGCCACGGCGTCGGGCCAGCTGTGCCTTTTTATTCTAGTGTTTTCTTCTCTATGACATATTTCCACTTCTTTGTTTTGCCATTTCACACATTATCTATTGACTTTGTAAGAAGGTTTCACTGTCTTACATTCTCTTCCCTGCCCACACAATACACACATTTCCTTGCCTCTTTCTAAGTGAGTAGTGTCTGTAGTCTTTGGTTAAAACAATGTGATATGGCTGTAAATAGTAACACATATAAATAGTGTTCCTAGTTAAGCCACAGAGTAACTATGATTATTTTTTCCCTTTTTGCTCAAATGGTTTTGAAGTTCATAATTGCCTTTTTTTTTTTTTTTTTTGAGATGAGTTTTGCTCTTGTTGCCCAGGCTGGAGTACAATGGCACAATCTCAGCTCACTGCAACCTCCACCTCGCGGATTCAAGCGATCTCCTGCTTCAGCCTCCCAAGTAGCTGGGACTGCAGGCACGCGCCACCATGCCCAGCTAACTGTATTTATTTATCTATTTTTGTTGTTGAGATGGAGTCTCGCTCTTGTTGCCCAGGCTAGAGTGCAATGGTGTGATCTTGGCTCACTGCAACCTCCGCCTCCCGGATTCAAGCGATTCTCCTGCCTCAGCCTCCCTAGTAGCTGGGATTACAGGCGCCCACCACCACGCCTGGCTAATTTTTTGTATTTTTAGTAGAGATGGGGTTTCACCATGTTGGTCAGGCTGGTCTCAAACTCCTGCCCTCAGGCGATCCACCTGCCTCAACCTCCCAATATGCTGGGATTACAGGCGTGAGCCACCATGCCTGGCCTACACTTTTCTTTCTTATTTTTCGGTTCTTTTTCTTTCTGTGTCCTACTCTCCGGAGACCTCTTCAACTTATCTTCTAAAATATCTATTGAATTTTTAATTTCTGTAACTATATTTTTAAGTTCCAAGAGCTCTTGTTTTTTGAGTGTTCTTTTATAGGGTTTTTTTTTTTTTGAGAGGGAGTTTCATTCTTGTTGCCCAGGCTGGAGTGCAATGGCGTGATCTCGGCCCACTGCAACCTCTGCCTCCTGGGTTCACGCGATTCTCCTGCCTCAGCCTCCCACATAGCTGGGATTACAGATGCCCACCGCCACCATGCCCAGCTAATTTCTTCTTGTATTTTGAGTAGAGATGGGATTTCACCATGTTGGCCAAGCTGGTCTCGAACTCCTGACCTCAGGTGATCCACCTGCCTTGGCCTCCCAAAGTGCTGGGATTACAGGCATGAGCCACCACGCCCGGCTCAGCTTATTTTTAACAAATGTGTATGGTTGTGCAACCATCACCACAATCCAGTTTTAGAACATTTCCACTGCCCCAGACAAGCACTGATTGCACGATGCCCATTTGCAGTCATTCCTCCTCCCACACCCCGACCACCACTGATCTGCTTTCCATGTGGCTTTAATTTACATTTCCCTGATGACTAATAAAGTTGAGTCCCTTTTCATAAGGCTATTAGCCATCTGGATATCCTGCTTTGTGAGGTTTCTGTTCAAACATTTTGACAATTGTCATATTGAGTCGTTTGTCTTTTTCTTATTGATTTGTAGGAGTTCTTTATATATTCTGGATATGAGCACTTTGCCAGATAAATACATTGTGAATATATTTTCCCCCTCTGTGCTTTGCCTTTTAATTGTCTGAATGGTTTCTTTTCATAAACAGCAGCTCTTTATTTTAATAGAACCAAATTTATATTTTTATCTTTCTTTTTTTATTTTTAGAGATGGGGTCTCGCTCTGTCACCCAGACTAGAGTGCAGTGGTGCGATCATAGCTCACTGCAACCTTGAACTCCTGGGCTCAAGCAATCTTCCTGCCTTAGCTTCCTGAGTGGCTGGGGCTACAGGCATGTGCCACAAGCCTGGCTAATTCTTTAAAAATTGTTTAGAGATGGAGTTTTGCTACGTTGCCCAGATTGGGTCTCAAGTTATCCTCCCGCTTCGGCTTCCTGAGAAGTTGGGATTTTTTTTTTTTTTTTAGACGGAGTCTCACTCTGTCACACTCAGGCTGGAGTGCAGTGGTACGATCTCGGCTTACTGCAACCTCCGCCTCCCGGGTTCAAGAGATTCCCCTGCCTCAGCCTCCTGAGTAGCTGGGATTATAGGCATCTGCCACCACACCCAACTAATTTTTGTATTTTTAGTAAAGACAGGATTTCACTATGTTGGTCAGGCTGGTCTCACACTCCTGACCTCAAATGATCCGCCCGCCTCGGCCTCCCAAAGTGCTAGGATTACACGCGTGAGCCACTGCGCCCAGTTACATTCCTTTAAAAAAAGAATATTCTGGTCTTGATTTATGAGTGCAGTGCTTTAGCTCTGTAAGGATTTTTTTTTTTTTTTTTGAGATGGAGTCTTCTTCTGTCACCCAGGCTGGAGTGCAATGGCAAGATCTCGGCTCACTGCAACCTCTGCCCCCCTGGTTCAAGCCATTCTCCTGCCTCAGCCTTCCGAGCAGCTGGGATTACAGGCATGCACCACCACGCCTGGCCTAATTATTTTTGTATTTTTAGTAGAGACGGGGTTTCACCACATTGGCCAGGCTGGTCTCAAACTCCTGACCTCGTGATCTGCCCGCTTCAGCCTCCCAAAGTGCTGGGATTACAGGCGTGAGCCACCGGGCCCAGCCTCTATAAGGATTTTTTCGCCGGGCGCGGTGGCTCACGCCTGTAATCCCAGCACTTTGGGAGGCCAAGGAGGGCGGACCATGAGGTCAGGAGATCGAGACCATCCTGGCTAACACGGTGAAACCCTGTCTCTACTAAAAATACAAAAAATTAGCCGGGCGTGGTGGTGGGCGCCTGTAGTCCCAGCTACTTGGGAGGCTGAGGCAAGAGAATGGCGTGAACCTGGGAGGCGGAGCTTGCAGTGAGCCGAGATCACGCCACTGCACTCCAGCCTGGGTGACAGAGCGAGACTCCATCTCAAAAAAAAAAAAAAAAAAAAAAGGCGGGTGCCACCATGCCCAGCTAATTTTTGTACTCTACAAGGATTTTGATTCACGTTTGAAGTTCTCTTCTGCGCCCTACCTGGCCTTTATTTCCTCCAAGCTGTTTTATTCTTGTTGTCTTGGTCTCTATGGTTCACTCTTGAAGCTTTCCTTAAATGTGGGTAGTCCATGCCTGTCCATTCATATTTAAAAGTGAAGCTCTAAGAAACCAATTGGAGACCCTGAGTGTGTGAGTAGGGCTTGGCATCTTGGTGGCCCCCTGGAGGCGATGGGGCCGGGCTGCCACTCTTTGTCGGGCATTTCTCTGGTGGCTCAGCCTCTCAGTGGCAACCCCACTGATCTTTCAACTGGAGATAGAAGGCTTCCTGCCAATGTCTTGGGTGACAAGTGGGAAAGGGTGTGGGTGTGTCACTCATCTGAATGCCAGCTTTCTTTAAATTTGTGTTTTTGCCGGGCACGGTGGCTCACGCCTGTAATCCCAGCACTTTGGGAGGCCAAGGCAGGTGGATCACCTGAGGTCAGGAATTTGAGACCAGCCTGATCAACATGGAGAAAGCCTGTATCTACTAAAAATACAAAAGTAGCTGGGCGTGGTGGTGCATGCCTGTAATCCCAGCTACTCAGGAGGCTGAGGCAGGAGAATCGCTTGAACCCGGGAGGCGGAGGTTGCGGTGAGCCAAGATCGTGCCATTGTACTCCAGCCTGGGCAACAAGAGCAAAACTCCATCTTAAAAAAAAAAAATTGTCTGTTTTCACCCTAGTGCAACCCCCACCCCGTCCAGCTGTGTCTGGGGTACCAAATGCAGGGGTGCATCTGGCTCAGCATCTCCAGAGAGTGAGTCCCAGCTTCTGCCAGGTGTCTCCTTGCCATCACTTGGCTGCATGGAGCTGGGGAGGGACCTGCTTTTTTTCTTGGACTTTATCCAGAGTCCTCTCTTCAGCTCACCCTCGCATCTCATCCAGAGGATCCCCATCAGAGCCTGCCAGGGGTCCGCCATGCAAACTGGATGCCTCTGTTGAGATCTCTGTTCTTTTTGCTGATTGCTTTCCGCCTATTTTCAAGTCTCATTGGTGGATTTACCAGACAGGAGAGGGACAAGGCGTGAGGCCCTAGCGCTCTCTGCATAACCCAGTTCCCATCTACAGTTTGCTCTCCATCTTCCAAATTATTTCCTTTTTCCTTTTTTTTTTTTTTTTTTTTTGTGACGGAGTCTCGCTCTGTCGCCCAGGCTGGAGTGCAGTGGCACGATCTCGGCTCACTGCAAGCTCCGCCTCCCGGGTTCACGCCGTTCTCCTGCCTCAGCGTCCTGAGTAGCTGGGATTACAGGCGCCCGCCACCACGCCTGGCTAATTTTTTTGTATTATTAGTAGAGACAGGGTTTCACTGTGTTAGCCAGGATGGTCTTGATCTCCTGACCTCGTGATCCACCGACCTCGGCCTCCCAAAGTGCTGGGATTACAGGCGTGAGCCACTGCGCCTGGCCTTCTTTTTCTTTCTTTTGGAGACAAGGTCTCACTCTATCCCCCAAGCTGGAGTGCAATGGTGCAATTACAGCTCACTGCACCCTCAACCTCATGGGTTCAGGTGATTCTCCCACCTCAGCATCCTGAGTACCTGGGACTACAGGCACGCACCACCTCATGTGGCTAATTTTTTGTATTTTTAGTAGAGATAGGGTTTCACCATGTTGCCCAAGCTGGTCTGAAACTCCTGGGCTCAAGCTATCTGCCTGCCTTGGCCTCCCAAAGTGCTGGGATTACAGGCGCAAGCCACCGCCCCGGCCTGTCCTTTGTCCTTTTGGGTTTATCTTCCTAAACCTTTGCTATCAATTTTGGGTGAGTTTCAGCGGGATTGTTGGTCTTCTGTGGGTAACTGGGATCCCCTCTTGGAGTCTCTGCCTTCCCAGTTCCTTTTCTCTGGAATCCTCTTCCTTCACGCTTCCCTTGAGTGGCCCACTGTCATCCTTCCTATCTCTACTCAGCTTGTCACCTCCTCAGGGAAGCCTTCCCTGACTGCTTCCCCATGTTCCATTCTGTCATCTCCATTGAACTTGGGGGGGCCTTAGACTGAGGGCTCATGTGAGCTTCCCTGTGGAAACTGTTTCCTTGATAGTGTTTATTGCAGCCTTGGATTATTTGACTTATTGATTGGTTTACTCGGTCTCTCCTGCACCCAGGGCAGCATGCCAGCACACAGTAAACATCAGCACAACCAAGCCAAGGTTTAGACGTGCAGGCCTGGGCAGCAGGGGGCTAGCAGGCTATTAAGGATGGGGTTGAGGTCTGTGGCCCATGTCTGGCCACTGAATGAATCTGCCTCAGCAAGGAGGGCAGGGCAGAGGGCCAAGGCTGGCAGGGGCTCAGTGCAGGGCGTCCAGGGCAGCTGGCATCTGACCAGCCCAGCCTCCAGCCTCCTCTCCCCCCGCTCCAGACAGACCCCGTGCGGCTGACACAGCTGTATGAGCAGGCCCGGTGGGACCTGCTGCTGGAGGAGATTGACTGCACCGAGGAGGAGATGATGGTGTTTGCCGCCCTGCAGGTACCAGGCGGGCCTGGGGGCACCAGGGCAGGTGGGAGGTGAGCCAGTCCCAGGGCAGGAAGGGCCTTCCTGAGTGGGGGCTACCTCCAGGGAAGCCCGGCCTGGGGGTACTGCTAGGGGACCAGGCTGCTGGACTCAGCCCTCCCTGGCTTCATGACCACCTAGTACCACATCAACAAGCTGTCCCAGAGCGGGGAGGTGGGGGAGCCGGCTGGCACAGACCCAGGGCTGGACGACCTGGATGTGGCCCTGAGCAACCTGGAGGTGAAGCTGGAGGGGTCGGCGCCCACAGATGTGCTGGTGAGGAGGGGCTCAGGGCAGGGGCTGGGCAGGGAGAACTGTGAGGTACCGGGTGCCCCTCTGACTCTGGTCCTCCCATAGGACAGCCTCACCACCATCCCAGAGCTCAAGGACCATCTCCGAATCTTTCGGTGAGTTGGGGGCCAGAGTAGGCAGCCCTGCTGGAGGGGTTGGTCTGCATATGGAGGGAGGGGGTGAGGCGGCCTTTCACAAACCCCAGCATCCCACGAAGGCCCCGGAAGCTGACCCTGAAGGGCTACCGCCAACACTGGGTGGTGTTCAAGGAGACCACACTGTCCTACTACAAGAGCCAGGACGAGGCCCCTGGGGACCCCATTCAGCAGCTCAACCTCAAGGGTAAGTGCACAGGGCCAGGGGCTGGGTGGGGGGATCCCCACTTGTGGGCTAGGCAGGTGAATGCTCTCACCGGCCCTGTTTCCTCCTGGAGACCGGGGAAGATGCCCTCTGTCCTGAGGTGACGGTGTGGGCTAGGATGCACTCCAGGACCTCAGGCGGCTCTTCCCCTCCCGACCTCCTAGACCACCCCTTCTCTCCCTCCAGGCTGTGAGGTGGTTCCCGATGTTAACGTCTCCGGCCAGAAGTTCTGCATTAAACTCCTAGTGCCCTCCCCTGAGGGCATGAGTGAGATCTACCTGCGGTGCCAGGATGTGAGTGAGGGCTGGGCAGGGGCCAGGGCCGGGCAGGAGCTGGGGCAGGGGCAGGGGCTGAGGAGCATCAAGCTTGGTTAGCACTGTCCCCCTCACCCCTCTCGCCCAGGAGCAGCAGTATGCCCGCTGGATGGCTGGCTGCCGCCTGGCCTCCAAAGGCCGCACCATGGCCGACAGCAGCTACACCAGCGAGGTGCAGGCCATCCTGGCCTTCCTCAGCCTGCAGCGCACGGGCAGTGGGGGCCCGGGCAACCACCCCCACGGCCCTGATGCCTCTGCCGAGGGCCTCAACCCCTACGGCCTCGTTGCCCCCCGTTTCCAGCGAAAGTTCAAGGCCAAGCAGGTACCAGAAGGCGTCAGGGTGGGAATGAGCATAGTGTTTACCCAGAGACCTCTGACCCCTGGGTCTCCACAGAGCCTTCCTCAGGAAAGCTACGTACTCACTGGGCTTCTCCCACTGTGTCCCTGAGATTGTGCGGCTGGTACCCACCCTTTGGGAGGAGTCACGGTCCAGGTGCCCATGTCCACCTTGCAGCCTGGCGCAGTGCAGATCTGCACCTTGGCGGCCCCACGTGGGCACTGCCCCTTCCCAGGCTCACATGCTGTCACCCTGATGGGGAGGTGGGGGCTCGGTGACTCTGGAGGAGGGGAATAGTGCCTGGCAGCCCGTCACCAGTATGGTCCCGCAGCTCACCCCACGGATCCTGGAAGCCCACCAGAATGTGGCCCAGTTGTCGCTGGCAGAGGCCCAGCTGCGCTTCATCCAGGCCTGGCAGTCCCTGCCCGACTTCGGCATCTCCTATGTCATGGTCAGGTATGGCCCCTGGCCCAGCCCCCTGCCCAGCACCGTCTCTGCCCTCACCTGCCACCCGGCTGCTGTGTGCCCACATCCCAAGAGTAGGTTCTGGACAGGCACCCCAAAGACTCCCTTCCCTTGTTCTTTGTAAGCAGGCCTTACTGAGGGCCCCATGTGTGCCCCTCATGCTGTCCCTCCACAACAAACATAAGAGACAAAGCTCACGCCAGGTACTGGGGCTCATGCCTGTAATCTCAGCACTTTGGGAGGCAGAGATAGGAGGATCACTTGAACCCAGGAGTTTGAGACCAGCCTGGGCAACACAGAAAGTCCCTCGTCTCTACAAAAAATTGTAAAAAATTACCTGGGCATGGTGGTGGTCACCTGTAGTCCAGCTACTCAGGAGGCTGAGGTGGGAGGATCTCTTGAGCCTGGGAGGTCAAGACTGCAGTGAGCCGTGATCACACTACTGCACTCCAGCCTGGGTGACAAAGCGAGACTCTGTCTCAAAAATAAATAGGCTGGGCCAAGCATGGTGGCTCACACCTGTAATCTCAGCACTTTGGGAGGCCGAGGCGGGCAGATCACGAGGTCAGGAGTTCAAGAGCAGCCTGGCCAACATAGTGAAACCCTGTCTCTACTAAAAATACAAAAATTAGCCAGGTGTGGTGGCACGCACCTGTAGTCCCAGCTACTCAGGAGACTGAGGCAGGAGAATCCCTTGAACCCAGGAGGCAGAGGTTGCAGTGAACTGAGACCATGCCACTGCACTCCACGCTGGGTGACAGAGCGAAACTCTGCCTCCAAAAAACAAAACAAAACAAAAAACAAATAGGCGGGGCACGGTGGTTCACGTCTGTAATCCTTGCACTTTGGGAGACCGAGGCGGGCAGATTATTTGAGGTCAGGAGTGTGAGACCA